>NC_000018.10:11510249-11810299 GCF_000001405.40 Homo sapiens | reverse complement strand
ACCTCAGCCTCCTGAGTAGCTGGGACCACAGGCGCACACCACCACGCCTGGCTATTTTTTTGTATTTTTAGTAGAGACAGGTTCTCGCTATGTTGTCCAGCCTGGTTCTGACAACTCCTGAGCTCAAGCAATGCATCTGTCTCGGCCTCCCAAAGTGCTGACATTATAGGCGTGAGCCGCCCTGCCCAGCCAAGGGTTTTTGTTCTATTGAGCTTTTGTTCTGAGAAGGTGCAGCCCCTAGCTCTGGGGAACCTCAGTGGCTACAGGAAGCTCAACACCTGCACTAGCTTAAAGGTATGAGGGGATTACAATTTCCACATACATACAAAAGGAAAGATTTCAAAGGCAGCCACTGAGCCCCTCTGTAATTCTGCAGTAGCTGTAAGTCTGTCAACAAATAACTGACATAAAAGGGAAAGAATATTGTCCAAAGAAATTCAAACACCTTGTAATTCTATACTTGTGGTTTGCACTAGATAATCTTAAATACTTCTTCCAGTTCTTGGACTCAAATATTTCAAGTTTTACATTTTCCCTCTTTCTATTTTTTGTCTGTTTGTCTTTTTTGAGACAGAATCTTACTCTGTTGCCCAGACTGGAGTGCAGTGGCTTGATCTTGGTTCACTGCAACCTTTGCCTTGTGGGGCCCAGTGAGTTTCATGTCTCAGCCTCTCAAGTAGCTGGGATTACAGATGTATGCCACCATGCCTTGCTAATTTTTGTAGTTTTAGTAGAGACGGGGTTTTGCCATGTTGGCCAGGCTGGTATCCAACTCCTGGCCTCAAGTGATCCACCCACCTCAGCCTCTTTCTATTTTTTCATGTCACAGCTTTATTGAGATATAATTTATATACCATACAATTCAACAATCTTAAGTGTAGAATTCAATGGTCTCTCTAGAATATTTGTAGAGTTGTGCCTTCATCACCACCATCAATTTTGGAACATTTTTATCACCAAGAAAAGCAATTCTGCATGACCCATTAGCAGACACTCCTCATTTCTCCTCCCCCAGCCTCCTGCTTTCTTCCTTTTTTTTTTTGAGATAGAGTCTCGCTCTGTCGCCCAGGCTGGAGGGCAGTGGCACGATCTCAGCTCACTGCAACTTCCGCTTCCCAGGTTTAAGTGATTCTCCTGCCTCAGACTCCTTAGCAGCTGGAATTGCAGGTGCATGCCACAACACCTAGCTAATTTTTGTTTTTTAGGTAGAGACAGGGTTTTGCCATGTTGGCCAGGCTGGTCTTGAACCCCTGACCTCAGGTGATCTGCCCGCCTTGGCCTCCCAAAGTGCTGGGATTTATAGGCACGAGCCACCATGCCTGGTCCCTCCTTTCTGTCTCTACAAATTTGCCTATGCTGGACGTTTCCTATAAATGGAGTCACACAATATGTGGCCTTTTGTGACTGGCTTCTCTGACTTAGCATGATGTTTCTAAGGGTCATCTCTGATATGGCATGTGTCAGCACTTCAGTCCTTGTTATTGCCGAACGGCATTCCATTACATGGATCGGACACATTTGTTGATCCATCTGTCATTTGATGAACATTTAGGCTGTTTCTACTTTTTGGCTATTATTGAGTAATGCTGCTATAAACATTCGTGTGCAAGTTTTAGTCTTGATGTATGTTTTCATTCCGTTTGGATACATGCCTGGGAATGGGACTCCTTTCTTTCCCAAGAGAAACATCTGGATCTATATATATTACAAGAGTTTCTAGTTGGAATTAGTCACTCAACATGATTAATTCCTCTCTGAACATTTAATAACTTCATTAAAAACTCTACTATTTATCCTATCCAGGTGGGTAGCATGGCAGATGTTACATGAGGGTAACACTTATCTAACTTTCTAATGCGTTTCAGATTTAAATTCGCACAGAGATAGTCCCAACATTCTTGGAATTCCTGACAATTCCAAATAATCAAATAAGAAAGCCCCAAAGCCTGGCTTAGTACCTCTTCCTGGCCTTCTGCTCCAGCCACAGCCACTTTCTGAGCTTCCTGGGCCACACTGTGAGGGAAGAGGGACAGCAGTAAAACGGGCAGAGGCGCTCTTTTGCTTTGGAGCTTGGAGTGCAGGGTGAGTGATTGGAGGAGAGTAGAGTCTGGGGAGAGTGGCGATTCCTTCCACTCCCTGCAGAGTGACTCAACCAAAGTAAGGCCTGTCATTCACCGATTCACTCAGCAAATATTTATCATGGTCCTGGAATGGGTAAGAAGACCTGTGAGGGTAGAGTAGGGACAAACAAAGTCTTTAAAAAAAAAAAAAAAAGAAGGCTGGGCTGGACAAGGAAGTGTGGTTTCTCCTGTGTGATGAGGGTCACCAATGACATTCAGGCTGCTTTCAGGGGACCTTGGTCCTCATCTGACCTGGCTCATCATTAGCACCTGACAGGGCTGACTACACCCTCCCCGTGAAACACTGTCTTGGCCTTCAAGACATCATGGCCACTTTTGCTCAGGGTTCACTGCTGGCTCCCTCTCTTCCCACAGCCTCCTAATCCTAGAGGGATCCAGGGTTGGTGCTGGGCCCCCCTCTCTATGTAAGCTCACTGCCTTGGCGATCTCCACTTTGTGGCATGCACACCATGAATATACTAGTGACTCCAAATGGACATCTCCAGCTTAGGCCTCTCCTCTGAATTCTGGACTTGCACATCCAATTGCCTGCCTGACATCACTGCTTGAATTCAACAGGCAACTACAACTCAGCAAGTGCCAAACAGAACTCTTAATCTTCCTCCCCAAACCTGCTCCACCTGCGGTTTCCCCCCACGGCCCGGCTTAGGCCAAACTCCTTGGAGACATCCCTGTGATCTTTAAGGAAATACTCTTGGCTGTACCTTGAGAATCTATCCAGATTCTGATTCTCGCACTGCTAAATTCCTGACTGAAGCCATCATCATCTAGTCCACGCAGTTATGGCCACAGCCTCCTATCTGGTCTGTTCCCACCCTTCTCACCACAGTCCATTCCACTCAGCAGCCAGTGAATCGTTGAAACCATAAGTCAAATCGCATTACAGGTGGGCTCAAAACAATCCAATGATTACTATGCAGCTGTAAAAAGAATGAGACCATGTCCTTTGCGAGGATGTAGAGCTGGAGGTTGTTCTTTTCTTTCTTTCTTTTTTTTTTTTGAGACAGAGTCTCGCTCTATCACCCAGGCTGGAGTGTATTGGCACAATCTCCACTCACTGCAACCTCTGCCTCCCAGGTTTAAGCAATTCTCCTGCCTCAGCCTCCCCAGTAGCTGGAACTACAGGCGTGCGCCACCATGCCCGGCTAATTTTTGTATTTTTAGTAGAGACGGGGTTTCACCATGTTGGCCAGGCCAGTTGTGATGACTCACGCCTGTAATACCAGCACTGTGGGAGGCCGAGGCGGGCGGATCACTTGAGGTCAGGAGCTCGAGCTGCAGGTTATTTTTAGCAAACTAACACAAGAACAGAATACCAAATAACACATGTTCTCACCTATAAGTGTGAGCTAAATGATGAGAACAAATCATTTCTGTGTAACAAATTATCCCTGAACTTAAGATAAAAGTTAAAAAAAAAAAAAAAAGAGTACTTCACAATATTGAGAAGGCCCTTGGTATTCTTCAGCCCTGCTTCCCTTTCACCAGCCTCCCTCAACAGGAGGACGTCTATGTGAATATCAAAGTGGAAGGACAGTTAATGGGCCGCAATGCTGGGCACACAGTTTCTTTCTTCCTTCGAATTCTTTTTCCTCTAATACTCACTGTTCCTGAGAGGGGTAACCTATCTCTCACTATATACAAAAATCGACTGAAGATGGATTACAGGCTTAATTGTAAGACTTGAAACTATAAAAATACTAAAAGGAAACCTAGGGAAAACTCTTCTGGACATTGGTCTAGGCAAAGAATTCATGACTAAGACCTCAACAGCAAATGCAACGAAAACACAAATAGACAAATGGGACTTAATTAAACTAAAAAGCTGCTGCACAGCAAAAGAAATAATCAGCAGAGTGAACAGACAACCTGCAGAATGAGTGAAAATATCTGCAAACTCTGCATCTGACAGGGGACTATGTCCAGAATTTATAAAAATCTCAACTCTACAAAAACCCCCAAATAATCCCATTAAAAAGTGGGCAAATGACATGAATAGACACTTTTAAAAAGAAGACATACAAATGGCCAACAAGCATATGAAAAAATGCTCAACATAACTAATCATCAGATAAATGCAAATTAAAACCACAGTGAGATATCATCTTATAGCAGTCAGAATGGCTATTACTAAAAAGACAAAAAAATAACATGCTGGGGAGGATGGAGAGAAAAGGGACACTTATACATTGTTCTTAAGAATGTAAATTAGCACAACTTCTATGGAAAACAGTATGGAGATTCCTCAAATAATCAAAAATAGAACTACCATTCTATCCTGCAATCTCACTACTAGGTATATATCCAAAGGAAAAGAAATCATTATGTCAAAAAGATACCTACACTCATATGTGTATCACAGTGATATTCACAATTGCAAAGATATGGAATCAACCAAAGTGCTCACCCATGGATGACTGGATGTGGTATATATACACGCAATAGAATACTTTTTGGCCATAAAAAAGTGAAATCATGTCTTTTGCAGATACATGGAGGGAACTGGAGGTCACTATCTTAAGGAAAACAATTCAGAAACAGAAAAACAAACACCACATGTTCTCACTTACAAGTGGGAGCTAAATAATCAGTATACAGGACATAGACTGTAGAATGATGGACACAGGAGACTCAAAAGGGTGAGGGGGTTGGTGGGGGGTAGATGATGAAAAATTACTTAATGGGTACAACGTACATTATTTGGGTGATGGATATACTAAAAACTCAGACTTCACCACTACACAATATCTCCATGTTCCACCCAAGCTGCACCTGTACTTTACCAGTACAGAATACCTCCATGTTCCATCCAAATTGCACGTGTACCTCACCACTACACAGTATCTCCATGTTCCATTCAAATTGCACCTGTACTTCACCACTACACAATATCTCCATGTTCCACTCAAACTGCACCTGTACTTCACCACTACACAGTATCTCCATGTTCCACTCAAATTGCACCTGTACTTCACCACTACACAGTATCTCCATGTTCCACTCAAATTGCACCTGTACTTCACCACTACACAATATCTCCATGTTCCACTCAAATTGCACCTGTACTTCACTACACAGTATCTCCATGTTCCACTCAAATTGCACCTGTACTTCACCACTACACAGTATCTCCATGTTCCATTCAAACTGCATCTGTACTTCACCACTACACAGTATCTCCATGTTCCACTCAAACTGCACCTGTACTTCACCACTACACAGTATCTCCGTGTTCCACCCAAACTGCACCTGTACTGCACCACTACACAGTATCTCCGTGTTCCACCCAAACTGCACCTGTACTTCACCACTACACAGTATCTCCGTGTTCCACTCAAACTGCACCTGTACTTCACCACTACACAGTATCTCCGTGTTCCACTCAAACTGCACCTGTACTTCACCACTACACAGTATCTCCGTGTCCCACTCAAACCGCTCCTGTACTTCACCACTACACAGTATCTCCGTGTTCCATCCAAACCGCACCTGTACTTCACCACTACACAGTATCTCCGTGTTCCATCCAAACCGCACCTGTACTTCACCACTACACAGTATCTCCGTGTTCCATCCAAACCGCACCTGTACTTCACCACTACACAGTATCTCCGTGTTCCATCCAAACCGCACCTGTACTTCACCACTACACAGTATCTCCGTGTTCCATCCAAACCGCACCTGTACTTCACCACTACACAGTATCTCCGTGTTCCATCCAAACCGCACCTGTACTTCACCACTACACAGTATCTCCGTGTTCCATCCAAACCGCACCTGTACTTCACCACTACACAGTATCTCCGTGTTCCATCCAAACCGCACCTGTACTTCACCACTACACAGTATCTCCGTGTTCCATCCAAACCGCACCTGTACTTCACCACTACACAGTATCTCCGTGTTCCATCCAAACCGCACCTGTACTTCACCACTACACAGTATCTCCGTGTTCCATCCAAACCGCACCTGTACTTCACCACTACACAGTATCTCCGTGTTCCATCCAAACTGCACCTGTACTTCACCACTACACAGTATCTCCGTGTTCCACTCAAACTGCTCCTGTACTTCACCACTACACAGTATCTCCGTGTTCCAAACTTCACCTGTACTTCACCACTACACAGTATCTCCGTGTTCCACTCAAACTGCTCCTGTACTTCACCACTACACAGTATCTCCGTGTTCCATCCAAACTGCACCTGTACTTCACCACTACATAGTATCTCCGTGTTCCATCCAAACTGCACCTGTACTTCACCACTACACAGAATCTCCATGTTCCACTCAAACTGCACCTGTACTTCACCACTACACAGTATCTCCGTGTTCCATCCAAACTGCACCTGTACTTCACCACTACACAGTATCTCCGTGTTCCATCCAAACTGCACCTGTACTTCACCACTACACAGTATCTCCGTGTTCCATCCAAACTGCACCTGTATTTCACCGCTACACAATATCTCCGTGTTCCATCCAAACTGCACCTGTACTTCACCACTACACAGTATCTCCGTGTTCCATCCAAACTGCACCTGCACTTCACCACTACACAATATCTCCATGTTCCATTCAAATTGCACTTGTCCTCTTTAAATATACACAAATAATAATAAAGATAATATATAAAAACTGGTAACAAAAAACCCCAAGCAACCCAATGCTACAATCCAAGTGTCCATGGGCAGAAGAATGGATAATGGAAATGCAGTCTAGACACACAATGGAGTATCATTCATCCTTACAAAGGAAGGCAGTTCTGACACATGCTACAACATTGATAAAGCTTGAGGACTTTGTGCTAAGTGACATGAGCCTGTCACAGAAGGACGAATACTGGATGATTCCACTTACATAAGTCAAAATCATAGAGACAGAAAGTAGAAGCATCGTTGCCAGGGGCTGTGGGGAGGAAGGAGTTGGGAGTTGTCTCATGAGCACAAAGTTTCATTTTGGGAAGATGAGAAAGTTCTGGAGATGGATCTTGGTGATGGTTGCACAACAGTGTGAATGTTCTATGCCACAGAAGGTGCACTGAATAATGACTAAGATGGTAAAATTTATGTTATATGTATTTTATCACAATAAAAGAATATATTATGAAAACAAAACAAAAACAATCCAGTACTTTCCATCTCCAAGTGAAACCTAAAGCCTCTCGTCATCTGACCTCCCCATTCCCTGGCTCCCTGATTCCCCTCCCCACCCAGCCTGGCTCACTCTTCTCCAGACACACAGCCCGGGTACCTCTCGAACTCGAGAGCCTGCCTCCTTGGGCCACTGCCGTGCCCTTCCCTTCTACCAGCTTCTGCTCAGATGCCACATCCTCCGCAGCCCCGGAGAAAATGGCAACTCCCTGCCACCCGGCAGTCCCTACCCCGCTTTATTCTTCTTTCCCACCCACGCATCAGCCATCAACACACTGTGTGCTGATTTTCTTATTGGTTTGTTTCTCCTAACAGAGACTCAGCTTCATAAGAAGCTTTTAATTCATAGTAGCTAGAATTACGCCTGATATAGAAATATGCAGTGACCAGTTTTGGAATCTGTGGATGGATGGGAAGTCACTGGGGGTTTGGATGAAGAGAATCCCAGAGCTCTGCTTCAGGACCATGAGTGCAGAGGTCAGGGATGTGGACTAGAGGGTGAGCCACTGCCTGCAACAAGACTGGTCTCAAGAGTATGGTGATGAGTGTGTTTCGAAATCAAGAAGTACGCCTGGGTGTAGGGTGGCAGTGGGGAATTCAACCACATCACCAAGGCAAAAGCAAGAAACCATGAGGAGCAAGCACTGGTGGACAGCTCCCTTCCAACCAGTTCAGGTAATCCAGTAAGGACTTGACATTTCCCAGGACTGTCCATGACTTGAGGAACTCCGTAAACAGAATGGTTTCAGTTCTTACCCTGTCATCAGTCTTTTAGGGCCAAACAACAAAATAAGTGGCCAGCAAAAGGATTTTCGGGCGAAGTTCGTAAGGAGCATACTCTTTATTTTATCGCTTTTTGCTAACTTGACTCTAAATATAAAGAAAATGAAATTTTCTTGGCAAGTAGTCTTCCTACCAGAAAAAAAATGTCCCTAAACTTTCAGGGAAACAGGTAACCAAGTTTATATTTGAAAAAGTTAAAACTGTAAATATGACAGCTATGTATTGCAGTGATTTTTGCCATGATTATGCTTGATTATTATACTGATTATTGCTATTACCAGTTCCTTACAGATGGTGAAGGAGGTCCCTACTCAGGTGTCTAATGCACATCTTAAACTCAGCATGGCCAGGCTCGAACTCCTGACCCCCGGGACCTGCTCCACCTGCAGCCTTCAGACCACAGGGGAAGGCAGGTTTGTCTTCCCAATGGCTCAGAATAAACCATGACATCATCCCTGATGCTTCTCTTGCTATCACGAGCCACATCCATCACATCAGCAAGGCTCTACTTTCAAACTGGATCCAAATTGAATCTCACTACTTCCATGATTCCAACCATCCGCACCTCTCACCCAGATTATAGCAGCAGCCTGGTCTCCTTGCCTCTCTATGGCATCTTCTGAAACAGTGGCCAGGGTGATGTTTTCACAGTGTAGGTCAGCTAGGGCCCCTCCTCCACTCAAAATCCTCCAACGGGACCTTATTCACTAAGAGTTCCTACAATGACCTGTAAGGTCCGCCTCCCGGGTTCAAGCGATTCTCCTGTCTCAGCCTCCCTAGTTGCTAGGACTGCAGATGTGCACCACCACGCCTGATTAATTTTTATATTTTTAGTAGAAACATGGGGTTTCACCATGCTGGCGAGGCTGGTCTTTAACTCCTGACCTCAGGTGATCCACCTGCCTTGGCCTCCCAAAGTGCTGTTATTTCAGGCGTGAGCCACTGCGCCCAGCCCACACTGTGGTTTATTGATTTATTATGTTTCATTCATTCTCTGTATCACCCCCTATACTATAAGCTCCCCCAGGGCAGATATCTTTTTGTTTTGTTCCTGATGTATATCAAGCACTTAGCATTGCCCTTGACACATGCTAAGAGTTCAGTAAATATTTGTTTCATGAGCAGTGGATGAATAAACTTTTCCAGGAAGTGTCTTCTCTCACTCTGTCTTCTACCTACTTTGTTGTACAGTTTCACCTCCATGCCAAAAGCCTATGTGAATTAGGTTGAAAATTCATATCAATTATTTGTTAGCAACTTTGAGGTGATGGGAATTGGGTTTGTGTCTGCAAGTGGGAGTTGTATTTTGGTGTTTAGACCATGTTTGTCCTGGTTCTACTTCATAAGTAATTTAGAAAGCAACTTTTCTGGCATCCAAGAACACAATTATCCTCAGAAAGTCATACATAATTCATGTAATTGATAATGAATGGACTAGGAAATGTTAAGTGGCTTTCCTTCCTATGACAGAGAAGCCTGCGGAAGAGAAAGCACCTTCCACATGACAGCCCCACGAGTCTCCCAGAGGCCGCCTGGCCCCTTCCTGATTTCTGCTGTACCTGAGTATAACCCACCACCATATAAATTGGCAAAGAACAAATTCAACCTGGGCCATGGCCTCAGGGACATCCTACCAAAGGCAGTGGCCTCTTTCATTCCGTGGGCTTCTGGCAGGACATATACCTCCTTTTCCCAGCAAATGCTGCTCCCACACAACAATAAACTGCTTCTTGGCACTTACAGGCCACCCCAGAGTATCCATCACGAGCCCATCCTTTCATGCCTGTAGAATTCTTAATTATGACCAGTGAGAGGATAATAAGCAATGTACATGTTCAGCAATTCTCCCAATTCGCAGTTTGCAATGTTACCCCCACAAGACCCTTAAATATCTGCCCTCACTGCAGGGGTGGATTGGACACCTGCTGCTCGTCATCTTATCTTATTTAATCAATCCTATCTATCTATCTATCTATGTTCCATCTATCATCACTTGTATTATCCATCCATCCACTCACCCATCCACCAATCTGACTGCCTATCATCTATCTATCACGTATACTATGTGTGAAAGAAATGTATGAAGACATGAATATACATCATTGTTCATTGTTGAAGGTTGTTGACCTAATGGGAAAAAACAGCACGTGCCATAGGATTCAATTTAATAAATAAAGCAAATAATAATAATGACAGTGACATTTTAGTTTCATGGCCAGTAAAGGGTAGAGATATATGACAAAAAATAGGGAAAAGGAATGGAGAGGGAAAAAGGGACACGTACAGGGGGAGGGAAAGACAGTGAAGAGTGAGGGGCGAGAGAGAGGGAGAGAGAAGGCCTCAGGGAGCACCAGACAGACAGGTGCACACTTGCCTGAGGACAAGGAAAAGTGGGGCATTTTGTAAACTGTGCCATTGTCAGTCCACTGCTGAAAATTTAAAAGCACCACTTAAAAAAAAACTATATGCAAAAGTAGTACAGGCTGAATATCCCTTATCTGAAATGGCTGGGGCCAAAAGTATTTCATATATTGGATTTTTTTTATACGTAGGTTGAGCATCCCTAATCCAGAAATCTGAAATTTGAAATACTCCAGTGAGTATTTCCTTTGAGTGTCATGTAAGCGCTCAGAACATTTAGGATTTTGGAGCCTTTTGAATGTTGGATTTCTGGATTACACATGGTCAAGCTGTAATAACTATGGGTGTGTCAGCTGATAGCAAACTGAAGGCTAGAACTTGCTGAGGGCTGGACAGTGACCCTATTATACCCCTGTGCTATTGTAGAAAGCTAGTAAAATATTTGAATAATTTCTCATTGTAGAAATAAGAGAACATTTATGTTTAAGACAGAGCAATGAACAGATATCATGGAAGGCGTTCAAAAATGGCTTTACACTTTCCCTAAGACAACAGAGTGGTGAAGTACTCACAGTGCTTCTGGGCTGGAGACATGATACTTTCTTTCAAAAGCAGCCTCAGAGGGACAGACTGTCCCTGTGGCTGGGGACACATGGGGATATGGGCTTGGGATCCTGGGGTTCATTAGTTTGAGGCTTAATTTCCAAAGATGTTAAAAGGTGTGTTCATTTAACTTTTTTTTTTTTTTTGAGACAGACTCTCGCTCTGTTGCCCAGGCTGGAGTGCAGTGGCTTGATCTCGACTCATTGCAACCTCCGCCTCCCAGGTTCAAGCAATTCTCCTGCCTCAGCTTCCCAAGTTGCTGGGATTACAGGCGTGCGTCACCGTGCACAGCTAATTTTTCATATTTTTAGTAGAGATGGGGTTTCACTATGTTGGCCAGGCTGGTCTCAAATTCCTGATCTGCCTGCCTCGGCCTCCCAAAGTGCTTGGATTACAGGCATGAGCCACCCACCGTGCCCAGCCCCATTTAACGTATGTTAAACTACTTAACTGCTTTTAGCTTGTGATTGAGCACCCATATTTTATTGTAAACATCCTACTTTATAATATAAATATTGCTGAACAAGAGAAAATATCCTTAAATCCATGAAGGCATTTAACATCTTTCAAAATTATATTCAAAGTATATAATTTTGAACATGACAAATGTCAGCAAGCCACTACATTTATGTTGCAAATATAAACATAATTCATACATATTTGAGGAACTGGCTCAGCATTTGCTTTTTTTAAATAAAGGTAAGAGAAGACTGGAGAACAGTTAAATACTGATTACTGTGAAGGCACAAAGAATTCAGAGAATGAGCTGGGTGGGGTGAAGGTCAGGTTCAGGTGAACTCTATGCTACTCTGTGTCTTGTCACTGCAGAATTGAACTTCTGTCTAGTTTGTTCGATAGGAAAAGAGGCACTCTGGTGACATACTGCCATTAACTACAAAGGTTTCACAGTTATGTCTTGGAGAATGTAACACTAACCCAAGAATATGAATATAATGAACATGTTTTACAAATTAACTTTTTAAAATTAAAAAGAATTTAATAGCGCATAATGAGCTGCTAAAGAGAACCTAAGATGTTATTACTTAATTTAATTTTAGAGATGGTGTCTCACTGTGTTGTAAAGTCTAGATTCAAACTCCTGGGCTCAAGTGATCCTCCTGCCTCAGCCTCCAGAGTAACTGGGACTATAGGAGACAGCCACCGTGCCTGGCTTTGCATGTTAACTTTAGAAGATTGTATTTGATCATTATATCTTTGCTATCAGAAAGTGTCTGCTGGAATATGTTGTTGAAGGAAACCTAATTTATTCATTTAAGTTATAATGTTCATAACAGCACTGTCTGGTTAATTCACTAACCCTCTCTCTCTCCAACTGTATGTAACTACACTAGCTCACTGGCTGATCCCAAAACACTGAATCAATGTTTGACTTTTTAGTAGTGATCTTTTAGTTTTGCCTTTTTCCATGTGGGCCTGTTTTGAAAAAAAAGAATGCATATCAGATTCATTTCTTTCTTTCTTTTTTTTTTTCTGTGAGACAAGGTCTCACCTCTCTCTGTCACCCAAAGGGGAGTGCAATGGCATGATCTTGGCTCACTGCAGCCTCCACTTCCTGGCTCCAGCAATCTTCCCACCTCAGCAAACCAGCCCCCCCACCACCCAAGTAGCTGGGACTACAGGTACACACCACCATGCCCAGCTAATTTGTGTATTTTTTGTAGAGGTGGGGCTTTGACATGTTGCCCAGGCTTGTCTTGAAGTCCTGGGTTCAAGCAATCCACCTGCCTCTCAGCCTCCCAAAGTGCTGGGATTACAGGTGTGAGCCATCACGCCTGGTGGACAGATTGTTTTCTAAATTCACTCAGAAGCTTGTTTCTTTGATAACACTGTGCAAAAAGAGTTATGGAAAAAATACTAATAAGAAATTAAAGAGACAAAAATTGGTATCCTATAAACAAAACTTTTTTCTCTGATCATAAAAAAGATTTAAAATTAAGTCAGTCCAAAGAAACAATATAGCAACATAAATCAAAAGCCTTAAAGATGCTGTCTTTTTAAGAAGTTCTGGCCGGGTGCGGTGGCTCACGCCTGTAATCCCAGCACTTTGGGAGGCCAAGGGGGGTGGATCACCTGAGGTCAGGAGTTTGAGACCAGCCTGGCCAACATGGCGAAAACCCGTCTTTACTAAAAAAATTACAAAATTAGCCAGGCCTAGTGGGATAATCCCTTGAGTCTGGGAGGCTTGAGCCCGCGTGGCAGAGGCTGCAATGAGCCAAGATCACACCACTGCACTCCAGCCTGGGTGGCACAGTGAGACCCTGTCTCAAAAATAAGTTCTGATAGGGACTTATCCTCAGATGAAAAGAAAACCAGAGAGCTGTAAAAAGCTACATGTATATGCAGTATTATTTATAATAGCAAAAAAATTAAATGACTACATTAGGAAATTTGGAAATGAGTAATGGGATACTTATATGATGAATGCTACATAGCCATTAAAAATCAGGTTGTAGAAGCATTATTAACTGAAATGAAAAATGTTTCTAATAAGTTTAAAAAGCAGGTTTGAAATCAGTAGCTATACTGAGATCCTAATTTAATTAAAATGGTTATACCTGTTTCTATGACACTGGCAGGATATCACCGAATGTTTGCAGTGCTTATCTCTGGGGGATGGGACAATGGAAAGGTTGCGTGTTTTGTTTTTTTTTTTTTTTTTTTTGTGAGAAGGAGTCTCGCTCTGTCACCCAGGCTGGAGTGCAGTGGCTCGATCTTGGCTCACTGCAAGCTCCGCCTCCCGGGTTCATACCATTCTCCTGCCTCCCCAGTAGCTGGGACTACAGGCGCCCGCCACCACGCCTGGCTAATTTTGTTTTGTATTTTTAGTAGAGACGGGGTTTCACCGTGTTAGCCAGGATGGTCCCGATCTCCCGACCTCGTGATCCGCCCGCCTCAGCCTCCCAAAGTGCTGGGATTACAGGCGTGAGCCACTGCGCCCGGCCCAGTGGAAAGGTTTTATCTTCCTTTGTTGCACTTTTCAGTCTTAAAAATGAAAAAATCTTATAACAAGCATGTCCAACTGTCATATTAAACCACACATTGTTGGTGGTGTTGGTGGCCTGGGATCACCTTTCACTGGCTTCCTGCTTACTATGCCATTCTGTAAATTTGTGGTTTGTGTATATAAAGTTAATGAATGGGTTAAGGAGGGATGGTTACTTTCCTCCAGTGCCATAGCATTCTCCTTCCGGGCGAATACTTGGTGTCCGTTAGCTGACCCCAGCTTTGATGAACCTCATAACTGGGTCCTCCATTCCTGGGAGGGATCAGCTATTACTGTCTAGGAACGCTCTATCCCCAATCACCTGGAGCTGGTGAGATGGGAATTTTTTACTCTTAACCCATGGCAAGGCCATTTCTCCTTGGAGAAGGTTGTTTTCATTCTTAGTGGAGTCTGATGAGACCTGCAGAACCCAGGCGACATCCAGACCTTCAACACAGGGAGCTCTTCTCAGCCAAGGGACCTCTGGAGGAACCAGAGGCCTGGATGGCAGCAGAGTCCTGCTGTCCTGCAGCTTGGTGACACAGCCACATGGCCAGACACACAGACTGACGCCTCACACAGAATCATGCTCAGTATCTAAGCAAGTGACTATTTAAAACAGGTCTCAGCTGAACTTCTCTCATAATGGCATTTACACTAAGTACAAAGCCTTTCACTACATCTGCTCTTCTGTCGCCATCCTTAAATCTGTAGTTTATCAATGAAGGATATTTGGTGACACTGCAATATTTATAAATTATTTCAATCTATTTTTCAATAAGCAGGAATTTAAGAAAGCTATTTTTTCCTAATGATAGTACAAATGTTGTTAAATGCCTGTTCATTTTTTTTTTTTTTTTTTTTGAGACAGGGTCTCACTCTGTTACCCAGGCTGGTGTGTAGTGAGCTCACTGCGTCCTCAACCTCCCTGGCTCAGGTGATCCTCCTGCCTCAGCCTCCTGAGTAGCTGGGACTACAGGTGCATGCTATCATGCCTGGTTAATTTATTGTAATTTTTGTAGAGGTGGGGTTTTGCCATGTTGGCCAGGTTGGTCTTGAACTCCTGGACTCAAGTGATCCAGCTGCCTCCAGCTCCCAAAGTGCTGGGATTAGGCTGGGCAGGGTAGCTCACACCTGTAATCCCAGCACTTTGGGAGGTTGAGATGGGCAGATCACCTGAGGTCAGCAGTTCAAGACCAGCCTGGTCAACATGGAAAAACGCTGTCTCTACTAAAAATACAAAAATTAGGCAGGCATGATGGCAGGCGCCGGTAATCCCAGCTACTCAGGAGGCTGAGGCAGGAGAATCGCTTGAACCTCGGAGGCAGAGGTTGCAGTGAGCTAAGATCGCGCCACTGCACTCCAGCCTGGGTGACAGAACGAGACTCTGTCTCAAAAACAACAAACAAACAAACAAACAAAAAACAAAGTGCTGGGATTACAGGCGTGAGCCACTGGGCTGGCCTGTCCTTTTTTTTTTTTTTTTTTTTTTTTTAACCTGTGTGTTTTTAATTGAAGTGAAATTCACATAACATAAAAGTAACCATTTAAAAGTGTGCAACTCAGTGGTGTTAGTGTATTTACAGCGTTGTGTAACTGCCCCTCTAGTTGAAAGGCATTTTCATCAGTCCAAAAGGAAATCCTGTGCCCACCAGGTGGTCACTCCTCATTCCCTCTTCCCTCCAACACCTGGCAACTACCAATTTGCTTTCTGTCTCTATACATTTGCCTATTCTGGACATTTCATATGCTTGGAATTACAATATGTGGCCTTTCACATCTAGCTTCTGTCACTTAGCATACTGTTTTCAAGGTTCATCCATGCTGTGGCAAGTATCAGAACTTCGTTCCTTTTGATGGCTGAGTAATATTCCCTTGCACGGATAGAAGACATTTTGTTTATCCATTCATCTGTTGATGAACATTGGGTTGTTTCCACCCTTTGGCTATTGTGAATAGTGCTGCTATCAACATTAATGTGAGATACGTTTGATCCTCTGCTTTCAGTGATTTTGGGATTGCTGGTTCATTTGGTAGTACTATGTTTCAGCTTTTGAGAAACAACCAAACTGTTTTCCACAGTGGCTACACCATTCTGCACTTCCAGCAGCAATGCATGAGGGTTCCAATTTCTTGACATCCTTTCCAACACTTGTTATTTTCTGTGTGTGTGTTAATTATAGAATTCTAGTGGGTGTGAAGTGGCACCCCATTGTGGTTTTGATTTGTGTTGCCCTAATGACAACAGATGTTGAACATCTTTTCATGTGCTTATTGGCCATTTGCATATATTCTCTGGATAAATGCTAAGCAAGTCCTTTGTCCTTTTTTTTTTTTTTTTTTCCCGAGATGGAGTCTCACTGTCGCCAGGCTGGAGTGCAGTGGCGTGCAATCTCGGCTCACTGCAACCTCTGACTCCCGCTCCAGCCTCAGCCTCCCAAGTAGCTGGGATCACAGGCACGTGCCACCACGCCCAGCTAATTTTTTATTTTTAGTAGAGGCACAGTTTCGCCATGTTGGCCAGGATGGTCTCGATCTCCTGACCTTGTGATCTGCCTGACTCAGCCTCCCAAAGTGTTGGGATTACAGGCGTGAGCCACTGCGCCTGGCCCCTTTGTCCATTTTTAAATTATTTGTCTTTTTGTCGTTGAGTTGTAGATTTTTATTTTTTTAGAGACAGGATCTTGCTCTATTGTTCAGGCTGCAATGTGGTGGCACAATCATAGCTCACTGCAGCCTTGAATTTGTGGACTCAAGTGATCCTCCTGCCTCAGCCCCCCAAGTAGCTGGAACTACAGGTGCATGCCACCAGGCCTGGATAATTAAAAAATAAATTGTCTTGTAAGAGATGGGAGTCTCAATTGTTGTCAAGGCTGGTCTCAAACTCCTGGGCTCAAGAGATCCTCCCACCTCAGCCTCCCAAAATGCTGAGATTAAAGGCATGAGCCACTGCACCCAAGCAAAAATTCTTTATATATTCTGGTTACTAGACCCTTATCAGATACACAGTTTACAAATATTTATCTCATTCTGTGGATTGTCTTTTTGCTTTCTTATGTCCTTTGATGCACAAATTTTAAAATTTTGATGAAGTCCAATTTACCTATTTTTTTCCTTTGTTGCTCAAGCTTTTGATGTCATATCCAAGAAATCACTGCCAAATCCAAGATCATGAAGATTTACCCCTACATATAGTCTTAGCTCCTATATTTAGGTGATTGATCTACTTTGATTTAATTTTTGCATATGGAGTAAAGTTATATATGTCTCTTAGAATTAGTTCAATCTAGATTATTTCTCAAATTTCCACAACTTTTTATTGGAAAATGACACTATTCAATAATATAACAAGTCCAACTATATAAACATACCTAAAGTTACTAAGGGATTTGGTAGTGTCCTCTGTCATATGGAAGTTGCATCACCATGTCACCAGGTTGGTAGTTTGCCAAAGACACTTTAAGACAAGAATTACCCTCTCCTTCAAATCTTATAATCAATGCCCAAGTATTCCCTCAGTGCCAACAATTGATCAATCATTCAACAAATATTTATTGAGCTCTAACTCTGTGCTAGGCACCATGCTAGGAGCTAGGATACTGCAATGAATGAGAAAGAGGTGCCCTTGTCCTCAAAGAGTTTGTAATTTTGCAGATTATGTGTCTAGGACAAGGCGAGATGGCCAATACTCCTGTTCTCAAGAAGTCAACACTTCAGTAGGGAGACTATGGCTAAGACATACCAAGTAATTAGAAAACAATACAAGACAAGCTGGGTGCAGTGGCTTATGCCTGTAATCCTAGCACTTTGGGAGGCCAAGGCGGGCAGATCACCTGAGGTCAGGAGTTTGGGACCAGCCTGGCCAACATGGTGAAACCCCATCTCTACTAAAAATGCAAAAATTAGCCAGGTGCGGTGGTGTGCGCCTGTAGTCCCAGCTACTCGGGAGGCTGAGGCATGAGAATTGCTTGAACTCGGGAGGTAGAAGTTGCAGTAAGCTGAGATTGCACGCCACTGCACTCCAGCCTGGGAAACAGGGTAAGACGGAAGGAAGGAAGGGAGGGAAGGAAGGAGGGAGGGAGGAAGGAAACAATACAAGGCAGTAAGTACTGGATATAATTTCGTGACCAAAGCTATGGTGCCAATTAGGAAAGCCACAGGAAGTGGCCAAAAAGGGAGAGGTTGCTCAGTTTCAGGACAGGTTGGAAAGGTCTCCAAAAGAGGTGGGTCTGAACTCAAAAAATTAGCAGGAAATTAAAATCGGAAATGACAATAGTCATAATCAAAATGATTAACAGTCTTTAACAGACTGGCTTAACTGTGCAGGAGACACCTGTACCAGGGGAGACACCTGTGAGAGGTGAGGCTGACAGTGCTGCACTATGGATGTGGTGCAGACCCTCGGGAGTTCTCGGCACACCTGGATCACTGCAGAGGTAGACATGGGAAGCTACTTGAGTCCGAAGTCCTTTGTGTCCTACTTCGAGTCCTTGCAATGAAACCCAATGAAGCAGAAAACTTGATAGATATCTGTCTACAGCAGCTAACCAGTCTAGATGATTGCACCTATAAGCTAACTCTGTTATTCTCTAATATAAAGTCTTTCCTAAATAGATCACATGCAGTAGCTTAATTTTTTGTGTGTGTTTACTATCTGAGCTTAGTATCTTATTAAGATAGTGTGGAGTTGGTTGTAGTTCCTCCCCCACTTTAAAAGCTTTTAAAATGTTTTACCAAGAGAAACACCCAGGGGAGAAATCAGTTCATTTATTTCAAACAAACAAGCATGATCTCTTGATAATCAACCTTCTGTTTAGAAGGCAAAAAGCATCCCTTATGGCTTCTCTGGTTTCACCCCCTAACCCAGGCGTCTTCACTGCTCAACAGGGGAGCCTGTTCTGCTATGGCTATGGAAAAACACCTAGCGGTTCCCATTCCTGTGGCTGGCAACAAAGAAACAAACAGGCAGGAAATTTAAAAATAACTGTGGCTAGTTGCTTCCTTCAGAGTTTCAACATTACTTTCATGGAAACCTTCACTAGGATCCTAGCCATGGCTTAAGAACCCACACAAACCATTTAGCCATGGCCACCACCATGCCGAAAGGACATGCTTAACCAAATTGTTTGGCCTTCCCTTCACAGCTTTAAAGTGACAGTTTAATTTGAAAACAACTCTGGGAATTAGTCACCTCTCATTCCTGAAATCTGGATATCTTGCTCTGTAAATCCTAAATAGTAGTTTCTGGTTTTTCTTAAATTAAGTATTGGAATAGTTTTGATTGAAAAACCATCAGCTGGCTGGACGCGGTGGCTCACGCCTGTAATCCCAGAACTTAGGGAAGCTGAGGCAGGCGGATTACGAGGTCAGGAGATCAAGACCATCCTGGCTAACACGGTGAAACTCCGTCTCTACTAAATATACAAAAAAATTAGCTGGGCGTGGTGGCGGGCACCTGTAGTTCCAGCTACTCAGGAGGCTGAGGCAGGAGAATGGTGTGAACCCGGGAGGCAGAGCTTGCAGTGAGACGAGATCGTGCCACTGCACTCCAGCCTGGGCAACAGAGCAAGACTGTCTCAAAAAAAAAAAAAAAGAAAAAAAAAGAAAAGAAAAGAAAAGAAAAACCATCAGCCAGGCTGGAAGCCAGAGAATTTTACATAAGTGTCAAAGGGGCCTCAGAGGCAAAAATCAAACATGTTAACACTGATTTCCACCTTGGCACTGACCTCCTTTGCAGTTAAGAATTGCTGAATTAAAATAAGTGGTTAAAAATGCTTTATGAGTCTGTATTAAAAATGAAGTCCATCTTAGTGTGAATGTTACATTATTGTAAACAACACATCCCCAAGGACACATTGATGTCAGAGTGTTGGAAGCTGGGGGAATCGTGAGGAGCTGACAAACGCCCTGGAGAATTTCTTCCTCAGAGTGTCGGAAGCTGGGGGAATCATGAGGAGCTGACAGACGCCCTGGAGAATTTCTTTTGTCCCAACAATGGTGTGCAGAGACCCCAGGGGCAGGGCTCTGAACACCCCCTGCCCACTTGCACAAAAGATAGCTCTCAACCCCTCATCCAACAACTGGCTTGAGGAGGTAAACTTCAAATTATTAAAACCATTCTCCCACTTTAATTTTTACTTTGAATACATTTGACATCTCATTGTTCTAAGAACAACAGCACCCTTCCTGGGCCACTGGAGCGTTCTAGAAAGCTTAAGCCTTTACTTCCTGGAACTTTCTTCTCATTTGCATCATCAGTGATCTGAGTCTGACCTTCTTCAACTATTCCTGTGTTTACAAGGAATCCGGTTTGTGATGTTTTACTTCAAACAAAATCCTTTTATCTGAGGCTTTTCCTCTGCAACACAGCAGCATCAATGAGCTAGAAGCTGCATCTTATTACACTGACACTAACAACAAGGCCCTTTCCCAGCTTCTGGGTCTAAGCTTTTCACGTCCTTCCTCTGCAAGCCACATGAGCAGTATATGTATCAATGGCATGTAAGACTCTGTGTCCACCTAAGAGCATCTCCAGATTCTGGTAGCAAATGCTAAGACAGAGGTGATGATAAAATATAAGGAGGAAAAAGAAGACATGGTACTTTATTAGAACAATCCACTTAAAGTACATTTTGTTTATGCTTATAATCTATACAATGATAACTGGATTGTTGGATCCGTGGGGAATCTGCCTATCTATATATAGTCTTCCCCACCATATGGTGCCATAACCTTAAGTTATATGCACATGGAGTTACCCAAATGAGCTAAGAAGTTGTGAGAAAATGCTTAATTAAAGTAGGTTTGCAAATCATCCTCAATCAATGCCAACTACGTGGGAATCCATCATCACAGTCCGTAATGTTAGAGGACAGTTGCTGGGGCTAGAATTTTCAAAACCACTTTACACTTCTTGTATCACTTATTGCTTACCCAGATTTAAATACCTGAGTATCTGGCAGCAACATGTGATAGGAAAGGGATGTTTTCAACAGACTCCACAATTTTGCCTGAGGCTAGCTAAGGTCTTGGCAAGTAAGAGCAATGCCCTGTTACTTAGGACAGTGATTGAGGGCCTCAACTGCTCCTCTGTGTTGTGGCAGGGTTGGCAGAGGTGTGACCTGAAATGAAGGAGGCCCAAGAAAACAGGTTGTGTGGCATCGAGAAAGACTAGTTAGAGGTGGGAGCAGGTGCTGAAACTGAGATAGGCCTAGAGATGGAACTTGTGGTATCAAGTCCTCTTTATAACTAATACTCTACATTTAACTTATCTTACACATTCTATTTTTAAGAAAAAACACTTTTGATATATATGTGTATATATATATATATATATATATTTTTTTTTTTTTTTTTTCGAGACGGAGTCTTGCTCTGTCTCCTAGGCTGGAGTGCAGTGGTGTGATCTCTGCTCACTGCAACCTCTGCCTCCCAGATTCAAGCGATTCTCCTGCCTCAGCCTCCCTAGTAGCTGGCATTACAGGCGTGTGCCACCACACCCAGCTAATTTAGTATTTTTAGTAGAGACGGGGTTTCACCATGTTGGTCTTGAACTTCTGACCAGCCTGACCACCAGGCTGGTCTCGAACTCCTGACCTCAGGTGATCCGCCTGCCTCCGTCTTCCAAAGTGCTGGTATTACAGGCATGAGCCACCATGCCCGGCCAACACTGTCAATATTTTTAATAACTGTTAATAAGTTTTAATGAATCAAGATTTGTTCTGAATTGTAAACATAAAAAGGACTATAGGACAGTACGATTCTTGGCATGATTGTGGAGTGTAAGTACAGAGAAAATGGGGTGGGGGCACACTTATAAATGAGGCCATCTGCATGGGGAACCACTCCTCACAGAACAAGGGCATTGCTGCAAGTTCGCTGTCAGTTTCTGACCACCTCTTAACTCTGGTTATGCCTTGAGAGCCACACTAGGTGTTGCGTTGTGACTGCCACACCTCCTGGTGCCTTAGAAGCCTTTGGGGAGCTATTAAAATAGATTCCTCAAGGCTTCACCCAAGAATTCCTGAATCAAAATCTCTGAGGACAGGCTTAGGGATCTTGTTTGAAAGCTCCCCAGGTGGTTCTGAAGCACAGCACAACTTGGGAATAACACGTTTATTCCACAGCTGAGGAGAAATTCTCAGGGGTGTGTAAGATATCTAAGGCCCGATTACGGTTAATGGCTCCAGGTATGGTCAAGGATAAATTTACTGGGGACAGCAGGAAATAAAAAAGGGAAGTTTGCAGAAGGAAATGGGAAGTTGGCAATGTCAATGAAACTGGGTGCTAAGACACACTTTTTTCCTTTTCTCTGGGATTGGCCAAACCAGTGCCGGCTGCCCATGATCCTATTAAGCAGATATTTCCTTTTTTTTTTTTTTGAGATGGAGTCTGGCTCTGTCTCCCAGGCTGGAGTGCAGTGGTGCAATCTTGGCTCACTGCAAGCTCCACCTCTCGGGTTCATGCCATTATCCTGCCTCAGCCTCCTGAGTAGCTGGGACTACAGGCACCCGCCACCATGCCTGGCTAATTTTTTGTATTTTTAGTAGAGATGGGGTTTCACTGTGTTAGCCAGGATGGTCTCGATCTCCTGACCTCGTGATCCGCCCACCTCGGCCTCCCAAAGTGCTAGGATTACACAGGCGTGGGCCACCGCGCCCGGCCAAATATTTCCTAAATACACATGAAAATAGCTCTCAGGTAATCATGCTATCAGTTTAACTTTTATTACATGATGGCTGCCAAACAACACTTGAAATGTTCTGTATCTGTATCTTATATGAGTTCCGCAACATGTCATTATGACCAAATTATGATAGTACTGTAAATGCTGAGAACTGTTTCGGCCCACCTCACTGGTGATCATATTGTCACTTCCAGCACCATAGCTGTTGCCAAAAAAGTGATGTATTGGCAGAGACTTTAGTTCTAATATTTATACATCCTAAGGAGATGTAAAATGCATTGTCTTGAAGTGGATACAGAACAGACTTCTGCCATTGCCAGGTTCTTGCTTTCCTTTTCCTTTTCTTTATATTTGTCTGGGGAAGTAGAGACATTTTAAAACTGAGATTTAATTAAATTCTATGATCTCTTGACTTTAGCTTTTCATGACTGTTGGTCTAATCCTCCTAATTAAACCATAAGCCCTAGAACAGAGATTATTATTATTATTGTAGAAATGAGGTCTCGCTGTGTTGTTGCCCAGGCTGGTCTCAAACTCCTGGCCTCAAGCGATCCTCCTACCTCAGTCTCCCAAACTGCTGGGATTACAGGCCCAGCCAGAGATTATTTTAAAAACCTTTCCAATAGCCCTCTTAGCTCACTCACCCTCCACCTCCCAGGGCCAGACCCATGCTCTGGACAGGGCTGGGGTAAAGCAGACATAGTTTGAATCAGTAGTTTGATTAGATTGGGAAGTATAAAGGTGAGCTGGATTAACAGAGAAATTATGAAGTGATGTTTATAAAATATAAAAAGATTCAAATGAAAATGTGTGAAGATCGCCGGGCACGGTGGCTCACGTCTGTAATCCCAGCACTTTGGGAGGCCGAGGTGGGCAGATCACGAGGTCAGGAGATGGAGACCATCCTGGCTAACGTGGTGAAAGCCCGTCTCCACTAAAAAAAAAAAAAAAAATTAGCCAGGTGTGGTGGTGGGTGCCTGCAGTCCCAGCTACTTGGGAGGCTGTGGCAGGAGAATGGCATAAACCCAGGAGGCAGAGCTTGCAGTGAGCTGAGACAGCGCCACTGCACTCCAGCCTGGGCGACAGAGCAAGACTCCATCTCAAAAAAAAAAAAAAAAAAAAAAAAAAAAAAGAAAACGTATGAAGATCTATCCCACCACGCTTCTTCAGCCACGTGTAAAAGAACCATTACTAAAATCTCTCATTCAGATCTGACCCTCTAAAATGAATTGATTTTCAGTGGAAGTTGTAGTGCTCAAAGGCACAGGAAAAATAAACCGGGTTTCTACTCCTCTTTCATATTCTTCTCTATAATTTAGTTACTTGGGGTCTTTGAGTAATACTGCCCTGTGAGGATATAACCCTATTAATCATGGTTATCTCCTCCAGGGTTAGCAGGTCCTCCATATTCTAATGTGCACGGAATTCCAGGGCACTGAATTATAAGCTGAAATAAGCACACAAAAGGCCGACAGGATAAACTTCCCCTTCTCCTGATTTCTGGGAGTCAGAATGCTTCACCCTGTTTCTGATAATCTCCTTCTCAGGTAAGAAATAATGAAGGAGGGGCAGCCCCACTTTTCTTTTCTCTCCTTTTTAGAACAGGGAACAGTCATTTTCTTTCACTTTAATAATTTTCTGCCTTGCAAGAGGAATTCAAATGTCTTTCACTTGCCAGGGGAGTGGGAGGAAGGTGGGCGGAAGCCTTTAAAGACCTTCAATAACAGCTCAACACGGGGCTGAGCAGAGGAGCTGCTGCTTAACCCATTCATGGCCGAGGCCATCGCTGACGTTCGCAGGAGAGGGGGCGTCAGACTGGGTCTCTGGGCAGAAGGGTTCCTTCTGGTCTCTCATACACCGGCCTGAACCCAATTTAGAAAAGACTCATTGAAAAAAAAAGCAAGGCAATTCACTGGCACTGATTTCTTTTCCCTAAGATAATTAATTGTAAGCTAAAGAGAAGAAAACAAAACTCTGAAAGGCTGGATGGAGTGCTGTCCAGGGACCATGGTTCTAAGGAGGCAGGGGCCTGCAGCCTCCAGGCCTGGGCGGGGGCCAGAGAAGCTGTCTTCCTGGAACCCCAGCATTGGTAAATCCCAGCATCATCCAGTGTCCTCCTTTCTTCTCCTTGTTCCAGATTTCTGCAATTTGCATTTCCCATTGTTCTACTTATTGGGGGCTTGGAGGCATACAGGCTTACCACGGAGCATCCCATACTTCCATCTGCCTTGTGGACACCCATTCCACATTTCCAGGGATTCCCTAAAGGATGATATCATGGGAAAGAGTGCAGAATCCAGGAGCAATGACCTCATCTTTATCCCAACTTTCAGGTACCCTCTCATTTTCAGCTTTCTAGACTAATTTCCAAATTCCACTGGGATGAAATCTTATATAAAACCATCTAAAAGACTTGACTGGATTGAGGTAGGGGAAAGACAGGTGCACATTTCCAATGGCTGAGAGGGGACGAAAACTGAGCGTGGGACTGGGAAAAAGTATGAATCACAGCAATTCCAGACTTTGCAGAAACTAAAAATGTTACACTATCTGAAACTTTCTTCCAACAACATTGTGCTAATTGTCTTCTGATTCTCAGTTTTAAATAGTAGTGACTGAGTAATTCCTCTTGTTTATTCCCCTTTTCTAAACTCAATTCTTTGTACACCATGAATCATATATTTCCTCCCACTTTTCTGACTCCCATACATACGGACAGCCAGGCTCATGCAGCTTTCTCATAATCCAACAGAGCACGCACAGTCAGTTTCTTCCACGCTCAGAGACCAGGTACTGGCTTTTGGTTTTTTTCAATTCCACTGAGGCCGAAAAAATCTTTCTCCATTTCTTTTACTCAGATTCATAATACATTCCTTTTAAACACACACAGACCACAGCCAACTTCTTGACTTAGAAATAAAATGCTAATTTGTATGTTTTCAGTGAATTACTAAATGCCCTAAAAATTTCATGCAGAAAATAAAATGAAAAGAACAAAATTATACAATCTGCTTCTGCTCAAGCAATACATAATCATGTGGCTCTTTTTGGGCAAAGGCATCAAGAATAGGCTTCAAAAGCACAGCATTAGGCTTGTGGCAGCTTTGGTAAGTGCAGGGGTGTCATCATGAAGGTGTGGCAAGGTAAGGCCTCACCATTCCATCTCCTGCACACACAGAGAACACAGTTGGCTGCCGCAACACCTGTGGCCACGTGGTTGGTTTCATTCCCCATGCTGAGGCCATGGTGGATGACAAGGGAGACTTAGAAGCAGTCAGATTAGGGGTAAGGCCCATTAGGGCGGACACCTCGCCTGCTGACCTGAAGACAGAAACACAATGCAGTGAAGTCTCCAGAAGAGCAACAGGCTCTTGTCAGCACTGGGAGACCAAAGACAAGTACGCTGGTCCCCACCATGAGGAAGCATAGCTGCTAAGCACCAGGCAGTGTCCGGTACTCAGGCAACGCTACTCTCTGCCCTGCATGGGCTTGCTGGGCCACGTGGACATGAGGGACACTCACCCTGAGAGCAGGTACCAGGGGGCCTGGAGTAGCTGGCTACCCTCCTGCCTCACAGGACAATGAACATGCACAGATGGAGCTTCTCACCTGGCCTGTGCCTTTCCTCCCCACTAACACTGATGCTGGGAAGGAAGAAGTCATTATTTCCTTTCTCCATATTCTCTGCAGTAGCCACTAACAGCAGGTGGCCACTGAGCTTGAAATGCGGCTTGCTCAAACTGAGATGTGCCAGACATGCCAAATACACACTAGATTTTGAAGACATTTTTAATGAAAAAAAGAGCATAGAAATTGGAAATTTCTAAACACTACATGCTGAAATAATATTTTTGGATATTTGTATAGCGTTAAAATATATTATTAAGCTTTGCTGATTTCTTTTTACTTTTTAAAAATGTGGCTGCTAGAAAATGCAAAATTACATAGGTGGATTGCATTGGTGGCTCACATTTTATTTCTATTTTCTATGTTTGGTCAGTGCTGGAGTGAGGATGTATTCATTAAAAGAAGTCTCACCACAGTTAAGTGTAGTGATGCCATCACGGTGAGATTAGTAGAGTTTCTTGGCTTTGCAGGCACAATATAAAAGTCTGATTTAATAATTTTTTTCTTCCGATTAGCTAATATAGAGTATTTATGATGTTGAAACTTTGAGCCTAGTCTTTTATGTATTAAATATATTAACTTGTTTAACCCTCACAGCAACTCTGAGGTAAGTACCATTATCATGCCCATTTGAGAAAGGAACAAGCTGACGCACACAGAGGCACTGCCTCTTGGAAGAGGGGAGCTGGGCTCTAAAAGCAGGTGGCCTGGTTCTAGGGAGCAGCCTTGTTTCACACTCACTTCTGTTGAATGTGAGGTGGTCAACAAATTAAACCTGGAATATATACAGAACGAAAAAGTAATGGGAATGACCCACCTCTGGAATTAGTCTAATTAACAAAAGAACAACTGCCAGAATGCGATGTGAAATTTACAGAATGACAGAGTTAGTTACTTTTACAAATGTTGGTTGATATTCTACCATGTCTTTTGCGTAGTCAGAGTCTGGCTTATGGGGATATAACCTCAGTGACTTTGTGGCTGCAAATCTTGAAGCATTGTCACCTATCATAATAAATACAAATCTCAAAATTCTTAAGATTTATGATTCTCTTTATCATGCATTATGCTCACATAGCCCTTTCAGTAGCATCTATGTACATTTTTCCTTTAAAAGACAACACAGCACGAAGAAAGATACATGTTTCTAAACTAGAAAACGAATTTTCTTTTTAATGTGGACCACAGGTGAATAGATCTGGTTAATGACACACAGTCATCATTGACTCTTACATGGCCCTTTTTCATTTTCTTATTTTTTTGTTTAATCATAAAAGGAACACCCATGAGCCCCTCCCATCTCCTTAATAAGACAGGATCAATAACCAATATTTTACTATGATCTCTTCCATACCCCATCTCTCTTCCACCCTTGCCTTCTCTCCTACTATCCTGAATGTTACGACTATCATTCTGTCTCCTTTCAAAAATTTTTATCACAAATACATGCATGCTTAAACAATATAGTACTTAGTTATGCTTGTTTTTTGAACCTTACAAACAAAAGAGGATTATATGTAATCTTTTAACACTTGAGTTCTTCATTCAACATTATGATACTGAGATCCATCCATGTCATTGCATGTGGCTGTAATTCATTCTTTTTCTTTTTCTTTTTTTCTTTTGAGACGGAGTCTAGCTCTGTCACCCAGGCTGGAGTGCAATGGTGCCATCTTGGCTCACTGCAAGCTCCGCCTCCCTGGATCAAGTGATTCTCCTGCCTCAGCCTCCCAAGCAGCTGGGATTACATGCACCTGCCACTACGCCCAGCTAATTTTTGTATTTTTAGTAGAGACAGGGTTTTACCGTGTTGGCCAGGCTGGTCTTGAACTCCTGGCCTCAAGTGATCCGCCCATGTCGACTTCCCAAATTGCTAGGATTACAGGCATGAGCCACTGCGCCTGGCCAACCTTTTCACTGATGAATATTTTATTGTGTGGATATTCCACATATTATGTATCCATTGTCTTGTTAGTGGCCATTTGGGTTGTTTCCAGTTTCTTGTTATAAACAGTGCCACTATGAATATTCTTGAACATGTTTCCTGTTATATATTGCTAATTATAACACCTATTTTGTTTATTTAAACAAATTTGATTTTAAAATACAGTGTGACCCCTCCCCTTTTGGCAATAGCATCTCCTAAGTTTTCCTCAAAAGAGGATTAAACAGAGATCCAGTAGCTTGGCAGTTCAGTTGTATACTATTCAGAATTTCCTTTCCATATTACTTATCAAATACAGCTCCTCAGTATATAAAATGATTAAATGCACAAAGTAGCTTATAATTCTCACAAAGTTTATCTTCAAAGAGCTCAGTAATTTGTTAATTTGTTCCTTATATAAAATGATGTTTTTAAAGATTTATGCAATTAACTAAGGAAATGTCTACAACTGCTCTTTTCTTTTTTGGAAGCAATATGATGTTTAATTCTACAAAATGCTGCTTTTTCTCTATTCTTGATGTAGCAGTGTTTAATAATAGATTTTTGAGGCTGTGGGGGTGTATGGGAGGAGAAATGCTATCACATTAAATGTGCATATCTATTATAAGATACAGAAATTCTATATTTTCAAAGGTGTATATTAAGGCTCTCTCAATCCAAGGTTGGGCTTTCTGGTTTGGGTAATACAAAGGAAATTTAAGAGTTGTTCAGAGCTGTAGTTTAATGGTTAGGTGTTTCTAAGTCCAATTTTTATTTACGAATTGGGGAATGCTTTATTTGCAGTTACCACAGATAATGCATGTTGAAAAGAATGCCTGTAAGTGTAAATGTAGATTTAAAACAACCAAATTTTCCCTATATTTAAAGTCTTAATTTGAAATAGCCGTAAGAAACACTGGTAGTTCTGGTCAGCACTATCATCATTCACTGGTTGATATTTAAAATTTATCTTGCAGAATTTCAATCCTGTAGTCAAGGCTCTCAGTCAGTTAAATGCAAAGGCATTTGATAGAGTAACAGATTAGTAGCCTGTTATCAGTCATTTATACTTCAGTGTGACTTAAGTCTTGCCTACGAATGGACTCCTAGGGTTGGAGTGATCAGAAATGTGTAAGTCAAAGTCTTCTGTGTTTCTGGCTAATTTTCATTGTAATTCAAGTCCTTTTCTGGTTCTAGTATTTGAACTTGGTCAACAGTAATAACAATAATAATTCACATTTACTGAGTTATTCACCTTACCGCGCTTTTTCATGCCTGTGATCTAATTCATTCCTCAGTGTAACTCCATGAGTTTGGTATTAATATAATCATTTTACAGACGTGAAAACCCAAAGGCAGATTGGCTAAGACTGTGTCTGGTTGAGAATGGACTCCAGTCTTTTTCATTTTGGGTTCAGTCCATTGTACCACACTTTACTGGAGCTGACTGGAACAGGTTTGAAAAACTGCTTGGACAGAGGACTTATCTTCCAATTTACAGCTGAAATATTTTTATTTTAAAGAGCCAGAGAGGTTCTGGCAACAAAACTGTAAACATTCATTTTTTGAAGACCTTAAAATATTTAAAACCGAGAGTTGGCATGTCTTAACATTTGACCAAAAAATTATCTTTTTTTTTTTAAATATAAGAGCCATAATAAAAACAAACTTGGATATTTGCTCCGAAAAAGGTCTTACGTGTTAGGAATCAAATATATAAACACAGCACACAGGAAAAGTCCCTGGACAAGACAGCAGGAACGTGACTATGCAAAAATGCCTCTACTTCAGGGATTGGAGTCAAGTCCCTACAGAATAATTTTAGGTAACTGCACATAAAAAGAGGTTAAAAAAATTAAAAATAGAAACTTGTCACAGAGATATACTTGTATTACATCTGAGAAATGTAACGCAAACCATCTGAGACCCTAAGACACAGTAAGAATATAAAGCCAAAAGCTGTAACAAGGTACTAACTGCGCTAATGATGCATGTTGCAATGGTATATATGCCACAATCAACAGCAAATGATGACAGACATCTTTTACTGGCTCAGTAAGCTGAAGAAGCCTTCTCCATATGAGTGGAAAAAACAACCCCAGGTTGATATTTTCCATCCTAATTTTTGTTAATGACTGCACAATTAAATTTTTGTAGTATGAGGCAAGGAAATGAATAAAACTGCAAGAGTATTCAAGTGAAAATGATGGACTCTCAGCAAAAGTTTGGTGGATAAATTGTGTTCTTCAGGTCAGGGACTGCATCTTGTTCACTGTGATCCCCCAGTTTCCAGACTACCCCCAGCCTAGGGGAGGTGTTCAGGAAATTCTACTTGAATGAGTGCATGAGCCAATAACTCCCATCTTTCCATTCCCATTGACCCGCATTTTCACTCCCCAAAGAACTGAGGGACTATTAGATCTGATTGTTTGTAGGATGGTCAAGCTTATCTTGGAGCTAGGTCAGAGTGAACTGAAAGGACACCCCATTATTCCAGATAATTCTCCTTTTCAGGCTGCTCCAGGAAGTTTAACCCCCGCCACACAAGCTTTAGTCAGCAGGTTCTTCTTGTCTGTAAGAAAGTCTATCCATCAGTCTCAATACAGGCCATCAAATGACTGCTATTCCATCCTGCCTTCACAATCTGCATTACCACATATATGTAATGTGCAGTTAGTAGCACAGATAATGCCTATTTGCCACTGGTGGGAAGAAATCTAATAATGGACATTCTGGGTGCAATGACAAACTATCAGCAAGGTATAGATTTGGTATACGAGAATGCTGCTTCCATGCTAACTACCCCTTGCAGTCTCCTGCTTTCCATTTCGCAGTAGCACGAGGCCCATTCTTCACACTGCAGTGTATTTTTCTCCACTCTATGAATGCCACTGTTGCTGGGCCAGGAAGAGTTGCCCCTTCCTCACCTCTACGTGCTGTCTCTGGCTCTTTTCACAGTTTCCACAATCCCCTTTCTCAAGAACCTATTTTTATCAGTTCCCATCATGGATTGGGAGATACATTCTTCTTGAAATGTATCTGAACAGTGACTGTTGAAGCAGGGTGGGAGAACAGTTGTTTGTTTTCCTGTCTTCAGAGTTGAAACGTTTTTCATTTGACCACTAGTAATTTTCACCCTTGAAACAGACAACCATTGCTGAAGATCAGAGAAGGGTTAAATTCTCTGGAACATCTGAACCATGACCCACTCATGGTTTTATAGATAAGGTTACTATCTATAAAATTCTTCCTGGAATGTATCTCCCAATCCATGATGGGAACTGATAAAAATGGGTTCTTAAGAAAGGGGATTTTTGTTTTCTATGCACCCACCACACTGACCCCATAACACCTTTGTCATAATTCTGTTGGTTCTCAGAGCCTGCATGGGCCTTCAGAGATCACCTTGCCTAGCTTTCATTTATACAAGAGGATGCAACTAAAGCTCCAGATACTGAGTCACATTTCCCAAGGTTTCGTCACTAATACCTGTGAGAGGAGGAGAAGCTAAGACTGTTTTTGTGGTGTTTCTCTGTAACATCATGCGGCCTTTACAGAGGTTACTCCAGGCTCTGGAAACTTGAATAGGGACCTAGGGGATGCTCGCTCAGCCTGCAGCTGACACCATTTTTGAAGAAATAACTAAAAATAGCAGGAGTAAATGGGACTTAACCTAGCACACAAGTAACCTTACCTATAAAACCATGAATGGGTGGGTCATAGTTCAGATGTTCCTGAGGATTTAACCCTTCTCTGATCTTCAACTATGGTTGTCTGTTCTGAGGGTGAAAACTACTAGTGGTCAAATGAAAAACTTTTCAACTCTTAAGGCAGGAAATCGAACAACAGCTCTCCCTCCCTTCCTCAACAGTCACTATTCACCATACATATGTATGGGTAAGTATGAGAGTCCCTCTCCGAAGAGCACATGTCTGGAGGCGACATGGTAACTTGCAGGGGAAAGCGAGTGATGCCATGGAATCTCAGGCACAACACAAGCTGGTGGGGAGGTGCTGATTCTGTACCCAGAGGCAGCCCAGTGAGGGGCGAAGGGCATAGACTCTGGAACCAGACTCTGGGACTCCAAACCTCAACCCATCACTGACTAGTTGTGTGACCTTCACCTCTGCACTGCCTTTTTCTAGTCTGTAAGACAGGGATGCTGGTAGTCTCCTCCTGATGGGGGTGTCATGAAGATCCCAGGAGCTCGTATGTCTCCAGCTCTTAGGATGTAACGAGTGCTAGGCGAGGGTCTGCTCTTCCGGGTAGGTTGAAATTCCAAACAACTTTTAACATATGTATATACCCATCTAGTTTACCTACTTGATTTTGACTAAACAACTTGCTAAGAAGAGCATGAAGAAAGGCATCCAGCAAAATACTTCAAGAGTGCTAATTACATTACAGGCAAAAGGAAAAGTTATTTGTAACTGTTAAGATTTGAAGCCTCTTTTCATCAACATGCCAACTGTCCTGCTCAAATGAAGATATTGCTTAGAAGATCAATGTATCTCTGTTTACATGCCTTGAATTATATTCTCATGTCAAGTAGCATGTATTGCTGTATTCTGGACACACAGCACTCTAAAGCTTAACGAGTCATCTGAATACCTGTTAGGAGGCCTTCAAAGAGAGTGCAGATCCAGCACTGGCAGAGTTCCTAAAGCAGGTCAGCTAGAGTAACACAGGGAGCTGACTGTGATTTTTTTGTATGGTTCATTATCCCTTAGAAGTGAGAAATTCTCACCAAATTCAGTGTCGTCTGACACATGAGCAGTAATGATACCGGTCCTGGAAGAAAGAGATGTAGCTTCCAGTCTTGGTTCTACCAATGATGTGCTGAAAACTTGGCCAAAGCCCACCATCTCCCATCTCTCTGCCACCATCTACAAAATCACACTAACAGTCTCTGCATTTATTCATACATATCATATATTAATTTTTTTAAAGAGGACCGAGGGATAGAAAAGTGGAAAGAAATGTATTTGTCCTTCCAATTCTGATGTTGAGGAAAGTTAAAATGGCTTTTACATTGATACTACAACCTTCATGCTTTTATGATGTATTGATTTTTTTCGTTGCATTCTTGGGATGACCTCTTGGAAAGCACAAATGACTATCAGCTCGAAGGGTAGAGAAGCTTGTCAGTTGGAAAGGGACCCGCAGCACACAATCCAGTAACAAGTCTTAGTCGTGAAGAGAAGCATGTTTCCAAAAACACAATTTTAAAGTTTTTGACAAAGTACAAGGATGAAGAGAAGACTGTTGCATTTGCAAGGTGTAAATTCTTTTTTTTTTTTTTTTTTTTTTGAGGCAGGATCTGGCTCTGTTGCCCAGGCTGGAGTGCAATGGTGCAATCACGGCTCACTGCAGCCTCAAACTCCTGGGCTCAAGCAATCCTCCCACCTCAGCCTCCCAGGTAGCTGGGACTCCAGGTGTGCACCAGCATGGGTAGTTAATTTTAAAATTTTTTTGTAGAGATGGGGTCTTGCTATGTTGCCTGGGATGGTCTTGAACTGCTGGGCTTAAGCAATCCTCTCACCTTGGCTTCCCAAAATGCTGGGATTACAGGCATAAGCCACTTTGCCTGGCATAAATTCTTATTATGGAAGTTATTTCTTATTCTACACACCACAGAGTGTGACGCTCTTACAAGTGTGAACCCTCTTTTTGTTAACATATTCTTTATATATTAAAAAAACTTCTGAAGAGTATGTAACTCTTTTTTCTAATAAGCAAGTTGAAATCTTGTTGTTATCTACAAAGACATTTTGTATCGTCAGAGCCAAAGTGGCTAGAGAAACCCAAAGAATAGCATGGGCAACTGAATTAAAAAAGAGAAAGTGGCATAGAAGCCAGCAGAGTCAGATTTGCACTGGAAACTCGCAAGGTCATATTGAGCAAAGAGGCGCTCTGGAGGCGGATGCTGTTGATTTTTTAGCTATCAGTTGGGCAACCATGGATGACAATGGAGGGGCGAATTATAAATCACTCCCATCCGGAGACACCTTTTCTCTAGGCTTGAACTATGACAGTTAAACGCTAGGTGAGCAAACATCCCAGTTAATGACATTCTGGCGAGCCTAGCCATCCAAATCAGAAATGTCTGGATACTTAGGGACATCATTCTTTCAGCAATAAAACTTTTTTCCCACATAAACTCTTGAATGGAAATCTTCCTGAAGCATTCCATACATCTCTGCCTTCTTACGAAATGAAAACACTGGAATTTCACCTCCTCTCTCTCCTTGAGGACATAGGATCTTGCGTCAGTCACTGTATTTGTGTTGTAGACACCGGGAACCCCTGGGAATTTGCCCCCACACAGAATGCCTCTTGAGGGACTTGCTTTATGAGTTCTGATGTGCATCTTCCTCTTTTCTTGCTGTCCGTGGTACTTCTCTTTGTCCCCTCTTCATTTCTAATCTGACACAGACTTAGAGGAATCTTTTTGGGTGAGGTAGGGCTTAGACATTGTGGCTCAGAGTGTAGGCCCTGGCGCCAAGTCCCAGCCCTGCTGCACATGCTGTGTGACACGGGCCACGTATCTACCCCGTCAGGGGACCGCCATGGTGGCTACTACACGGGGGCGTGCATGTGTGTGGATTAAGTGAGATCATCTGCGTAAAATCTCAGAGGAGTAAGTACTACAAAGCTAACTATTCAATGGTTAAACCAATGGTTGAAAAATATTTCCTCCCAGTGTGTGCATATGGGTGAGGTGTGGACTCTGCAGAGAAACCCTCCTGGCCACCCCTGGCCCTCAAACAAAGCAAGGGTCCACAGTTGGTTCTCAGTTCGCCAGAACACAGTGCTTTCATCAGGGCCCCCCAGAACCACTTGCTAAGACTGGGAAATGCCACAGAGTAATTCCTTCAAGACAGAAAGGCTGTCTTCAGTAAATCAGGAATTAGAAAGAAGCCATTAGTCAAGGGGAGATTCAGCAGGACTCTCTGCCTCGCACTGGGCTGAGCCGAGCGATGGCCACTCAGGCTCTGCCGCAGGAAGAGGTGCTGTCCATCAGGTGCAGAACTGAAAGATGGCCTGTGCTGTGTGAGCCCTGCCCATCTCCAGATAGATGGCTCATGTAGTGAGCTACAGGCACTCATGGACTGATTATTTCCTCAATAAGACTTAGAAATATACCCGCAATGTCTATCGACCTAAACTCTGCAAACAAAAATCAAAATGAGGGATGGTGAAGTGACCACACCAAGCTTGTAGCTGCAACAAGGCTGATACAGTGTATAACCTGGACCCGTGATTCTTAAACCCAGAAAGGTCACCTCACAGTACACAGGGGGACAGGCTCTGGGGTCAGGCTGCCTGGGCTCAAATTCTGAACCATTCTCTACCCAGCTCTATGACTCGGGGCAAGTCAATTATGTTCTCTGGGCTTCTGTTTTCTCACATATGAAATGAGCCACCATTCTCCACCCATAAGATTGCTGCAGTTATACAGCTTAGGGCAGTTCTTGGCATGAAGTGCTGTTCAAGCAGTGGTCGCCATTTTCATTGGTATCAAGCCAATTTATCAACTTCACCAAAAAAGAGGAAAACCAAGGCGTAGGTGGCTCTTTTAGATGGGCGCTCATGCATTTTAAAATCCCAATTTGGTTTTTCTTTATATTTTAGTCTACACTATTTCAGACCACAATACTTTCTGCAGAATATAGTATTTGTTGACTCTTCCCATGCAATGCCAAGCCTTGAAAACTGACAGAAGGCAGAGAAAGTTCCCTGAAAACACCACAGCCTGACTCTTAATTCAGAGCCAGGCTTGTTCTTCGGCCACACCAAGACGTGCCGAGTCAAACTGGGCCCCGTGCGTGGCTTCAGCACTCGGCAACGTCTGAAAAGGCAGCACACACACATAACATTACGCATGGTGAAGGGTGACCAGGATGACATCTCACATTTACTGAATGTTTAAGGTGTGTCAGGCACAGGGCCCAGCACTTCAGATGTATTATTGTATTTAATTCCCCCAAAAAGCTTCATGTGCTAGGCATTATTATTATTATCCCCATTTTACAGATGAGGAAACTGAGCATAGAGATACTAATTAACTCAACCAAGGTTACATAGACAGGAAGAGGCAGAGGTGAGACCAATTGCAAAGTCTGCACTCTTAACCATAATGTTAAGGAACTTTTACTCTAGTCACCGAAATTACTCAGATGCGATTGTTTTTATATAATCATATGCGTAAAACTATTGTGAGATTTTTCTTTTGAGACAAGGTCTTCCTCTGTCATCAGGCTAGAGCACAGTGCTGCAATCATAGGTCATTACAGTCTTGACTGCCTGGGCTCAGGTGATCCTCCTGCCTTGGCCTCCCGAAAAGCTGGGACCACAGGCATACAACACCATGCCCGGCTATTTTTTTTATTTTTATACAAGATTTTTTGTAGAGATGGGGTCTCATAATTTTGCCCAGGCTGGTCTGGTCTTGAACTCCTGCACTCAAGCGTTCCTCCAACCTCGGACTCCCCAAGTGCTGGGATTAAAGGGATGAGCCACTGCATCTGGCCTATTATGAGATTTTTGGTACTATTTTGTTTCCTCTCTTTTCAAAAAAGAGCCTTAAGAAACAATATCAAGCCTACCGTGGGGACCATTTCAGAGACTGGTTATGTAGTGTGTCATCCCGTTTATCTCCTGCTCCAACACATACCAGGAATCTTTCAGGGTGATTTACACAAAGCCTTTTAAACAGACTGCTCTAACTTCTAGTTGTTGCAATTGTAGGTAAGTGAGCATGTTATGTGCTTAGCCACAAAAAATGGGTAACTATGGGTGGGCAGTGGACATGAGACGTGCAAGCCCTGGTAAGGGGACACCTTGGTGCCAGACAACCCAGGGGCTGTGTGTCTTTGGGAGAACTGGCTGCCTCTCATCTCAGAGGTCAGGGAAGGCTCCCAGTAGAGATGATGGTGGCAAGTGAGGGATGCAGCAGATGTCACTGCTGAGAGTGAAGCACAAAGGCAGGTGCAGACCTGAGCCTGTAGCATAGAAGGGCAGGGCTGGGCCCACTGTGACGGGGCCTCTGTCCGCAGGGAGGATACCTACCACTCGATGGCAATGCTGTCTTCGCAGGACAGGGATGTAAGGGACTGTAATGAGAGACTGACAGGTGACATTTAATCTAACGGGTTGAACCGTAAGAAACTGCCATATCAGAGCTCAAAATTGGCCAAATATTGGCAATTTTTAATAGTTCAACCTAATAGATAATGAAACTCCGCTGTATAAATGCAGACCCGCACCCTGCATGAATGGAAGCGACAAGAAGAGAACTGGATGAGGAATCGGGAGACTCGGTTCTAGTCCTGGCTTTGCCTCCAGGTCAGCACATCTGGATGACCCTGGACAAGTCTCGTAGAGAGTTGCGCTAATGCCCTGCTCATCTGTAGAGGAAGTCTTGGATCAGACACACCTAAGTGCGCTTCCAGCTGAAATGCTAAGATTAGAGGCAAAGCCACCAAAAGAGCACAGATGGGGAAGCTTGGTCAAAACACAATGGAGACATCAACTCTATTTGGCCCTATGATCACCTGGAACAGGACGGCACTGGGGGCAAACTGATGGGCATGGAATTGAAGTGAGAAACCTGCAAAGATGCAGTCTCCTGAATTTCTCAGTAAAGAGAACCACAAGAGAAGCATGAGTGGTAATTTGACTTAAATACTAAGTATGGAATTTCAAATTTACCTTCAATAAAATCAACTAGGACAATTTAAAGCATTCTTTTTATTGAAGCACATACATTTCCTGAATTTCTTACAACTCTTTTCTATTATCTGTCCTGGTATTTTTATTTATTTCTGCTATAATAGTCATACTGTATTCATACCATAAAATTTTACACTGGAGCAAGTGTAATAAAAAAGTCCAAGAATGTCTCTCCATGATCTTCCTGTAGGGCTAGATGCTCTTGAAATGATTTGTATGATGTGGGGGACTTCTGAGAAGGAGCACCTCTGCGGTGTCCAAATTTGCACACAGGGGCGGGGCACCAGTAATCCCAGCACTTTGGGAGGCTGAGGCAGGTAGATCACCTGAGGTCAGGAGTTCGAGACCAGGCTGGCCAACATGGCGAAACCTGATCTCTACTACTAAAAAAAACAAAAAAATTAGCCAGGCATGGTGTCACACACCTGTAATTCCAGCTACTGGGGTGGCTGAGGCAGGAGAATCGCTTGAACCCAGAAGGAGGAGGTTGCAGTGAGCTGAGATCGCACCACTATACTCCAGCCTGGGTGACAGAGTGCGACTCCATCTCAAAACAAACAAACAACAAAAAAATTTGCACACAGGGCTGTGCTGGCCATACTGCACTTGCCACTGTCCCTGGTCTACCTGCTGAATTCACCCATTCTTCAAAGGCCAGGCCACCCCTCACCTTCCCTGGGATAGCACCACTATTTCTCCCAAAGGGCTGTGTCCACCTTCCCCTTGCCAACATGACAGTGTGTCCTAGGGGTTTAAGCTCTGTGAGCCCTGTGAGAATTCCCGTGGGTGTACACAATTCAGCTTAGTATTTCCAATGCTGAACATAGTTCCTGACACATATCAGGTCATCATTTAGAAAAAAAAATGAAATGCCTGTTCATATAAAACTGATAATGATTAATTTCATTATCATTAACTTCCAATTAGTTAATGTTAACATTAACATTAACTTCCAATAAGTTATGAAAATTCACATGATGATATAACACACTACTCACTATAACATTTTAACCAAAGAAATAAGAAACACTAATGATAATCTCTTTTTTTCTTTTTTTTTTTTTTTTACAGAGTTTCACTCTTGTTGCCCAGGCTGGAGAGCAGTGGCACGACTTCGGCTCACTGTAACCTCTGCCTCCCAGGTTCAAGCAATTCTCCTGCCTCAGCCTCCTGAGTAGCTGGGATTACAGAGGCCTGCCACCACGCCTGGCTAATTTTTTGTATTTTTTTAGTAGAGACAGGGTTTGATCATGTTGGCCAGGCTGGTCTCAAACTCCCGACCTCAGGTGATTCACCTGCCTTGGCCTCCCTAAGTGCTGGGATTACAGGCTTGAGCCACCGCACCTGGCCATGATAATATTTATTGGCTTAATTCTTTCAAGCAGTTAAAGATGTCAGCTGATGCCACGTGATTTAAGAAAAAAAGTAAACATATAACACCTTAAGAACTATTTTTAAAAAACTTAAATTTAAAACTAAATACCTTAAAATGATATATCTTCATTCAATATGTAAAGTATTAGAACACTTACATAATATCTAAAATTTAGATTATTTAAGGAGATTATTTAAGCTTGAGAAAATGGAGATAGGAACCTCCCAATAATTTAAAAGGTATTCTTTAGGGTAATGGTACACTCCTGTGGATTAAAAAAAATGCAACCTGATAATAATGCCATAAAATCTTTAACATTATTTTTAATAAAAATGAAAACTCAAATAACTGTTATTTTTCTACAAATACTCTGGTTAAAAATTACTCGTTTGACTGAGATTGCATAGACAGCTCTAGAAACAATCAAGAATAATGGGTGGTCAAACTCATATGATTCTCACATGGGTGGTGGCAGTAGGGAGGAAAATTAAGAGAAAATATGTTTTCCCTTTTTTCTTTTTTCAGAGATGATTCTAAAGGTTTTGCTATGAAAATATCATTCTTTTCAGATGTTTCTGAAGAATAATCATTGAGGTAAGTTTAATATTTGGTAATATTTTTATTTTTGTTTTTAAATTATTAATTTATTTTCAAATCATACTCAGTTTGAATTCAAATAGTTCAAAAATTAATATAATGCTTCAGGATGCTTCCAGCTATTGAAACAACTCAATTAAAAATGTACAACTCACTTTATTTTAGTTAAATTCATAATGCAGGTAATATTAAAAATTATTATGAATATTTAATAATGCTTTATAATTTGCTTTTATAGTACACCACTACAGACACATAAAAAGTTGAATTATCTAATTAAAACATTTTCCCTTCCTATGATTCTAATTCTGAAAACTATAAAAATATTAAAGTCATGTTACATATTTTTCAAAAACAACACTGCCATATCCCATCAATATTTGGTAATATTTTTAAAAAAATGTTCATCATTTACGTATTTTGTGCATGATTCAGCCTCTGCATGTGCCAGTGTGTGTGCATGTGTGTGTGTATATTTTAGACATGTGTGTAAATAGGTAGGATAAGCAAGATTGTAGTAAGGATCATTTTACCTCCACTTGGGATGAGAAAATGGAAATGGAAATGACTGAAGCAACCAACATTTGTTTATCTTTTTGCCATAAACTTACGTGCTTCATGAAATAAAAAATATATACTTCAATTTGTTTGAACATATTCTTTACCAACGTTTCTTTAAACACTAAGTAATTACGTGCATGTGTAATAAACTAACTCCCACAACTGTGGATTCACTTTAAGCTAAAAGATGATGCTCTTCATTTTTCTGAACATCATGGAACAAGTTTGTAGACCAAGGGCTCATTCTTGAGCTCTAGCCAAAGCTTACTGTCCCCCAGACCTGAGAAACTGATGCTGCTATGCTAGGAGTGGCCTTGATTTTGTGATGGGGATATGGCTTCCTGACTAGGCTCTGCTGATGACAATTTTACCTTCCCAGGAAGCCCTACTGTACGAAGTGCAACAATGAAGACTTTTGTCTGAGCACAATAGTCCTTATTAATCTTCTTTTCTGAATGGCTACAGAATGTCTAGTCTATACCACATGAGTTAGCATTAAACTACATGCCTTATTTTTCATTAATTTTATATTACACATTATATATATTATATATAATTTATATAATCTATATTATAATATATATTACATATAATTTATATAATCTATATTATAATATATATTACATATAATTTATATAATCTATATTATAATATATATTACATATAATTTATATAATCTATATTATAATATATATTATATATATTATATATTATATATAATATATTATAATATAGAATATATATATTCTATATTATAATATAGAATATATAATATATATAATATATTATATATAACATATAGTAATATATATAATATATATAATAATATGTTATATATATATTTTTTTTTTTTTTTGAGACAGAGTCTTGCTCCGTCGCCCAGGTTGGAGTGCAGTGGCGTGATCTCGGCTCACTGCAAGCTCCGCCTCCCGGGTTCACACCATTCTCCTGCCTCAGCCTCCCGAGTAGCTGGGACTACAGGCGCCTGCCACCAGGCCTGGCTAATTTTTTGTATTTTTAGTAGAGACGGGGTTTCACCATGTTAGCCAGGATGTTCTTGATCTCCTGACCTCGTGATCCGCCCGCCTCGGCCTCCCAAAGTGTTGGGATTACAGGCGTGAGCCACTGCGCCTGGCCTTTTTTTTTTCGAGATGGAGTTTCGCTCTTGTTGCCCAGGCTGGAGTGCAGTGGCGTGATCTCAGCTCACCGCAACCTCTGCCTCCTGGGTTCAAGCGATTCTCCTGCCTCAGCTGCCTGAGTAGCTGGGATTACAGGCATGTGCCACCACGCCCAGCTAATTTTGTATTTTTAGTAGAGACGGGGTTTCTCCATGTTGGTCAGGCTGGTCTCGAACTCCTGACCCTCAGGTGATCCTCCTGCCTCAGCCTCTGAAAGTGCTGGAATTACAGGTGTGAGCCACGGTGCCCGGCCTATACATTATATATTACAGACATCCTTTCCTTCACTAAGTGGTAAGGCTTTTGAGGCCAGAGGTCATAACTAACACTTCCTTTGTGTAACTCATGGTCCTGAGTACGGTGTTGATAAATACGTGGCTTTATGTACATTTACTGAGCATAACTATATGCCAAATGCCATGTCAAGTTCCTGTCCTCAGTAAAGGCATGTTTAGTGGAAAAACTACATGACTCATCATACTATGAGCTTTAAGAATCAAAGGTCAGGCATAAAAAATGTCAAATATGACACATAAATGTGCTTTCTAAATAAGTCTAGCCTTGTTAATTGGAGGGACTTAAAAGGGGGCAAATAACTAGTTTCTATAGTTATTTGGGTCTTACTAAGAACTTACTAAGTACTCAAGACTAACCTTTGGCAAATCAATATTTAAATAAGGACATCTACACAGCATGCAAACTGTGTTCTTGGAAATCTTAGTGTTTCAGGTAGAGGAAGAAAAAAAAGCAGGCAAGGCAGGGTTTTGAAGATGGTAAGAGCAAGACCTGGTGGGATGGAGCACGCAAAAATAAGGGTACACAGAGAGCAAGCATGGAAGTGTAAGCGTGCACAGACAGCAAGCGTGCAAGTGCAAGGATGCACAGAGCGCAATTGTGCAAACTAAGGGAACAGAGAGAGCAAGTGTGCAAGTGCAAGAGCACACAGAATGTAAGTGTATGAGCTAAGGGTGCACAGAGAACAAGCGTGCAAGGCCAAGGGCGTGGAGAGTGCAAGTGTGCAAGCACAAGGGCTCACAGAGTACAGCATGCAAGTGTAAGGATGCACACAGTGCAGGCATGCAAGCAGCAAGAGCAAGCATGCAAGCATAAGGTGCACAGAGAGCAACTGTGCAAGCAAAAGGGTGCACAGCGGCAGGGGTACAAGTATAAGGGTGCTCAGAGGCAAGTGTGCAAGTGTAAGTGTGCACAGAGCAGGTTTGTAAGCATAAGGGTGCACACAGAGTAAGCATGCAAGTGTAAAGGCACAGAGAGCAAATGTGCAAGCATAAGGGTGCCTAGAGTGCAAGTGTGCAAGCATAAGGGGGCACAGAGAACAGGTGTGTAAGCATAAGGGTGCACAGAGAGGAAGCATGCAAATGTAAAGGCACACAGAGAGCAAGTGTGCAAGCATAAGGGTGCACAGAATGCAAGTGTGCAAGCATGGCATATGGGAGGGAAGTCAGGGATTTCTTCCTGGGCAGAAATATCAAACTGGGTCTGTAAAATACAAATGGGTATGGGAGGGACAAAATGTCTTAAAGCCAAAAGGAAGAATACAGGTTGGGTACAGATTGAACAGGAAACTCTTGTGAGAAAGATGACATGTAGCAAGGACCTGTAAAGTTAAAGAAATGTCCCGAAGAACTACCAAATGCCATCCCAGGTTATTAGCCACGCTGAACCTACATCAAATGCCCTCCAAACGTCCTGCCTGGCTTAACTGTTCAATTTATGATCTCCCTCAGTGAGGAAGTCTGCAGCTTCTACGCTTTAAAACACCAGTATTTCATGGTTGTCTAATAAAATCGTTCTATATTTTTGCAATTAAGTACTCCGGCATTTGGTCTCAGCACCCAAGCAGTTTCCAGCTAATTTACTCTATTGTTAAATTTCACTTGGAAAACATTTACTTGGCAATTCAGGTTAGATATTTGCCCCATACTAACAAGATTAACTACGGTAACATTTTATAACAGATTCTCTTCACTACAAGATAAAAGTAGGTTGAGAAGATCGCCCTTTGGGGACTCGAAGTCAGTTTAAGGCCAACCATTCTGTTGAAACACCACACTGGCTGTCTCTGGGGACTCTGGGGGTGCTGGGCAGGAGCAGCCTCTTCCCTCCCTGCTCCTTTATATCTTTTGGATTTTATGCCATCCACAAATATTTCCTATCCAAACAAATACAAACACAAATTAAAAATGGAATTGCTTTGTGTAGTGAGAATGTTATGCATACAGTTGATTTAATTCCATTTATGCCATGAAGATGACAGGATAAAAAAAGTATGAGATTATTTTAAAGGTGAAAAAACCCCCACACCTTCATGGATGACATTCTCATGCAAAACTAAAAAATAAGAAAGCCAGTGTTTCAAAGGAACCTTCCTCAAGAACAACTTCATTATTCTGCCTCTTAAAACCTAGTGTGCTTTTCTCACAAACCACACGTGTTGACTCATTTAAGTCTTAATTTGGCATAAGAATAGCCTCCTCGCTCTGCTCCTTCTACTGATTCCTGAGAGAGTGCTAAGACGTTCAAAATATTTTCTCTCAGTTACATAAAACTAGCAACGATAAGAACAAAATGCTCTAATACTTAAGGTATGTTTAACGCCATATTCTTCTGAAAAGAGCAAGGGTCCTTAGAGATGAACAACAAACTTCCAATACATTCAAACTGGAGGCGAACTTTGGAAACAAAAATCTTTTTTGTTCAGCCTCACATTTTCAAAGGATTTGAAGTTTCAAAGACATCCTATCCAAGAAATAATAATAAAAAAAATGGTACACAAATACACAATGGAATATTATTCAGCAGTGGAAAAAAATGAAGTCCTGTCATTTGCAGCAACATGGATAGAACGAACATTGTGTTAGGGGAAACAAGCCAAGCACAGGAAGACAAATATCACATGTTCTCACTCCTATGTGGGAGCTAAAAAGTGGACCTCATGGAAGTAGAGAACAGAATGATGCTTACTAGAGGCTGGGAAGAATAGTGGGGAGGTGGGTGAAGAGAGAATGATCAACGGGCACAAAAGTACAGATGCACAGAAGGAATAAGATACAGTATTGAGGAGCACCATGGGGCAACTGTAACTTAATAATTTATTGTATATTTCAAAATACCTAGAGGACTGGAATTAGAATAGTCCTAACACAAAGGAATGATAAATGTTTGAGGTGACGGATATTCCAATTACTCTAATTTGATAACTTACTGTATGCTTGCATCAAAATATCACACGTACCCTATAAACATGTACAACTATTATATATCCATCAAAAAATTTAAAAACCAAAAAAAGTTGCCTTAATTACTTTGTGGCCTTTTAATTCATTTTCTGTAAGAAAAAACACTTTAGATAAAAATGGTCATGTGGCTCAAGCCCCGATTTCTTGGTGTGCTGGTGAGTTTGAGAGGTCGCTGTTGTGGCTGGTCCTCCATGTGCTTTTATTATCAAGAGCATGAAATGATGCATTTTTTATGATGACAAAGCAGCCTCACCATCTCCATTTTCTTTTTCTAATTGTTTTTTCATCAGGTATTTTTATGGGGCAGCCTGTGCTGTTAACCATAAGGAACATCAACTGATTTTATAGATATTTGAAGAATAGATGTAAAACAACTTTTAACCATTTGCTTTTATTAACAAAAATAAAGTCTTCAGTATGTACAGTCTATTATATTCAGCTTTCATAGATATGCCTGCTTCTTTTGACTCCAGCCCACCCCACCTAGCTACACAGAACTTACATCCATTTTCTTTTTTTTGTTGTTTGTTTGTTTGTTTTGAGACAGGGTCTCACTCTGCCGCCCAGGCAGGAGTGCAGTGGCTGGATCATGGCTCACTGTGACCTCTGCCTCCCAGGCTCAGGGAGTTGCTATTTCAGGTGGCAGCCACCACACCCAGTGTATTTTTTGTAGAGACAGGGTTTCACCATGTTGCCTAGGCTTGTCTCTCAAACTCCTGGACTCAAGTGATCCACCCGCCTGGGCCTCCCAAAGTGCTGGGATTACAGGCATAGGCCACCTATTTTATTTTAATCATGGTATTTAGAAAGTCAAAAGATTGAGCAGTTTTCTCCCTTACATATTTATTGCTCAAGCCTACTGGTGTGTGAAAACTAGAGTGTGAGTTTTGATAAGAACAGGATATTTGGGCCAGGCATGGTGGCTCACGCCTGTAATCCCAACACCTTGGGAGGTCAAGGTGGGCGGATTACTTAAGGTTGGGAGTTTGAGACCAGCCTGGCCAACATAGTGAAACCCCGTCTCTACTAAAAATACAAAAAAATTAGCTGGGCATGGTGGCAGGTGCCTGTAATTCCAGCTACTCAGGAGGCTGAGGCAGGAGAACTGCTTGAACTTGAAGGGAGGAGGTTGCAGTGAGCCGAGCTTGTGCCACTGCACTGTAGCCTGGGCGACAGAGCAAGACTCTGTCTCAAAAAAACAAAAAAACAAAAAAACAGGATATTTGTACAGTTTCAAAAAACATTCCTGGAATTTACTTATAAATTACCAAGGGAAAAAGGGCATCTATATAGAAGCAGACCCCACCTTAACTAGTGACCAGAGTTAACATCACAGATGCACTGAGAAGGAAGGATTCATGATCACTTCTCTGCTGTTGCTCCAAATACAAAACCTCAAAGGAACTCTGAGTGTGGGTGTTCTACAAAGTCAATGTCAGGCCAAGGTCATGACAAAAAAGGTCGGCTGAGCAACTGTTCTAGCATAGAGAGAAATGGAAGTTAAATGTCATGGCTGATCCTGGATTAGATTACTGACCAGAGTTACCAATATCATTATTTATTATTATTGTTACTGCTATTATTTCATTAAATTATTGAGACTCTTGGTAAAATCTGAGTAAGGTTTGTTGATTACAAAATGATGGTCAGATGTGGTGGCTCACACCTGTAATCTCGGCACTTTGGGAGGGAGGTGGATCACTTGAAGCTGGGAGTTTGAGACCAGCCTGGCCAACATGGTGAAATCCCATCTCTACTAAAAATACAAAAATTAGCCAGGCATGGTGGTGGGCTATGCCTGTAGTCCCAGCTACTTGGGAGGCTGCAGTGAGCCGAGATCGCACCACTGCACTCCAGCCTGGGAGACAGAGCGAGACTCTGTTCAAAAAAGAAAAAAAAAAAGATATCGTATTAATGTTAAATCTCCTAATTTTGATACCTGTGCTGTGGTTACAGAAGTGAAGTGGATGTCCTCATTCTAAGGAAATACACACTGATGTAGTTAGAGGCAAGGGGGCATGATGTCTGCAACCAACTCTCAAATCGTTCACAAAAATGTGTGTTAGTGTAGAGAGAGTGAGAGCATGAATGTGGCCACACATTAGCTATCGATGAATCTGGGTGAAGGACACATGGCAGTATTCGGTACTTCTTTTGTATTGTTCAGGTAAAGATTAAAATCACTTCAAAATAAAAAGCTAACATTGATTAGGAGTACCTCTTATGATAATATTGCAAAGAAAAAAATGGAATTTAAGAAAAGTATCTTTATTGAAGCTCTAATACGGTTAATCTATCTAACTGAAATGTTTTACTATAATAATAAAAATTCCTTTTATTAGCATCTCAGATGTGCAGAATAATACAATACTTATTCTCAGTGGGGGTTTCCCTCCTCCTTAATATCATGACATAAGCCATGTGAGACCTGGAAGCAGGTTTCTGGTACAGGAAATGCCCTTTGTCCAATGACAGACAAATTCCCAGAGCACCATCCCCACAGCAGATACAAAGCCTGGTCTCTTTATGAATTCGGAAGTGATCCTTCCAAAAAAACCTTGCATTTTTGTCACTCCCCCAAAGAAAACCGTGGAATGGTTCTCCCCAGCCTTGAGGAGGAAGCCCAGGCCCCTTGGCCAGGCTCGCAGGACTCTCCCTAACCCGCCGTGGCCTGACTGGGCTTTTGGTCTGCAGGGAAGGTGCCACCCACCCTGAAGCACTGTCCTCTCTATGTCCACCTGCCCTCTAAGCCCGTCCCATTCAAGGAAGATTCAGCTCAGTGTGACGCCAGCTGCATGGGTGTCCCCAGGTGGCCCCAAGAACTTCCTTAAATGTAGCCTTACACACCTGTATTTCTTAAGCCTGTATCCCTGCCAGAGGTAGAAAAGTGCTGTTCCTTATTCATCTTGGTGTCCACAAGATGGATAATATGTGTACTGAATAATTACTGAAGCAAGGGCAGTCCACGTGACCTCTTCCATGTCACCCGCTTCCCCTCCACAGTGCTGGCAGAAGAGCTTCGGGACCTCCATGTGGCCCCACTGAAAACTGTTGCTTATGGACTACTCTGTGATGTCAACCTTTCACGGGAAAGACAGGCAGCTCAGGAAGCCACGTTCCATCTTCGCCAACTACTGGGAAGCTCCATGGACAGCTGGCAAATGAAATCAACTTCCATGTTGCCTCTCCCTCTCCACCTCCTGTGCCTCCCTGTCCTCAGCTGGGGCTGTCAGGCCAAATGGTCCCTGAGGCCTCACGCACCATCTATTTTCAACACACATCACTGTTTTCCTCTGCAAAGTGGGACTTCTGTTAGGCCCTATAGAATCAATACGGCAGCCCTGAGCCTAAGACACAGGCGTTCACTGCTTCCAGCAACCAGGTGTGCAAATTAGAACAAGAAAGATTATTGTGCATTTTAAAAAAAGGTCTTTCCTAGGACTTTTTTAAAAACCAGAGAACATGCCTTAGGACATCTAACTATTTGTGAAGTATTTATTTTAGCATGATCTCCCTGTGAGGGGTGCAGTCAGGGTGCATTTCACCTTTCTACCACTAGACAGCACGAAGCAAAGGTGCACTGCGGTGAGCACAAAAGAATGAGGCTGCAGCTTATTGGAACTTGCAGCAAAACTGGGCAGAAACTGCAGGCCTAGGGAGAGAGGCAAAAAATCCCATAGAAATCTGCAAAATCCAGGGGAGTTCCAGGCACCCTCAAAGAACCTGAGACTAGGCCAGCCACAGGATCAGAAGGCCAGGACACAGGCCAAGCCGAAATGGTGGGAAAGAGCAAGGCCAATGTTAGCAAAGAAAATCCAACTGAAAATAAGGTAGAGAAAGAGAAGGAGAGCCGAGCTCTGGGGCCTGCTGGTAACAGAGAACAGGCAGGAAGGGAGGTCCATGGTAACCTGCCAGAGAGCCTGGGGGACTCCCACATGAGAACCTGTGCTCTGAGAGGGCATGGGGATGAGGATTCCTGAGCAGTCAGGGGCCTCACTTCCTTTGGGGAAAACTAGGGGTGCCTTCTCCCAGGAGGGCTGTGAAGTGTTAGGCATGTCAGCTCTTGGCATGGGACAGAAGGGACTGCCTATAAATGCTGGCTTGAGGTGGAGGTGCAGGCGGTGACAGCTAAGGGGTGCGACTGACTCCCCGTGGATCCAGAGGGGAGTGGACAGTAAGCCATGTCAGACCACGGGACCTGGGGGCCGTGTGGACTGAGGTGGGGCCACCAACCAGCCCCAGCAACTGAGGCGAGGCCAAGAATGGCGCTAGCTCTGCTCCACTTCCTCCAGCAGAGCAGGATTGCTCATTTTAAAGCTGTACCGCCCATGTCCCAGCCACTGTTTTAGATATTAACATGTTTAATCCTCACATCAGCCACAGGAAGTAGGTGTTGCCATCATCTCTACTGTACCATTGAGAAAAGGCAGATAGCAATGAGGTCATGTGCTCAAGGTCACATACAAAGGGTCTGGCAGGGCTAGAATTTGAACACAGTTTGGGCTGGCCCCACACCTCCCCTTAAGACCCCCTTTCAAGATACAAACACCATGCTGTCCACAGAATCCCAGGCCTGGGGGTGTCTGCACCCTGTCCACCCTTGTGTCCCCCTGCAGGGGCTCCTTACCAGCCCTGCCTCAGCCCCTATGAAGACCCAGGGGAAGCGCCAAGCCCAAAGACCCTTCTCCCAGTGACTCCCATTCAAGACAGACCCAGCAGAGGGGCAGTGAGACCTTAAGTGGGCCCCTATAATAAATTTCCATTTATTAATTACATCTGAAAATACTGGAAGGAAAACATGGTACTTTTTCCTTCCATGCCAGACACAAGCGTCTTTAAGAGGTTCAGTGTACTGCAGAAGGCGAAAGTTTACTGTGCCCTTTTTACACCAGCTCAAATGTTGCCTTTCTCCCATAAAACATGCACCAGACCTCACTAGCTCAAAAGGCAAAGAACAGGATGGCTGTGGGGCAATCAATTTCAGTACCATTTTGAATTAGGTGGTTGCTGTTTTGCTGTATGTGTGGGGACCTCATGTTCTTTCACACTGTGTGACATCCCAATTGGCCTGTCCCCTGACTTCTTGTGCCCACAGGTCCTTACTGAAGTGGATTCAGAGGATTCTATCATAACCTAAGTTAGCAGGCACATGGAGATTGTTTGTAGCGCACCCAGCAGGAGATGCACTCCAAGAGCGAGCTGCGGGGAGAGGAGGCGGTGGAGAAAGAGGCCTGGTCCTCAGGGAGCGAACACAGCCAGCCCCATCATTTTCTGATGGCACTGGGAGGTGGGTTTGATGAGGTACTGGGCAGGAATGGTCACCCAGGGTGCAGGGAACCCAAGTAGAGGCTGCCGTGGAGGAACTCATGCTGACCTGATTTACACGGTGGGCTTCAGCTTGGTTGGTTAAAAAAAAGACACACACACGAAAACCCACAGCACAAAGCCTTCTAGCAGGAGATAGACACAGGCTTGGAGAGGGAACACAGATATTGTGCGGAAGAATCTGACCGCATTCTGGAGATTCTGCACACATCTCCCAAGGAGAGGCGGCAGCACACGGCAGCAGCCGCTGGAGCTCTGCATGGCACTCCCTGGGCTGGGCACCGCACTTGGCTCTCTATGCAGGGCCCAAGCTGCAGTGGGTGTAGGCCACTTGCTCAGAGTCACACCAGGCCGTCTGGCTCTCGGGGCCTTGGCCCAGGCCACTGTGGCCTCCTTTGCCTGCACACTGACCGAACACTCAGACGTTAGCCACACAGGGTGCCTCCTGACTTGGGGCTGCTGTTGGAAAGTGACAGAGTAGCTCTCACCTGGGAGGAAGGCAAAACACTGACCTCTGCTCTCTGGGTAATAATTTAGGAAACACCAGGTGGTAATGGCAAAGTACTGACCAACAGATCAGACTGCTTTTCTGTTTCTTGTTTAGCCTGATTTATCCTCTTCCCCTTAGAAAAAACTAGCAAAATACAATTTGAAAAGAGCTAATAAAGTATCCACATTTTAAGAATAAAAATGAAACAAATGAATAACTCAATTGAATTCAACAGTGATTTTGCTTGGTATAGTGCTAAAGGATTTTTGGAGGAGGCAACCACAACATTTTTCTTCTTTTTTCTTTTCTTCCTTTTTGTTTTTTTTTGAGACGGAGTCTCGCTCTGTTGCCCAGGCTGGAGTGGAATATCACGATCTTGGCTCACTGCAACCTCCGCCTCCTGGGTTCAAGTTATTCTCCTGCCTCAGCCTCCCTAGTAGCTGGGATTACAGGCGCCCGCCACCATGCCCGGCTAATTTTTCTAATTTTAGTAGAGACGGGGTTTCACCACGTTGGCCAGGCTGGTCTCAAACTCCTGACCTCAGGTGATTGACCTGCCTTGGCCTCCCAAAGTACTGGGATTACAGGTGTGAGCCACCATGCCCGGCCTATTTTTCCTATTTCATAAATGATCAGCTAATCTATGTTTTGGCATAATCACTTAAGACTATTTATTTTGCATCATTGCATCTGCTGGCTGCTATGCAAAATTTGGCTGCTAAGACATAGTGCCAACTAGTGAGGGGCTTACGGAGTGGGGAGTCAAGCCTTGAACAAAGATAACCTGAAGCTTTGGGTGTATTCATGAGAAAAACTCTAATCAGGCAACTGTCAATTCATTATTTGTAGCTAATCCCAGTACTTTTCTATGGTGATTTATGTGTTGTAAAATATGTTTGTGTTATTTCATTTGAAATTAAAATTTAACATATGCTGACCTTGTCTCCAAAGATTTCACATTATTCTGCAGCAAATATCCTGCCGGTTTGCTGTGAAGATAACTGGAGTTTTTTTATTTTTTGCTTTGACCTGGTATGAAACTCCCCTTTACAGTTCTGGCTTGTGAAGGGAATAACTGTATCACGTGAGCTCGAGGTCACAAGAATTTTATCATCCATCACTGTTCATTATAACCTGAACAATACCAGTTTATGGATAATTGCAAAACTAGACGATCATCCCCATGTAAGCTACCAATTTGCTTTCACAATTTGCTTGAAAAGCCTTTGCTAACAAGCCCTCCCTCACCTCTCTGCCACCAAATCTGAAAACATACCTGCGTCTGCACCTGTTCTCTGCCTTCTCAAGTGGGGAGTTGGTCTGGTCCTTTTTTGTTCCGGACCCCATTCTTCTCGAGGACTGGACTCCTGCCATACACAGCCTCTTTCTTCTGTATTGTCATTTTCTCCTGCTTTACCAAGTGATTCCAGCCCTTTTCATTCAGACAGGGTTTTGTATCTTTCATCTTGACCTTGCCTACCTTCCCAGCTGCTGCCTGGCTCCTCAGCCTTCCTCCACAGCAAAACCTCCAGAAAGCCTAATCTGCCGCCGCCACCTGCACCCACTCACATCACATTCTCTCCTCAATACCCTCCACCTGGGTCCTTATCAAGGTCACCGGTGACCTTGAAGCCGCCAAAGCCATTTTAACCTTAATGTCCATCTTGACTCCCCGGTCAGCACTGCCCACCGCTGACATCCCTTCCTTCTGCAATGGCTCCTCCTGGGGCCTCACGCATCCAGCTGTCCACCTGGTGTCTCCACTTAGATGTCGTAATAGTCATCTCCAACTCACCAGGAAAACAAAACCTCCTCATACCTGCCTCCTCCCAACCTGTTTCTACCTTCTATGCAGAAATTCAGACCCAAACGCTCAGAGTCATTCTTGATTGATCTATTTCCCCTCAGTACTCATATCCACATGCCGACAAGTCTAAATGGTTGTTTCCAAAATAAATCCCAACTCAGGCCACTTTTCTCCACCCCCATGATCCCCTCCCACTGCAAGCTCTCCCATTACCTTTCCACTGTATTATTAGACTAGTCTCCGAAGTGGTTGCCCTCCTTCAACTCCTGCCTCCCCACAATCCGTTCTCCATCCACAGCCAGAGTGATCTTGATGAAACACAATGAGATCTCATGGCTCCACTGCTTAGAACCCTCCAAAGCTTCGTGTGTCTGGACACACCTGGCCTGTAAGGCTGATGATAAGATCCAGCCTCTGAGTCTCTCTGACCTCCCCACAGCAGCCCTTGGCTGATAGGTACTAACCACATTTGCCTGCTTTCTGTTACAACTTCAGATTCATGGAATTCAACTGAAATTCAAATGAAAGACACCACAGAGAGCAAAAGACCCAAAGAGCAACCCACCCGTATTTCCCCCATGTGCAATATTCTCAGAGAAAATTCTCAAGATGTTTGTTTCTAAGATAAGTTATTCTTCTCCTTTTCCTTCTTAAATTGAAGAACCCTAAAATTAATTTTTAACTTTAATATAATGTATTTGTTTCAAAAGTTATCTTACCCCTACAGGAAAATTAACTTAAGACCCTCAAATAATTGAACCATGACACTGACAGGCTTTCTCAAGGATTCAATCTCAAAAAAGTACTGGACTGAGTAAAACAGTGTTTTGTTTACTATTAAAATACTTGATTTAGCTCTACTTGTATGTTTATAAAAAACATACATTCTTTTAAATAAAAGTTAATTTTCCAATGGAGCATATAAGTCAGATTTGTCTTGATATCATTCTGAATGAGGATCATCAAAATATGAAACCAAGAACTACATAATTTAATAAGTAATATAAATATTTCCAAGCACTATGAAATAAATGTCACTAAAATTCTGTGCATACTAAAATTAAAAATAGCATTTTCAGAAGGAATGTTGCATATTTAACATTAATTTCCTGATTTATATAAGTCATAAGTCGGGGCTATGTTAAAAATATATAAATATACATAAATATATATATAAAATATACTCTCATTTGACATGTGCATAGACATTTAAGACAACAGAATGTTAGGCTTAAAAAACACCAGTAAAACTAACCCCCACAAAAGTATTACCTCTGAAAGAGCACTGTAATTACATTTGCATCTGCTGGTGCTAAATTCTCCTTTACTGTAATGATAATTAATTATGCTTTCTGAAAATAACTTTTAAGTAACCTTAATTTATCTATCTGAAAATACATGCATTCAAAGCAAATGGTTTCTCAAGTTTTTAATTAAAAATGTTCATGATTTAGCTCCAAAAACACTTTCACAAATTAGATGTTTTGGATTCCTTAGATAATATAGGTGGGAGTTACCAATTGTTTCTGGATTTGGGGTTGAATATGGGATGCCTCATCAACCGTGAGACTGTTATGAACAGGAGAAAGAAGACATGGGACCGATTAATAAATCTTAATTTTAATTTCTCACTAGATGTTAAGAATAGCATTTCCCCCCAAATATATAAGATGTTTTACGATTACTTCTAGGCAAACATGATAGGATAAATCCAAGAACTCAGATGCTTTTCTATAAATGTCTAAATCTGAAGTTGAAAGGGAACACCACTCCTGATTTCAACCAGGACCATGTAGTTCTGGGTGATTTTGCCAGTGTACATAGCATCAGTGAGAACCGGGAGGACATCTGCACCTCCAGTTAGCAGAGGATCCTGGTGTGGCTGGAGCATCTTCTGCCGACCCCTTCCCCTGCCACGTCAACCCCTTGCCCTCTCCAAGCCATCCAGTTAAAGACATGGGGCCAGATGCCCAGCCCCTTCTTCCAGCCAGTGTGCCACTCCTCACTCCTCCATTTTAGAAATTCTACAGATATCACTGGCTCTACACTGGCATGCTTATCAGAAGCAAAAATCATATTAAAGGATGAAAATAAAAGCTTTTTAAAAAAGTTATTCTTGGCTGGGCACGGTGGCTCATGCCTGTAATCCCAGCACTTTGGGAGGCCGAGGCGGGTGGATCATGAGGTCAGGAGATCGAGACCATCCTGGCTAACACGGTGAAACCCCATCTCTACTAAAAATACAAAAAACATTAGCCGGGTGAGGTGGCGGGCGCCTGTAGTCCCAGCTACTAGGGAGGCTGAGGCAGGAGAATGGCGTGAACCCGGGAGGCGGAGCTTTCAGTGAGCCGCGCCACTGCACTCCAGCCTGGACGACAGAGAGAGACTCCATCTCAAAACAAACAAACAAACAAACGAAGAAACAAAGTCATTCTTATTAGCCATCCCAATACAGAGCCCACAGGACAATGGTGCTCTGTAGAGAAGGGGTGGGGTGAGCCAGGGGCCACAGCCCTTGCAGGCAGGGCGGGGTCTCTCTGTTTTACATATTGGTTTCTCCACATGCTTCCCTTCAAAGAGAGGATTCTAAGAATGAAAAATGTCTCCAAACCACCATGCCAGGCAATACAAATTTTGAAAGACTGTTATTGATGAATACACATACACACACACACACACACACACACACACACATACACACTCACTTCTGGTGCACTGTAACAAAAATGAAAATGACTTTCTGAGAAGCTTAACAAATACTTTTCCTTTGAAACATGCTTTATGAAATGACCAAATATTTTAAAGAAATGTATATTCTGAAAAATGAGAGAAAACTAAGATTGATGTCACTCTTTTGCATAAGCAATACTGCCATCCAAGTGATTAGGAAAAGCAGCCCTAAATAATGCAAATGTGAACCAAACTGCATTTTAATATGATAAACATTCAGAAGTGATCCATGCTATCATTTTTTATACAATGCATTCTTTTCTCAATTGATCTGAAGGCTGTGCATCTTCAAAGTAAACTGAATTCTGCTCTTTCTGTAATTCCCATGGAAGCAATTACCTACCATAAGTATTTTTCTCTACTCATGTAATTTCTACTGTTTTTATCTGGGAAACTGCTTAATTGTTAGTTTAAGAATACAGACAGGAAAAAAAGCACCATCAGTATTTCTTAAAGGTATGCTGCCTTCCCGATTATCAGCCTTCCCCATACACTCATAAAAGCATTTCTTGCAATCCCATTGTAGTTAATTTTTTTTTTTTTTTGAGATGGGAGTCTCGCTCTGTCGCCCAGGCTGGAGTGCAGTGGCGTGATCTCGGCTCATGGCAACCTCCACCTCCCTCGATCAAGCAATTCCCCTGCCTCAGCCTCTTGAGTAGCTGGGATTACAGGCGCACACCACCATGCCCAGCTAATTTTTTTGTATTTTTCGTAGAGATGGGGTTTTACCATGTTGGACAGACTGGGCTTGAACTCCTGACCTCAGGCAATCTGCCCGCCTCGGCCTCCCAAAGCGCTGGGATTACAGGTGTGAGCCACCGCCCCTGGCCGTAGTTAATATTTTTAACAAACACAAATATTTTGGTACAGAATAAGTATTCCTCTTATGCATTTAGAGAGCTGGATTTCGAAGAAAGTTAATAATGAATTAGTATCAATATTGATTCTCAATAAGAAACCTTATTAAAAATGGTTCCATCTTTCACTAGTTAGAATATTTCAGTAAGCATTTCTTACCTGGGAATATTCAAAGTCAGTGATAGGGGCTATGCTCTTGATGTAGTCTGATCGAAATTGGTTTTCAGGGTTGGCCAGCGGAACTGGAGGTATTATAGTACTCATTGCTGAAACAATTGTCTAAAATGGAATAAGAAAAAAAATATGGATAAACATTTAGGCTCCATGTATGATAATCTACAATATGTAATTTCTGTCTACACAGTTTTAGAATGAAGAGCACTTGACCTTTCTAGTAAACAATCATTTAAAAAAGTCCTTACCACGATAGCATCTTTAACATTTTTCCGGATGTCCAGAATTTTCTGTTTCTTTTCCCTGTATTGAAAGAGAGTTGTTATTAGCTTAATTTACTCTTAGCACTGATTCCAATCAATTGAGTGGGATTTTAAATTTCCAGCTACAGCACTGACCTAGACTGGTTTCACTAGAGGTCAGTATCAACCCCCAAGACATCCGCAAAGGTTTTATCTGGGAAAGGAAAGCACCCTTCTTTTCTAATTTGTACTCTAAACAAACTTGAATGCACACATTTTTTTAAAAATCTATAGCTTTAAACAACTATGCAGGTTACAGAAAAACTAGGCAAAATCGCTATGGATATTGCATATAAATATAACATGCAGTTACACCTGTAAATGTATTTTACCTAGATCTATCCCATGGATAATATGTTGACAGTTATAAACTGAAATAGATGCAAACAAATAATATTATATTGAAAAAAATATATCGAGATATTGGTTAAGTGTGCTCAGAGCAATACCAGTAATACAGATCAACACTCCAAGAATACCTATAAATCATATTTTGTTAAGCAAGTTTTTTTTTCATTAGACACTAGCAGAAGAAGGATTTGCCTAAATATACCAAATCCAACAGCAAATATCTAATTTTTTCCCCCTTGAATGTCTACTCCATTATCAAATAAATTAAAATTGTTTAGAGAAAGCACTTTTGGGACGTCTGGGAGAGAGACGAAGTTTGCATGCAGTTTGGAAGCAAACTGAACATTCTTACTCGGGATTAAACCCATTGACGTGCAGGATCCTCATCTGTTTGACGATAGTGCTTTTCCCAGACTCACCAGCCCCTGCAAACAAACAGAAAGAACGCTGTGATCTGTGTCCGGATATCGCTGCCATCTCTCACCACTAGCCGGGTCTGAGCAATCCTCCTCCCCCAGCACGGGGATTTCCTACACGCGGGTTCCTGGCTGGAGGAGCTCGCCCCGGCCGCCGTCTGGGCTCCGCGGCCCAGAGGTGCGCGCGACCCTCGCCCGGCCCTGCCCGCCCAGCCTGGCGCTCGCCGCTCCTGGCTGTGCGCTCCGCTGGGGCCGGGAGCCGCCGCGCGCCCCTCGGCCTTACCCAGGAGCAGCAGGCGGTGGGTAGCCTTGTAAGCCAGGCGCTCTTTCTGCAACTGCTTCTCGATCTTTTTGTTGGCCTCGCGTCGTTCTTTTTCATCGACGCCCTGGTCTTCCGTCGTCTTGCTGTTGCCGCCCAAACACCCCATGCCTGCCCGCTGGGATGGACGTCAGGAAGTTAGGAATGTGCGCAAAAAGCAATAGAGAGTTGGAGACGTGTGCGGCTCCTGCGACGGCTCCTCTCTTTCCTGCTGCTGAAAGAGATGGTCTGGTCTCTTCGGTGTTTTCCGATTCAGAGCAGGCGTTTCTTCTCCCTCCCCCTGCCCACCGCAAACTCCCAACTAAATGGCTGTAAGGAAGACGCGCGGAGTAAAATGCCTTTTTACACGAGAATTGTTTCAAAATCTGCTGGATGAATACAGCACAATGAACGGAGACGGGGGGCGAGGGCGCCGGTCTCCGCTGGAGACAGCCGAGGTGGCGCAGCGCCCCGGGTTCGCCCCACGTCCCTTCGCCCGCACTCCAAGCCTCGCTCAGCCCCGCCCAGCGGGTCCCCGAGGGGGCGGCGCGCTCGGCTGGGTGCCGGGTCCCAAACAGCCGGGGTGGTGGCTGAGCGTGGCGCGGAGGACAGAGCGCGCCACCGGGGTCCCAGAGGGCGACGATGGGCACCTGCCGGGCCGGCTCGCGCCCTGCTATTCCTCAGCCGTCGGACGTGCGCCCCCTCCCTGGTCTGGGATCCCGGTGCGGGGAAGGGAGAGGGAGGCTGGCTTTGGGGGCGGCCGGGCCGCTGGTCCCGGAGCTCTCGGAGAGGCGCTACCGCGCTGTAGGGGTCAGGGAGCTGACCCCCCACGGAGCCCGGCCGGCTGGGGCGCTTACACGCTGACCGGCCTGGGTTCCGGGCCCGCAGCCCCTCCGCTGCGCCGCGGCCGCCTGGCTCTCTTGCACCCCGAGCCGGGAAAGTGCGTCTGGGCGCGCGCCCCGTGTTGGCTCGGACGCGTCCCTGCTCCTGGCGGGCGAAGACTCGCGGAGGATCATGCATATTCTAGCAGGGAGGAGGATCCCTCCGAGGCTCACCAGTCACACCGCCTTTGTTCTGCTCAGCTTCTAGACTATTCCAGCTCGCCCACGTCGCCGCCTCCCGAGCCTCCTGTCTTTACCTCCAGCCCCCGTTTCTCCTGTGCAGTGCTCCCAAGCAGCACAACAACTCTTCCAGAAGGCACTGTGGCCTCGAACTTGGCGTTGTAGCAGAGGAACGAACTAGGGCGCGAGACTGGCACCTGCCCTCCGTTACTGAGACCCCTCCAATAGGGCCAGAGCCGGCAGCTTGGCGTTTGCAGTGTTGTACTTGGGGGAAGGAGGTCAGAAGAGGGGGCCGGGCCGAAGTCGTGGACACCAGCCGTGGGCGTGGAGAAATCACTGTTCCTTGTGTGTGGCGGCTCCCAGTTGACCGTCTCGGGCTTGGCGCTGCGCTGTCTAACTTGCCTTTGCTCAGCTCTGTCGTCGAGTGCCTCCACCTTCCAAGAAACCTACACGGTCTTCTTCACTGCGGAGCTGGCCTTCTTCAGGAGAACAGACCCCAGCCCGCCCCGGCTCCCCAGGCGGCGCTTCCCCTACCCTCAGGCCCGCCGCTGCCCTGTGGACCTTCGCCCCTCACCCAGCGCACCTTCCCCTCTCCACTCTTGCTTCAACCTCTCCTGCTACCGGCTGGTTTCCCTCAAGCAAGCGAACACATTCAACTCTGTCCCACCTGAACCACACAACACCTTTCATCTCACGCCCCTTGTTAGTTCCACCAGTTTTCCTCCTGCCCACCGCAGCCAAGAGTTAGAAAGGTCGTCTGACTCCGCCTGTATTCCCCTCCTGCTGCTCCCACCTCAGTACCTGGCAGCCTGGCTTCCACATTCACCCCATAGGGAAAATACTCTCATCAAGGTCATCTAGGGCCCCCCAGGGGCCAAGTCTCATCCATGAATTTTGGTCTTTATTTTCTTTCCGTCTCTGTGGCTCCTGCTTTGATCCCTCCTAGAGACTGCATTGGGTTTCAGGCTGTCCCTCTGGCCGGTGCATCCGGGCTCCTCCACCCAGGGGTCCGAGGAGCCGTCCCCACAGCACAGCCTCTCAACCCACACACGTTCCTGACGGGCTGACTGCATCCTCCATACTCTGCCCACTCAGCTCTCACCGTGCCCACCGCGGATCCCTAGCCCAGCCCATCCTGCTGACCACCACCGTCCCCAGACACACCGCCCCCACGGTGCCGCAGGTGTCTGGAATTCACCTTGCCAAGGATTGAGCTCATGCCCCGTGCCACCCTCACGCCTTCTACCTGCTCCTTTCTCAGTTCTTTCTCTGGAATAAGGGCCCCTAATTTTCCAAACCAGAACGGTGGGAGTTATGCCAGATTCCATTTTCTTACAAACCCCAACAGTTACCGCATCCCGTTGGGTCCGTTTCCTGAGTATCTGTCCTGTTCTTTCCGTGGCGTCTGCCACTGCTGTGGTCTTAGATTACTAACAGAGAGCTGGATTTCAGAGGCCTCCGGACGGTTTCCACTGCCTGCTGTCTCATTTCAGTGCACCTTGCACAATGCTCCCACTGCGATAATACAAATCCAGCCACATCACTGTCCCCATCATCTAAGGACCTGGGCCTGGTCCTTCTGGTGGGGTTAGTATAAACTCTCCCCTTCTTAGGGCTTACCCCATCCCTCCTAACACTCTCAGTTCCTGAACAGGCTGGTCGGGTGCATGTGCTGCTTGTGTCTTGGGAATACCTGGGGACTCTCTTTTCTGGGTCAACCCCCCTAGTTATCCTTCCAGCCTCAAGCTGGGCCTCACTGCCTCCCTCACATTGGGGGTTAGGCCACACCTTCTCAAGCCCTAAGGGAGCACCAGATTCTCCGCTGGTCTCACCCATCACCTTGCATTGTTATGGTTTAACTGTGTCCTCAAAACTCCACTAGACTGTGGACTCCTTGAGGGCGGAGGCTGAGCCTATCCTTGTACCTGCGGCACCGGTACCTGGTTCAGTGCCTGACCCAGAGGAGATGCGCTGGGAATATTTGTCAAGGGAATGAATGACGTCATGAAAGCGAAAGATAACTCCAGCTCAAAGTGTGAATTCTCATCAAAGGAATTTCATGACCACACGTAAAAAATATTTGTTCAATATAGTACTTTTCAATAAATATTCTTACTGAAAATAAAAATACATTTAAAAAATGCAATGAATTACTTTTCTAGACAGGCAGAAGCAAACATACACTGTCAGACTCCATTCTGAGCTAGGCTAAAAGTTGAAGTTCTGTGGAAGGAGACTGTTTAGCACAGTTTCCACAGCTCACATCTTATGAGTGTGTAAAGACATATATTCACACGTGGCAATATCAACCCAGCATGCGCTATGACTAGTGGGGCAGTCAGAAGGTGAGGTTTTTTTTTTTTTTTTTTTTTTTTTTGAGATGGAGTCTGGCTCTGTTGCCCAGGCTGGAGTGCCATGGCATGATCTCAGCTCACTGCAACCTCTGCCTCCCAGCTTCAGGGGCTTCTCATGCCTCAGCCTCCCGAGTAGCTGGGATTATAGGCACCCGCCATCACACCCAGCTAATTTTTTGTATTTTTAGTAGAGACGGGGTTTCACCATGTTGGCCAGACTGGTCTCAAACTCCTGACCTCAAGTGATCCAACCGCCTCGGCCTCCCAAAGAGCTGGGATTATAGACCTGAGCTACTGCGCCTGGCCAGAAAATGTATGTGTCTGTGCTTTTTTTTGAAAAAAGCATAGAGTAGTGGGATTTTTATAAGGATTTGCCAACTTTTTTTTAATGTCAAGATTTCTATAAAATGTTGGACAGCAGGGGACAAAATAAATCCCTTGAAAACTTATAAAGGGAGAATTATGTTAGAACCTAGAAGTCACATTTTTAAGGAAGTCTGATATTTAGTTTCCCTAAAAATATAGCAAAAGATTTCCACTTGTTCAGATTTAGCAATCAGTGTTAAAGATAAATTCTATATTTGAAATTTAAGAAGGATTAGGTAAACAGATGTGATGAAAAAGTACCAAAATATACCCAGGAAGTTAATATATTAATAATATAATGATAATGTGTGTGCTATAAAACTGCTTCTAGTTATGGAGTGATTGCTGGCACTGGGTTAAATCCTTTCCATGGAACAATTTACTTGGTATTTGCCCTAAAAGGTGGGAACTATTGTCATCATCATTTTACAGAGACTGAGAGGCTGAGTAAGAAGAGTATCTGGGACACAGACCCTTGCAGCCTGGCTGCAACATTCGCACTATTACCTGCATTGTGTGCCACAACACATTGCCAACACTCTAAAACATAAAAGCACTTTCCTTACACAGTGACGAGACATTTCTCATGAAAAATGCAAAGCCAATCTTAGCCTATTTTCAGGTAGGAATTCAACACACCTTAAAAAAATTTTTAACCCAATCACCTGACCTTTTTCTAGTTTGGTCTGGGAAACCGATTCTCATTTGTGTTTAGAACCATTGGATCAGCATCAGGTGTACCAGCTGGCCACCTGGAGCAGTGGGAGCAGGGCTGGTGGGGAGGGTACCAAGAGCAGAGTGGCGCCCGCTGCCAGTGTGAGCGTCTGTTGCTAGGCAACCGCAGCAGCAGCATTGCGCTCCCCGGCAACACACCCACCTGCGGGGACCCAGGGCTGCCCTGGGAGCCACCGGCAGAGGGTCCAGGCTGACTGCGCCAGAGCCAGGAAGAGAAGGTCCTGGTCACCTCGTGGAGAATTTGAAAGGCACAAAAGTAAAACAGTTGTTTCCTCACTCTTGTTGAAGTTTAAGACATACAGGATGTCTCAGAAGTCTTTTTCTTTCTTTTTTTTTTTTAATTTAAGACTTTTATTTTTTTCACACCCCAGTAGGCCTGGGTGATTTTCCTTGCCCCCCTATCCATCCCCAGTACCCCTATCCATCCCCAGTACCCCTATCCTTCACAACAAGAACATTTGCTGTTGCTCTTTGGCTCAGAGAGCACCTAGGCTTAGGTAGCTGACTTGCAGTGGGTCAGTGAGCGGGCATCGATCCATGTGGGCATGCGGTACTGGGTCAGCCACTGCACCCTGCCTGGGTAGTGGCATTCAAGCCTCAAGGGCATGAACAGACTTCTTTGGCTTTAGGATATTGAAGGGAAATTTCTGGCCCACATTTGCTGTCATTGCGTCTTCAACCTGATGTTCAACATATTCCTGTAACACCTTAAACCAGGCATTCTTATTCCATCCCTGAAGGCTTCTTTTGTTCCCCAGAGAATCTCTTCAGGGTCTCAGACTGGAGTCCTCAAATGTCTCTTTCAGGAGCTGTTTCTCCACCTCATCTTTGGAGTTCTCATTTCTGGTGGCAGAGACATGTAACAGGAAGAAAATCGATGATGCAGAAACCAGACTCTCAGTTCAAGGCTGTGGGCAGCGTGGGCAGTTCGATCTGCGCTGAGAACACCAAACAAATAGAGCTCCTTCAGAGGCCTCTCTCTCCTCGGCCTCATGAAAATATACATAACCCTGCATAAGTTCATCTGATCTCTGTCCAGAGAAGATCACCATGCTATCTGTGTTCTTCCAAATCTACTCGGAAATTAAATACTCACCTACTGAAGTGCAAACTGTTGTAATGTCCTAAGTTTCCAAGGAAAATATGACTTCATCCAGAGCCTGAGTGCCTTCCTCAGAGTTCAAGAGGGTTTCATGATGTTCACTTCCAATACGATCTGCCACTCGTCCAGCAACCAATAAATCAGGGCTGCCCTCCATGCCAGTCACAAATGTCTGGGGAGTGTATTTTGCACTGCGTCTCTTTCAGCTGCTTCACCTGGGTGGCAGCAACCAAGCCAGAGTCCAAGCCCCTAATAAAATGGAGCCTATCCTTCTGTCTGTCGTCAAAATTGTCCTTCTCCTTTTTCTCCCTCTCCTTCTTCTTCTTTCTTTTTTTTAGACACAGGGTCTCACTCTGCTGCCAGGCTTGAGTGCAGTGGCACAATCACAGCTCACTGTAGCCTCAACCTCCTGGGCTGGAGGGATCCTCTCCCCTTGGCCTCCCAAGTAGCTGGGACTACAGGCATGTGCCACCACTCCTGGGTAATTTTTAAATTTTCTGTAGAGATGGGGTCTTGCTATGTTGCCCAAGCTGGTCTTAAACTCCTGGACTCAAGTGATCCTTCCACCTTGGCCTCCCAAAGTGCTGGGATTACAGGTGTGAGCCACTGCACCTGGCATTAAATTCTTCTTAATATCATTGTTAAAAAGGAACCAAAGCTTGCTCTTCAAAGTTTCTGTCTCTAAACCTGAGAAGAGCTTCTCCACATTGTTACAGAAGGCATGCAGAGGTTGTACCTACAGTGATGATATTTAACCATTTCCACAGATGCAACTTTGCCATTTGCCTTTAAATCCAAAACTTCATAGTGTCCCAGAACAAAAGGCTCCACTTTTAAAAGGGGAGTCGTGGAGTGCTCCAATGGAACAAGAACTTCAGCTTCTGAAGACACAACCAAAATCCATCTTCTGTTACGGCTTTAAACAAAACCCGACTCCCTAGGTATCTCTGCCCAAGAACACTTTCTTATTGGCAGTATCTAGCAAAGTAATTGCAAATACATCATCCAACATACAAACTGTTTGCTCAATCCCTCTTTTGTCGTAAAGATGACGATTATCTCACTATTCACGTTGGTCTGGTGTTCAAATTCAAAATGGTGTTGCATCTTTTTTTTGTGGTTGTAGCTTTCACTATTGTAACAGGGCTACAAATATGGATATTTCTTCACTCAAATCGGCTGCATTCCAAATAGCTGATCAACCACTGCCAACTGGTGAAATCCAAAGAAGCAGTTGGTGTGTCCATTGGCATTCTCAAAACGAAATGCGTGTGAACAGAAAGGCAGTCGTTGCTGCCAAAGAGGGCCCAAATGCCATATACGGTCCTGTGAAGCCATGGGCTCTGATTTATTCAAATAAATCAAATGTGATGGAAAAGACTAGGCACCAGCGGGTCAGGTTGGAGGGGACAGCCAGGGCCAGGGCTGCAGAAGGCATCTCAGAAGTCTTAGTGCATTTGAAAGTTTAATTATTTAAATTTCTTTTATACTTAGTTTTGTAAATTTTGAATAATAATTTAAAAACTTGGTCTCTTTCAGTCTTTCGGATTGAAGATGGCAAATGTTGAAAAAAAAGTCACCTGTTCTCTGGTTAGCTGAGCTTAAGTCCCCAATAGCAGTAAGAAGGAAATTTGTTTCCCATTATAAGGAGCCTCCCACCCCTGCAGAAATTTAATTAACAACTGGATGAAAGGATGAAAAAATTCAAGGCAGCTGTTTCAGTTCACGACAGGCCAAGATCCAGGAGATGCTGATCAAGTTTGAAAACTGACTAGATGTATGTATAGCACAAGACGGTGGATACATTAAATTTTAATAAAAAAACAATAGATAGAAAATGTAATAACTGGTCTTCTGTAGTCTTTATACTTTAAAGGTTATTAAAGATGAAAACTGCACTAAGACTTCTGGAACAGGTACATCAACAGTTTTAGCGCCCATCACAGTGGCTCACACCTGTAGTCCCAGCACTTTGGGAGACCAAGGAGGGGCAGATTGCCTGAGCTCCGGAGTTTGAAACCAGCCTGGGCAACATGGCGAAACCCCAATTCTACAAAAATTACAAAAGTTAACCGGGCATGGTGGGATGCACCTGTAGTCCCAGCTACTTGGAAGGCTGAGGCAGGAGGATTGCTGGAGCCCAGGAGGTCGAGGCTGCAGTGAGTCATGTTTGCATCAGTGCACTCCAGCCTGGGTGAGAGAGCGAGACTCTGTCTCTGAGGAACAAAACAGTTTACGAAAGGTGAATGGTCACTAAATTCTATGCACTAACAATGCTCCAAGAAGCCGAAAGCTATAGCCCGAGAGTTGCAAACAACTGGGTGGTGCTGGAGTTGTGGCCACTGAGTGACCAGTGTGCACACAGCCCTCAGATGGGGGTCCCTTCGGGACATTTTAAACAACTTCCTGTTGTTTTATCTCTCTTTTTTTTCTTAGTATCTTGGTGGAAATAACCTGAGTAGATGATCATTCATTTTTAGCAGCAGAGATCATTCTGTGACCTAATTATAGTACACTTAAAAAACATCATGATAAAAATTTTAACGATTTTTAGAGAAAAGCAGGGAAATATTTTTCCATTTTCCTTTTCTGTACATAATAATCTGTGATCAAATATTTTAGAATGTATTGAAATAATTTATCTTCTATTTTTCTTACCCCTATAACCAAAGTAATATTAAGGAGCTTTTAGAAGTGTCATCTGTAAAGGAGAATAACACATTCTTCTTTAACTCACAGCTTTAAAAACCAAAATAACACTGAATCAGTAGGAAAAGTAGGTTACATGTCTCTGACTTCACCCCTTGTCCAAAAATCCAGGACTGAAATATCCAGTGCCACTAAAGCACTGGACTCAGTGGCACAGATAGGAGTTTAATTACTGTGTTAGAAGGTGGAAAGGCCATTGAATATGTCAAAACAAAACCAAACAAAAGCGTATCCCACAAAGCATAACAAGAGGAACCTGCAAATAGAATGAACTATCAAGGTCTTACAATTCAAAAATATCCCCGAAGACCACCAAACTAGGTCAGGCTGTGAGGCAAGGGTAGGTGTGGGGACCACTGGTGTATTTTAAGAGAAACCACACACCTCAAAGTTGCATTTAAAACACATTTTACAAACCAGAAATCAAATAAAGTGCCCAATAATTTGCATTTGAACAGTGAAAATCAGCAACCCCATCTGTTTCAATCTGCTGTTTAACCTCAAATAGCCTAGCAGCATTTTGGACTACAGCAGATATTCAAACACATGTTGTTTAGCCAATGTGTTTTAATACCAAAGTGAAGTTTCAAAACCAGTCTAAAAAGCTTTAAAGATGGTGCTCTCTTTACCAATTAACAAACATCAGATGAAGTAAAATGTAAAAATTTTTCAAGCAAATCTACCATATATGAACAAAGTTTCTTTCTGAGGGAATATTTTATGATAAAAAATAATTTTAGCACTTAGAGGACGGTTCTAGATACCCTGACTTTTCTACTCTTCAAATGATTATATTCACAAACATATTTTAGTATAAAGTGAGTCGGACTCCACAAAGTCCCTTGATTTGGAGCAAAAAGACAGAGGAACAATGTGGTCTGCATTGTAAATGCCTAACAGTGGTGGTTTTTTTTTTTTTTTTGTATTAGTGAGTGCTCCTGTGGAAAATCAAAGGTGTGGTGACATCCACGTGTTAATCCCAGTGTTAACACCTGATTCTGTGTAAATCCTAGCGCCAACACCTCATCTCATGTGGCCCCTAGGCTAACACCTGATTCCACATGAATCCTAGAACTAGCACTGATCCCATGTTGGAATTCAGTAATGTCTGTCTGTCTGCCTCACACTGTTCTCATATTTTAAGCAAATCAAGTGGGGATATACCATAAGGGAAGATGGTTCGTAGAGTCCAATTTCGTGTCCACACAAAAAGGAAAGGAGGATTCAAGTAGTTGAACACATGGATATTGCTACCTACAGGCTGTCACCCAAAGAGATGTATTCCAGAAAGGATAAGAACACTCTAAGACCAATTTCTTAAGTTTCTGTGCAGTTGAGCAAATAGGACTAGCACAGCCCACTCACTCAGAGGGCAGTGTGCCAGGATGGGTATGAGCCGAGGGCTAGGTGGCGTGGGAGGGACACTGAGGGGTGTGTGAGGGTCCTTGGAATCCCGCAAAGCTTCATCATGGGAGCGGCATCCGAGGCCGGTGTTGAGGAGTGGTGGGGTCGGACCACATGGAGGGAAGGCGCACATTTAAGGTGAGAAGGCACTGCAGAAGGATAGGCAGAGGGAAGGGAACTGCTATCGCCCAGGAGGCAGGTTGGCAGACAATGAAACTCAGTCTCAGAGGTCGGGTGAGCATATGAGCCCCAGAATGCGTGTTCTTGGCACGGAAACTTTTCTTAAGAGGCAGCCCCTCCGCTGGGTGCAGCATAGCGGATGCCGAACAAGAATGCCAGCAGAGGTCCCTTTCTTTGTTATTCTCTGTCCTTCTCAGTGCATGGGTGAGGGTAACAGTACTCCCCTCATGGGGCTGTGGTGAGGATTAGATGAACTGATTCACTGCATCAAGCTCCCAGTAAGTGGACTGTGGTAATTATGACGATCATTCAATAGGAATAGAACTAATATATATCCATCTTATCCCTCTCCATGAGGCAGCATGTGGACATCCTTGAGGATTTCCTAGCTTTTTCTGCTGAGCAGACACATGAACAACGAACTATAGTACGGTCAACAAAGACTCACTGAGGGCCTGTGACACTCAGCTGAGCACAGTGTAAGCTGCTGGCTGGGAACACACAGGTAACAAAGCATACTAGGAACTGTACAAAAATGCACATGTGATGGGCGAATGGGTAAGCAAAATGTGGTAGAGACAGAAAGTAGAATGGTGGTATCCAGGGGCTGGGAAGAGAGGAGAAATGAGGAGTTAGTGTTTAACGGGTACAGAGATTCAGTTTGGGAGGATGAAAAATTTCTGGAGATGGATGGTGGTGAAGATTGCACAATGATGCGAATGTACTTAATGCTACTGCGCTGTACTCTTAAAAATGATTTAAATGGTACATTTTATATTGCATATATTTTACCAAAATAAAAAAGAACAAAATGCACATGTAGAATTTTCAGCACAGCAATTGTGGGAGAGAGTCTCCTGATGACAGCTGAGTGACTTCAATTCCTTGTTCTTAGACACATTTACTGCAATTATACTTTTACACCAGCAGGTGACAACATGGAGCCTGGGGGACAGATGGAGGCTCTGAGGTGCTTTTAAAGCAACGCATGTTCATTCATTCATTCATTCATCATAAAGCATTCTTTGAACACCTACTATACATCTAGCACACTTCCATGCCTTGACATTATAAGGATAAATAAGACATTGTCCCTGATCTCATTAATTTAATAGTCTAGTTGAGAGGGATGGACCTGCAGTCAAGTTCTCTGAATTCTGTAACGATTACAGCGGGAGCACAGAGGAGTTTGTGTGGTTAATTCTACAAGTGCATAAAAAACATCATTTCATTTTTTTTAGAGAAATTTATGCTAATATTTGTAAGTCACTCTTCATTTTTAAAAGACACTGAAAGGTGCTTTATTTTCAGCATCTCATTTGATGATTATAGAATGCACCATATTGCCCACAATTTGGTCCATAGCTTTCACAGGGGTCTGTTCTGTTGGATTCCAAAGCCTCCACCCTTTCCCGGATGAACTCTGAGGCCTCTTACAGATTTTAAAAAACTACACCCTTCTCTCTTCTACTAATTCCAAAAGGAAAAATCAAAGAAGCCTACCTCCTTTCCCACTCAGTTAGGCAGATTAATCTGCATATAATGACTGATGAATTAATTATCTCTTTGCCCAGTTGCCTTAGCAACTGGTTTCTTTTAGACTTTGGTTTAGTTACAGAGTTTAAAGCAACAGTATTCCTTGTAATAGAATATCGAATTGTCTATGCAATTAAACATAACATAAACTTTTCTTATCCCAGGTAGGAACTATGAGCCTTTCTCAGAGAAGCTGGAGTGGCTCATCCTAAAACTTGCAGGGCTGTTGACAAAGAGGAAGGGGCACAGAGCTTCATATTTGTCTATGTTTGCATTGCATGGTTTGCTTTTATTTGTCATCACATAGCAACATTTGATGAATTTAAACTATGGGTAAGTTGAGACTGACATTCAAAAGGGATTCCCTCATTGCACACGAATCCGAAACAAATTTAGATGTATTGTATGGTTGAGCAAATGAAGAAATGTGTTATGTTGTGAATGAGAGCCAGGATTTTCAGAAAGGAAGAGGCAACACACACATATGGAATGAAGAGAAGCAAGAGGCCTGTGGGGATGGACTGGAATTGCAAGAATTGGTATGAGCTCATGATTTTTAAAATATACATAGACACACTCATGATTCTGTCCACAAATGGGTGTGTGCAAGTGTATTTGTGAGCCTGTGTATGTTTGTCCCTGTGTATCTACATGCATGTATTTCCTATTTCTGTCTGCTGAAATGCCAAGAAGTGAAGACTCTCCAGTAGCAGCGAGCAGGGACGGTACCCAGATCTTGGTCATCCTTAGAGAAATAGCTAACTGGGGGTGTGGGGTGTGGAGTGGGCAGGGCAGGGTAGCTATGAGCTAAACCTGGAACACTGTTATGTCGGAAAGTAAGGAAGTGCCCCAAAATGCTGGGGGTACACCACTAGCACACAAGAGCTGGATTGAAGGGGCTCTCATTTGGCCAAATGTGGGATGATGTGAGCACCAAAACAGTTAAGTACTGTAACGAATTCTAAGCCACTGAAAATTACAGGCCTGTCAGGTGTCCCTGCCAACAACAGACAGATAAATAAATAAATAAATAAATAAATACATAAATAGAAAAGGGAGGACTCTAGCCAAAGGCAGCTAGTGAATGCGGAAGGAGGGCTGGGACAGGGGACACATCCTTTTCGACCACTGTGGGGAAGCATGGGTCGGGTGGAATTGGCAGCAGATGCTGAACGCAGGGGGAGGTTTTAACGAGGAGCAGGAGGGCTGTATGGTCTTAAAGTGTCTCCCCATAGGGTGCTTATTAGTGGCAACATAAAAAAAAAAAAAAGTAACCACACAGTGGAGAAACTGGACACCAAATTGGGTCATCACAATTGACCCCACCAGTGTGGGAGGTGTGGGCATCACAGGTTTCCACAGGTGAGACCCCGGGAAGGACACCACAGAGTGTATGCAGTGCTCTAGCCAGAAAGGTATTTCCTGAATTTAAGTCAGGAGGAAACATCGGGCAAACCTAAAATTAAAAAAAAAAAAAGGAAAGGGACCTGTATTCTTCACTAATGCCAATGTCATAAAGAGCTAAGGAGCGATGCAATACCTCCAATCCTGGAGGGGAAAATGCTGGAGAACACATAGAGGGGCCGACCGATGAAACTGCTGTGCAGATGATGACGGGTCAGACACACTTATTGTCTCAATATCCAATCGAGTGATTTTGAGAACCGTACCATGGTCACCTAAGGGAATACCCTGCCCCTAGAAACACACACGGACGTCCTTTGGGAGTCAACGGCCATGATGGCCACAGCAAGCTCTCAGAAGATGGAGAAAGATTCACCTGTCTACACCTCCACCTGCACATCTACAGAATGTATGCAAATGAGAAGGCACACAGGGAAATGTGAACAAGAGGCGAACCTGGGTGAGGGGCATTTAGGAAACCTTTGAAGTCTTATTCTTGCAACTTTTTTCTAAGTTTGAGATTGTTTCCAAATGAAAAGTTGAATAATGAGAACAGCCTCAGATGCTCTGCTCTGTAAGAATTTCCCTGAATCTGAGCACCAAGTGCCCCCAGGGATCTAGGCTGCGCAGGGCACTCTCTGGGCCCTCACCTGCCCTCGTTCAGTGGGCAGCGGACACCATCATGGTGTTTCTGCTCGTGTACTTCGGTGATGCACTGATCGCATGAAATAAGGCAGTAAGATGTTATGACGTCGGGCGGCAAAGAGCAGTGGGCTCCTCCGCAGCACTGAGGTTCTGTGGGTATTGAGTCCCCCAGGTCACTGCCGTCCTGCCTGGCAACCTGCACATCCTCCTCATCCTCACCCGCTCTGCACGGACTCATACTACACAATTTTCCAATTCTGCCTGGAAGGAGTGCCTCCTCCTTTACCCTGGGGAATAACTGCTTCAAGAGGAAAGGCTTGGCTGGGCGTGGTGGCTCATGCTTGTAATCCCAGCACTCTGGGAGGCCGAGGCAGGCGGATCACTTGAGGCCAGGAGTTCGAGACCAGCCTGGCCAACACGGTGAAACCCTATTTCCAGTGAAAATACAAAAAATTAGCTAGGTGTGGTGGTGGGCGCCTGTAATCCCAGCTACTCAGCAGGCTGAGGCAGGAGAATTGCTTGAATCCGGGAAGTGGAGGTTGCAGTGAGCTGAGATAGGGGAAGCTGGGGCATGTCTGCCTCGGCAGTGAGCTGGTCATGAAGGTGCCATGCTGGGCTCTGCTCACAGAGGTCAGGCCATCCTAGATGACAGCCCTCCCCTCAGGGAGCTTGGTGTCCCAGCCAGAGACATTGCTGCCCACAGCAGACCTGGCCTGGCCAATGCATGCTACAAGAAGTTAAGACACAGAAGCCAAGGGCCAGGGGTCCAGTGGCCCAGGCTGTGCTTGGGCAGGAGCCTAAACGCTGGAGGAGGCCTTTGGGGCCTGCTTGGAACAGTGGGACTTTTGGGGTGGGTGGTGCAGGCTAAGCTCATGTTGGGAGCCCGGCAGCCAGAGGAGCTAGAAGAGAGAAAGCCTGGAAGCAGGGTCTGTGGGAGGCTTTGATATTAAAAGAGGAAATGCAAGTCAGCCCTTCATCTGCTGAGTGATGAGCTACCAGCAGGTCTGTCAGCCCCAAGTCACTGCCTTCTGTGAAGCAGAGCCTGGACGCTGGGGGTTCTGCCGGCCTGCAGACCCACCCTCTCCGGCCCAGGGGGCTGGCTCTGCAGACAGCCTCCACTGGGTTCCCTGGCCCAGCTCCTGTGGGTGCAGGGGGAATGGCAGGGTGAGGGGAGGAGGTCAGGGTCCTTCCCCCGTTCCCCCATGTCAGGCTGAATGCTGTCATCAAGCTCTCTTCAGTAACCTGTTTTGAGGGGATTGTTTGTTTTCTGCCAGATTTCTCACCCAAATGGTTCCCTTCCTCTGGGCTGATATGTCCCTGTGCCCAGCACAGGGCTTGGAGAGCAGAGGCATCCGGATTTCAGTCCCCATGGCTACTCTGGTCAGATGACCCTGTGCGGATGGAAACCTGCACTGCTATGTGGGGTGGCCCTGGCACACTGGCAGGTCTGGGCAGCTTTGATCTGACAAGGGCTGTGCTTTCAGAAGGAAGGTGAACCAGTGGACTGGAGAGATGGGGAGAGTGGGCAGGAGGGCAGTGAAACCCACTGCAGAGACCCCGAGGTGCAGCCAGGGAGGTGAGTGCAACAGACATTCAGAAGAGTGGAAGAGAGAAACATTCAGAGAGACTTGGAAGACCTTGGGGGCTGATCAGACTTGAAGGTCAGGGAGAGGGAGATGAGAAAATGCCTTAGGATTCTTAGAATTTGACTAGAAAACAATATACACAATTTAAAGCATTGGTAGGCATTATTGTAATGAAGCAAGCTATTTTCTCTTCTACAAAGATGATTAAAACATGCACAGTAAGCTCATTGTATATATAGTAGTCCTCAGATGAATATTTAACAAAATGTATTTTTTAAAGTTTGAAATACTCCACTTACCCGCATGTGATTGTTACACATTGGATGCTTGTATCAAAATATCTCATGCAACCCATAAATAGATACACCAACTATGCATCCACAAAATTTAAAAAAATTGAAATAATTCCAAGCTCACAGAAAGAATAGTATAAAAATGTTCCACATGCTCTTCACCCAGTTACTTCAATTGTTAGCATTTTGCTACATTTGCTTTATCATATACTTTCCCTATCTGTATGTTTTCATATTCGTATTTACACATTTTTTTCCCCTGAACCATTTGAAAGTAAGCTGGAACCAGTATGCCCTTGTCCATAGGTATTTCCTAAGGCTGAGATTCTCTTACATAACTACAAATGTTGCTACAGTCCTACTGACTAATCAACCATCCATATACAAAGTCTGCTAACAGAACCAAGTGTCCTTTGTAGCAATCTCCCCATCCTTCTTCCAGGGGCTGGCCCAGGATCACACAGCATTTAGCTGTCCTGTTTCTCTTCTAACACAACTGGGGAATTTACACCCTGCAGTTGACATGGGAAAATGATTGTGAAGGTTGTTCTTCATGAGCTAGAGGAGGTTATCATCACCACCAGCAGCTTCTAAACAGCAAGGCTCAATCTCTCAGACACACCAAGCACCTTCTGCAAACAGGGGTTGCAGAAGTCAAGTACAAATCTTTCAGAACAACTGCTGTACAAATGCAGTTTAAAGGTATGTGATACTTTAAATCTTATTTAAAATAAAACTAATACTTCTACATACAAAAAAATAAAACCACAAAGAAGTATCTTTAAAAAATAATAGAGATAGGGTCTTGCTCTGTTGCCCAGGCTGGAACGCAGTGGTGTGATCATAGCTTATTGCAGCCTCTAACACGTGGGTTCAAGTGATCCTCCCGCCTTGGCCTCCTGAGTAGCTAAGACTATAGGTGTGTGCCACCATGCATGGCTAATTTTTAAATTTTTTGTAGACACGAAGTCTCACTATGTTGCTCAGGCTGGTCTGGAACTCCTGGCCTCAAGCAATCTTCCCGCCTCAGCCTCTCGAAGTGTTGGAATTACATGTGAACCACCATGCCCAGCCAGAAGTATCTTTAATAAAAGAAGTCTCTCCCTCTGTGGGAAGAAAATAGACTAGATTTGGAGATGTACTGGCATGTTAAGTCCCAGAGTAAGTTGCGGGACAAGACAGAGAGTAGTAAACTCTGCATATCAAATCACTATGTTAATAGATTCTTGTATATGAACAGGGGGAGGGCTCGAAGGCATCCGATAAACAATTGGGACCCAGGAAGGGAGGTTTCCAGTGTTGCTCTCTGTCCTTTTCCATTCTCTGAACTTTTTACTGTGACCTTGCATTTTTTTCTCCCTTCCTTCCTTCCTTCCTTCCTTTCCTTCCTTCCCTCCCTCCCTCCTTTCTTTCTCTCTTTCTTTTTTTTTTTTTGAGACAGGTTCTCACTCTGTGGCTCAGGCTGGAATGCAGTGGCACAATCTCGGCTCACTGCAAACTCCTCCACCTCTAGGGCTCAGGCAATCCTCTCAACTCAGCCTCCCAAGTAGCTGTTACTACAGGTGCATGCCACCACACCTGGCCAACTTTTTATAGTTTTAGTAGAGGCAAGGTTTTGCCATGTTGCCCAGGCTGATCTCGAACTCCTGGGCTCAAGTGATTCTCCTGCCTCAGCCTCCTAAAGTGCTAGGATTACAGGTGTGAGCTTCACACCTGGTCACATTCTTTTTAATTAAAGAGACCAGTGAGCTACTCTTATTTAAATGATCCATTCCTTATCATCACTCTCTTCATTGAGCTCAACTCACTTATTAATACCACTTATCAATACCTTATCAGGTCGGGCACAGTGGCTCACACCAGTAATCCCAGCACTTTGGAAGGGCAAGGCGGGTGGATCACTTGAGGTCAGGAGTTCAAGACCAGCCTGGTCAACATGGTGAAACCCCGTCTCTACCAAAAACACAAAAATTAGACGGGTGTGGTGGTGCGAGCCTGTAGTTCCAGCTACTTGGGAGGTTGAGGCAGGAGAATCACTTGAACCTGGGAGGTGGAGGTTGCAGTGAGCCAAGATCGTGCCATTGCACTATAACCTGGGTGATAAGGGCGAAACTCCATCTCAAAAAAAACCCCCACAAAAACAATAAACAAAACCTTATCAAATGCCCACCAATCCTCACGTCGGCCTGGCGTTTTCCCTGTGCCCACCTGAGTCCAGCCTTTCTCTTTATCTAGGATGCTCTCTTCCCACTTCTCTGCAAGTCCATCAAACCGGTTCTATACTTGGTTCAAGCACTCCTGCATCAGATAGGGGACGCTGGTCTAAATGCCATTTGCCCTTTAGCTTCCTGCCTGGTTGCTGTGGTTCTCTGAGAATGCCAAGTTTCTCCAGTAGAATAAATCCCCCCAAAGGCTATTTCCTACATGCTCATCAGATCATTGATGCTTACTGAGTGAACTACAGAATGACCCCAGCAGTGGTCCTGCTTAGGATCTGGTAGTATTCCCTTTGCAACCTAAAACCTCACCTGTTGAACGATGCCATGAGATCTTTAGAGTCCTAGGCGAGCCTATGAAACTCCCATGCTATCTAGAATGCAAGCTATTGCTAATCTCTCAGAAATTGCTGCTCTCCAAGGACATATCATTTAAGCCACACAGCCATGCTCCAGCCCTCAGAGCCCAGACATGATTGCCTCCACTGAATCCATTCTATGTGATTTGATCCTGTCCTGTAAAGAAAATCTACACCCGGCGCGGTGGGTCACGCCTGTAATCCCAGAACTCTGGAAGGCCAAGGCGGGTGGATCACGAGGTCAAGGGATCGAAACCATCCTGGCCAACATGATGAAACCCCGTCTCTACTAAAAATACAAAAATTAGCTGGGCGTGGTGGTGCACGCCTGTAGTCCTGGCTACTCAGGAGGCTGAGGCAGGAGAATCGCTTGAACTGGGAGGCGGAGGTTGCAGTGAGCTGAGATCGCGCCACTGCACTCCAGTCTGGTGACAGAGCGAGGCTGTCTCAAAAAAAAAAAAAAAAGAAAAAGAAAAAGAAAAGCTTATTGCTCTTCCCTAACCCCCAGTTCCATCGAGAAACCACCGAGCCTCTGGAAAGATGGTTTCATCTGAACTAAGAGCTGTTTCAAAAAGGATGAGGCCACCCCACATCTTCATCCCTTCTGGTGAGGCTGGGGGCCTCCTCCAGGAGAGAAATGATGGCGCAGTTCTACAGAACGGACACAGGACCTGTCCAGGAATGTGCAGAATGACACGCACACACAAGTTCTGGGCTTGGACTTTTTTTTTTTTTTTTTTTCAGTGATAGACATAGGGGATACAAGTGCAGTTTTGTTGCATGGCTATAGAGCATAGTGTAGGCATCACTTGAAGAGCGTACACTGTACCCAGTAAGTAATCGTCCCTCCCTCCCTCACATCCTGCCTCTCTAATGTCTGTTCTTCCACTCCTGTGTCCGCGTGCACACATTGTTTCACTCTCACTTATGAGAACATGTGGCATTTGACTTCTATTTCTGAGTTATTTCACTTAGAGAATTACCCTCAAGAAGACATGATTTTACTCTTTTTACAGCTGAATAGTATTCCATAGTGTATAAGTACCACATTTGCTTTATCCAGTCATCCGTTGATGGACTTGGAATGTTTTTTAAGACAGAAAAAACATCTCCAAAAGATGAAAATGAGAACACACCAGTGAGAGGCTGGGACCTTGCTGCCGTTTAGCTCCAGCTCTGGAGAACTGGCTGTGTCCAGCAAGCCCCCCAGCCTCACTGGCCTCACTCCCCAGTTTCGCTTCTGCTCTCCGCCACCTGGGTACAGCATTCAGCAGGCAGAGCAGTTTAAAGGGTGAGCAGAGGGAAACAGCTCACCCTTTTATATAGCAGGAGCTTCACACATGACAGCTGTCCCTCAGACACAGCACGAGAGGCCCACACCTCCAAGTCCCCAGTCGACGGCTCCCCGCGCCCGGGCGCAGCTTGGTGCATTGCAGGAGCCTTTCCCTCGCCAGCGCCCCTGTGCCACAGCGCCACCAGGCGGCCGTTCGAGAAACAACCCGACTCTGAGCACAGATCAGAGTCTTCTCTTCACATGTCCAGGTGTCCACAGCGGACCAGACAACACTACTTCCTTCCAAGCAAGTTTTATTTCTTCTTTCCTTGCTGTCTGCAATTTCTGACAAATCAGTTAATCACTGCCCAGAAAGCTCTTACTTCATGAATACATAACTGTAGGCATCCCTATACCCACTCCTGTGTTCCCGCCTTTCTATTTTTGCTGTTTCCCTCTTCGTGAATTTCCCTGTGCTTCTGCTTATGTGATTGCTGTAGCTAACTTACTGTGCTTCTCATCAGTTACTGGGTTCTGCTGATTTAACATTTACATTGACAAAACAATGTTTCAAAGCATATTAACATTTTCTTTTGAACACTCCGTCTATCCCTCCTCCATTTGTAAATGTTGGGAAGATCCATATTTAGAACCATGTAGTTAAAACTTGTTAGCACTGAATATTGCTAACATACAACACAATTGAAATGATAAAATCGGGGCAAAACTTGACACTATTCCTTTTTGAACAGATACCCATGGGTGAGGACAGACTAAATGTAGAGTTACGTGTGCTTGAGAACAAATGAGAAAAAATGACAAATAACCCAATTAAAATAGGAACAAAGGATTTGAACAGACATTTCTCTAAAGAAGATATACAAATAACCAATTTGCATAAGAAATGATACTCAACATTATTAATTAAGGAACTGCAAATCAAAAGCACAGTGAATAACATCTCACATCCACTAGGATGGCTACAATAAAAAAGACAGTAACGAGTGTCGGTGAGATGTGGAAAAATTAGAACCCTTCATACACTGCTGGTGGGAAAGTAAAATGATGCAGCCACATTGGAAAACTGTTTACGTTTTTCTTAAAAAGTTGAACATACAGTTACCACATGACCCAGCAATTCCAATTCTTGGTAATACCCAAGAGAAATAAGCATATATTTAGACAAAAACCTGTACACAAATGTCCATAGCAGCATTATTCATGAAAGCACAGAAGCAGAAACACGCAAATGTCCACCAATGATAAATAGACAAAATATGGTATACCTATATGATGGAATATTGTTCAACCACAAAAAGGAATGAAGTAGAGATGTATGTTACACATAGATAAAAACATTATGCTAAGAAAAAGAAGCTAGTCACAAAAGACCACATATTATAAGATTATTTATGTCAAATGTCCAGAATAGGCAAATCTGCAAAGAGAGAAAATAGACTAATGGTTGTTGGGAGGAAGAGCAGGAGGGGAAACGGGGAGTGACTGCTAGTGGGTCCAGGGCTTCTTTGCAGAATGATGAAAACATTCGGGAATTAGATATTCCAGTCCTTCAGCAGTGGGCTCCCAAGGACGGTGGTGATGGTTCCACGGCCTTGTGAATATGCTAAACACACTGAATTGTACAATTTTAAGAGGTGTGAATTCATGATATGTGAGTTATTTCTGCACTAGGGGAAATAAAAAAACAAATGGCAATCTTTCTGGATTGGAATTCAATTGCGCAGTGGGATTTCTACGTTCTTTCTTCTGTTTTGTCAAGGACTATATTCGACCTATCGTAAACTAAAAATAAAATCCTAAGGCCCCCCACTGACTGAATGAAGCTTCTTGGCCAAGGGTAACCTCAGAAAAACCTTAAAAACTGAATTCCCAGTCGGGCACGGTGGCTCACGCCTGTAATCCCAGCACTTTGGGAGGCCAAGGCGGGTGGATCACCTGAGGTCAGGAGTTGGAGAACCAGCCTGGCCAACATGGAGAAACCCCGTCTCTACTAAAAATACAAAAATTAGCTGGGCATAGTGGCGTGGGCCTGTAATCCCAGCTACTCCGGAGGCTGAGACACGATAATCGCTTGAACCCAGGAGGCGGAGGTTTCAGTGAGCTGAGATCACAGCACTGCACTCCAGCTTGGGCAACAGAGTGAGACTCCGTCTCAAAAACAACAACAACAACAAAAACTGAATTCCTGGCCATGATGGTAAGGGAAGTCAGACACACCTCATACCCCATTCTTTTTGGAGTTTAGGCACAAATGACTGGAATTAACATTAAAACAGAGATCATCAGTCTAATGCAATAGATTCTGTGTGGCAATAAGACACCAGATTATAAACAGGACCCAAGGCCATGCTAGGCAAGGGTTAAGTCACATGCTGCAAACTATGAAAGCTTGCTAAAGGTTTTTGTTTGTTTGTTTTTAATTAACTCGATATGACATGGCTTACTTTCCAATTTGACTCTGGTATAGTATCACATGACAGATAGCCGACCCCCTTAACTTAAGCATCCTTTGTACTGACTTCAAGTCTTTATTTTATTTTATTTTTTTTCCTTTTTGAGATGGAGTCTCACTCTGTTACCCAGGCTGGGGTGCAGTGACGCGATCTCAGGTCACTGTAACCTCCACCTCCTGTGTTTGAGAGATTTTCCTGCTTCAGCCTCCTTAGTAGCTGGGACTACAGGTGCATGCCACCATGCCTGGCTAATTTTTGTATTTTTAGTAGAGATGGGGTTTCACCATGTTGGCCAGGCTGGTCTCGAACTCCTGACCTCAGGTGATCCACCTGCGTTGGCCTCCCAAAGTGCTGGGATTACAGGCGTGAGCCACTGTGCCCAGCAAGTCTTTAGAAAAACTTAACTTGGCCAGGTATGGTGGCTCACACCTGTGATCCCGGCATTTTGGGAGGCCGAGGCAGGCAGATTACCTGAGATCAGGAGTTCGAGACCAGCGTGGCCAACGTGGGGAAACCCCCATCTCTACTAAAACTACAAAAATTAGCTGGGCGTGGTGCCGGCACCTGTAATCCCAGCTACTCAGGAGGCTGAGGCAGAAGAATCGCTTGAACCTGGGAGGTGGAGGCTGCAGTGAGCTGAGATCGTGCCACTGCACTCCAGCTTGGGTGACAGAGGGATACTCTGCCTCAAAAAAAAAAAAAAAAAGTGGGAGGCTGAGGCAGGAGAATGTTGTGAACCTGGGAGGCAGAGCTTGCAGTGAGCCGAGATAGCGCCACTGCAGTTCGGCCTGGGCGAAAGAGCGAGACTCTGTCTCAAAAAAAAAAGAAAAGAAAAGAAAAGAAAAACTTAACTCTTTCAACCCATTGCCAACTAAATAAAGAATCCCTAAAACCCACCTATGACTTGTAAGCCTCTGCTTCCAGATGTCTCGCCTTTTTGGGCCAAATTAATGTAGAATTTCCATGTGTTGCTTTATGATTTTACCTGCAACTCCAGTCTCCCTAATGTGTAAAATCAAGCTGTAACCCAACTGCCTCGGGGCGACTTAATCAAGGCTTCCTGGGTTTGTGTTTTCTGCCAGCCGCGAGCAGCCACATTGGCTCAGAATAAACCTCTTTATTAATAAAATATTTTACAAGGTTTGGTTTTCCTGTTTACAGCATTTTATGCCAGATTCTGCTGGGTGGTGTGGAGGATACAGAAATGAATCAGAATGGATATGGCTCGCACAGAATATATAATCTGCTAATGCATTTAAGTGAAACTTACAAATATCTACAATAAAAGGTAATGAGTATTATGAAGGAAGTACATAATAAAACGAGTGGAAACTTAAGGAAGAGCACTTCCAACACAGAGGGTCAGAAAATGTTTCAAAGAGGAGGTAACACTTGTAATCGACCGTTAAATCTGGAGAGGATCTGGCTACTTAGGAGTGTGGGAGAGGGATTCCAAGGGCAGAGGAAGCCGGGGAAGCTCTGGAATTGGTGAGCAGAGAGCATCCTCCAGCTGGTTCACTGTGCTTAGGGAAGGCAGAGTGGGCAAAAGAGTGAAAACCCACACAGGTGGGGCAAGAGGAGCGCTAAGACCACTGCTCCATAGGCAGGAAGCATGTTTTCCTTCTAACCGCTCAGGAAAAAAATGTCCCCTTTCTCTTTGATGGAAGATGTTGTACCCAACACATCTATGAACCTATGATCTCACAGTCTTCATATTCTAAATGTTCAGTTCCAGGATTTTAGAAATCTGGGTTAACTATCTCGTTTGCGGCCAAATACCAAATCATCAATAAAAACACCAAAGAGCAAATCAAAAATATGATGCTGGAGATCCCTTCCCCACCCAAATGGCTCTGATGTTTCTTGGAGACTTTATCTACTAACCAGTACTAACTCGTCCATCCCATCCCAGTGTGTTTAAACTCTCAGAGCTTTGAGTGATTTCTCCCAAGAGGAGTCAGCCTTTCATCAGCAGGCTCCCAAGGAAACAATTTGTTTTCAAAATGTATAAATGTCTTTTGCTTGCAATATTGATTTGTATTACACAATATAAAACTCATCGTCTAAGACAGGAATCCAGGAATATTACATTTTCTTACAGAGATGTAGCAAATATCTGTATTTCTGTCTGTATCATCACTGTAAGAAAATAAAAGAACAATGTGAAGGAATCAATGTCTGTGCAAAGACTGAGGGTGAAATGAAGTTCAGAAATAATTGTAGAAACTATTAAGCAGATTTATCTTAAAAAGAAACTTTGAGGTTTGGGACAAGAACAAACACCTGTTAGAAACAATTCTAAGCTCCCGCCTGAGTTGTCCAACTCAGAATTGCAATGAGCCCCCAGAGCCTCTCTCCACTGTGCTGCTGAGACTTGATGAAGGTGGAGCTCCTGGAAGCAAGTGTAAAAATGCAGCCAGAAGAGGGCAGAATCAAGACAGGGGAGAGAGCTTACATGACACTGGCTGTGAGAGCAGGTGGACTTCCAAAAGTAAATAACTTTTGCCTGAAGAATGTGAGTCCTTTTAAATCATCAGGCTCAGAGAGACATTAAAATGAGACAACAATCATGCCTTACTCCCCCCACCCCACCCCCTGCTTGCACTACCATTTTGAGCTATGTATTCATCTTTTGTTGCTGTTGTTAATTAAAGACATAGGGTCTTACTCTGTTACCCAGGCTGGAGTGGAGTGGTGTGATCACAGCGCACTGTGGCCTCAATCTCCTGGGCTCAAGGGATCCTCCTGAGTAGCTGGGACCACAGGCACAGATCACCACACCCAGCTAATTTTTTGATTTTTTATAGAGACAAACTCTGCCTATGTTGCCCAGGCTGGTCTCGAACTCCTGGCCTCAAGTGATCTTCCTGCCTCAGCATCCCAGATTGTTGGGGTTATAGGCACGAGCCATCATGCCAGCCTGTATTCATCTCTTAAAACTGCCTTCTGTTGCCACAAATAGCTATAAATTAACTTAACAATGCCACACTGGACACCATAGCCCACACTCCATAGGTTAAAATGTATAGCCAGTTACTAATCAATGTTACTTCTGTAAACGAATGAAAATTCCTGACAAATAATTTTGTATCAGACTACTCTCTTTCCCCACTTTTTGCCTTTAAAACCCTGATTACCTGAGTCAAAAAAACTCCTCCTCTCTACCTTACACTTGTTTGAGTTAGAATTCTACCATTTACAATGGAAAAGGGTCTGGATTAAAACAAGAGATGTACAATATCCTTATACAATTGGCTCAATAAATGCCTCCACATCCGACATTCTGCCTTTGAGTTTCAGGCTTATCATTTCCGTTTGGGGTCCCGGTTTAGGCAGAAGATGAGGGGAGCAGAAGCTGCAGCCCATCCGTTACTGGAACAGCTAGGACCACAGGTGGGCACCACCATGCCCAGGAAATTTTTTATTTTTTGTAGAGAGGGGTCTCTTGCCCAGGTTGGTCTCAAACTCCAGGGCTCACATTTATTTGAAAAGGTAGCTGGTAGATAAAGAAATAAAAAGACGGCCCAGGGACAGGGTCTGGGGCTGCTACCCCACAAGGCAGGTGGGAAAGTGTGGGGACTCCCAGGCTTGGGATGCCTGACACCCTGCGGCTCCGCCCAGATGGAGAGCAGCAGAGAAGCTGGCAGAGAGGGTGCGCAGGGAAGCTGCTGAGCCTAGGGAAGGGCCTTGCAGGGCTGGGCAGGGTGGTAGTGGGGACCCAGTGAGAGCAGAGGGCACAGGGTGTAAGCAGGGAAGGGCCCACACTGAACAGCAAGGAGGGAGGGGCACCCAGCGCGGACTAGGGCTGGGGGTGTGGAGGACGCACACAGAGGCTGCTACTGAGGACCCCAAGCAGCCTGGTTCCTGGTGTCACTAAAGAAAGCTTTGCTGGCTGATCTCAAATGTTTTCTAACCTTAAGAAAAAAAAAAAAGACTACTTTTCCTTACAACCTGTCCCATTCTGTCCAACCAGCACAGGCTTGATTTTATGTCTTAAACACTGGGGTTTTGGCTAGGATTCATTTTGATTATTTTAAAACAAACAATGAAGGCAGTGTGATTTTGTTGTGGAACTTAACACTACCTGTCTGTTTTTGATGGTGAATCTCATGCTTTGACTCATGGTTACGTAATTCTATTAGGACATGGTTGATTCAGGCATGGGAGGGTATTAACAGAGCAACAGCAGCTCCATGCTGAAAGCCTACCCCAGAGACAGAAAGGGAAAGAAGGACCCACCGTCCAGGAAGGAAGTGCCCACTGGCACAGTGGATCAGAAGATCCCAGGATAAACATGGAGAAGAAACCCCAGGGCGCGAGGAGGTGCCCCAGAGAGGGGCAGAGGCCTGGGAGCTCAGAGACAGCTTCTCCTGCTCACTGAATTCTGCGGTCCACTTCGATTTACTTATATTCATCAGTGTTCACAGCACAGAGATTTGCACAAATGGTTATTAATAAGCAGTGGCATTTGCTGTTTAAATCAGAAATGACAATAGAGAATCCAAGAAATCTAGGTTCCTAAGAATCCTAAAAGAGGAAGAAGATAAAGTGGAAATGGTGAATTATTGTTCACCAAGGCCTATTAAATTCTTAACAGAGGCCAACTCTGGCTAATTTAGTCAGAAAAGGAATGTGCTAAAGGGAAAGTCAACAGCCAACACAATATTGAAGAAGAATGAAGTCAGAGGACTGACACTACATGATTTCAAGACTCACTATAACATAAAGCTACAGTGATCTGGTGCAACAACAGACATGCAGATCAATGGAAGAGACAGCCCAGAAATAGACTCACAGAAATACAGTCAACTGATCTTTGACAAAGGAGGAAACACAAGTCAGTGGAGAAAGGATAGTCTTTTCAAAAGATGGTGCTGGGACCGAACGGTCACAGGCAAGGTGGCTAAGACTGAAAACACCAACACCACCAAATGCTGGTGAGGATGTGGAGGAACAGGAACTCTCATTCATTGCTGGTGGGAATGCAAAATGTTACAGCTGCTTTAAAAGACAATTTGGTAGTTTCCTGCAAAGCTAAATATACTCTTACCACATGATCCAGCAATCACACTCCTTGGTATTTACCCAAATGAGTTGAGAACTTACATCCACACAAAAACCTGCACACGAATGCTCACAGCAGCTTTACTCACGATTGCCAAAACTTGGAGGCAACCAAGATGTCCAACAGGTGAATGAATAAACAAACTACTATTTGATGATGAAAAGAAATGAACTATCACACCATGAAAAGACATGGAGCCACCTTAAATGCATTTTACTAAGTGAAAGAAGTCTGAAAAGGCTACATACTATATGATTCCAACAATACAACATTCTGGAAAAGCCAAAAGGATGATATATTCGTTTACTAGAGCTGCCATAATAAAGCATCACAGACTGGGTGGCTTAAACAACAGAAATTTATTTTCTCACAATTTTGGAGCTTAGAAGTTCAAGGCCAGGGTGTCAGCAGAGTTAGTCTCTTCTGAGGTCTCTTTCCCTGGCTTGCGGATGGCGTCCTCTCCCTGGGTCTTCACATGGTCTTACCTCCGTGCCTGTCTGTGTCCTAATCTCCTCTTCTTATAAGGACAACAGGCATACTGGATTAGGGTCCATCCTAATCTCATTTTATCCTAATTACCCTTTAAATCCCCAATCTCCAAATGCAGTCACATTCTGAGAGGCTGCGGGTTAGGACTTCAATATATGATTTTGTGGGAGGCAGCCCCTAACATTTGGGTGTGTGACTCCGGCTCATTAATTTAGTGATCCAAAAAGCTGCTAGTTTTGAGTGGTGCCCAGAACAAGGGAAGGCTCTGCAACAGGTCCAGGCTGCTGTGCAAGCTGCTCTCCCCTTCGGGCCATATGACCCAGCAGACCCCATGGTGCTCGAGGTGTCAGAGGCAGATGGAGATGCTGTTTGGAGCCTTTGGCAGGCCCCGACAAGCAAACTGCAGCACAAGTCTCTAGGATTTTGGAGCAAGGCACTACCATTCTCTGGGGATAAGGACTTTCCTTTTAAGAAACAACCCTTGGCCTGCTCCTGGGCCTTGGTAGATGCTGAATGCTTGACTACAGGCCACTGAGTTACCACAGGACCTGTGCTGGGGGTTGACACTATAACATCAGGCGTGCACAGCAGCACTCCATCATCAAATGGAAGTGGCTAGTCGTGACTGGGCCTGAGCAGGCCCCGAAGGCACCAGGAAGTTATATGCAGAAGTGGCCCAAATTCCTGTGGTCCCCACTCCTGCTATCATACCTTTGGTCCCCTGCCTGCACCTACAGCCTCACTGGAAGTTCCCTACGATCGGTCGACAGAGGAAAAGAAGACTCAGGTCGTGTGTGTGGATGGTTCTGCATGATTTGCAAGCACCCCCAATAAGAGAACAGCTACAGCACTGCACCGTCTTTCTGGGACGTTGCTGAAGAGCAGTGGGGAAGGGACATCCTTTTAGCCGGCAGAACTATGAGAAAGTCCACTTCTGTTGTATAAGCCACGCAGCCTGTGGTGCTCTATCAGGGCAGTCCTAGGAAGTGAATACATATTATACTAACACACATTGCTCAGTGAAAGAAGCCAGCCTGAAAACGCTGCCCCCGTAAGTTTCCTGAGGTCCCCCCCAGAGGCTGAGCAGATGCCAGCATCATGCTTTCTGTACAGCTTGTGGAACTGTGAGCCAATTAAACCTCTTTTCTTTATAAGTTTCCCAGTCTCAGGCATTTCTTTCCAGCAATGCAAGAACAGACTAATGCAGGCTTCTAACCTAAGGACGGGTAAGATAATAAATTTGGTTGCTGTTTCAAGCCACTAAGTTTGCTGTAATTCAAGACAGCAGCAAGAGGAAATGACTATAATAGGCTCTCAGCTGTTTTCCACTCTCTCCTAGAGGGTACGACCCCCTTTCAAAGACCAGTTCCTTCTCATCCCAAGCCAAGCCTGCCTTTCATGCTCAGAAGAGAAGGGAATTCTTTTTGTGTACAAAAGGGTCTGTGCAGAGTGGGGGAGAGGTGCCACACTCCCATTAGGTCCACTCCTGTACTGTGCCACCCACTAGGAGGGACAGGCTGTGTCAGGAAAGAGGGGAGTGACTCCCAGGGCCCGAGGACAGAAGAAAGGGGAGTGGGACCTCCAAGGACACTCAGATATCACGGGAGGGGGCTGGGCTTCCTGCAGGGCCCCACCTCCCTTTCTGGGGTATTAATGCAAAGGGCTGGAGCACTTCAGGGTGCCTGGATGACACCACCTTTGTGTGTGAAGGACCTGCTGAGGTTCCTGTATGTATTTGATAAGTATCTGAATAGCACTATGTGCCTCTTTCATAGTAATAAATGGGGGTAGTTATCGTTCTTGATAAAATGACCTTTTAGAATGAATATCTTGTTCATATGCTTGGGGTTGTCTATAGAGTCTAGACCAGGGATTAGCAAACCAAGGCCTGTGGGCTAAATCTGTCTTGCTGCCTGTTTTTGTATGAGCTAAGAATGATTTTTACATTTTTTAAATGGTTGCAAAATAACAAAAAGAGGATGATTTCATGACATGTGAGAACTATACGAAATTCAAATGTGTTTGTAAAGTTTTATTGGAACACAGCCACACTCCTCCATTTATGTATTGTGGCCTTGGCCTGTTTTCATGTTGTACAGACTACAACGTTTTATTTTTTTATTTTTTTCAAGACAGAGTCTCACTCTGTCACCCAGGCTGGAGTGCAGTGGCACGATCTTGGCTCACTGCAACCTCTGCCTCCTAGGTTCAAGTGATTCTCCTGCCTTAGCCTCTGGAGTAGCTGGGATTACAGGCATGTGCCACCACGCCAGGCTAATTTTTTTTTTTTTTTTTTTTTTTGAGATGAAGTTTCGCTCTTGTTGCCCAGGCTGGAGTGCAATAGCGCGATCTTGGCTCACTGCAACCTCCGCCTCCCAGGTTCAAGTGATTCTCCTGCCTCAGCCTCTCGAGTAGCTGGGATTATAGGCATGCGCCACCACGCCCAGCTAATTTTGTATTTTTAATAGAGACAGGGTTTCTCCATGTTGGTCAGGCTGGTCTCAAACTCCTGACCTCAGGTGATCCACCTGCCTCGGCCTCCCAAAGTGCTGGGATTACAGGCCTGAGCCACCATGCCCTGCCCAATTTTTGTATTTTCAGTTAGAGATGGGGTTTCATCATGTTGGGTAGGCTGGTCTCGAACTCACTCCTGACATCAGGTGATCTGCCCACCTTGGCCTCCCAAATTGCTGGGATTACAGGTGTCAGCCACCGCACCCAGCCAACATTTTATTTATTATCAGTAAATGCCTACTTTGTCAAAGCAAGAAACAACAAGTGGACTTAGAGCCTCCCATCTTTATGGTACAGTGAAGGGTGCTTTATTTGCTAACAAATTACATGGCAAAGCACTGTTGTACTATGCAATGATGCTATATCTATGCTAGAAGAATATATAATACATATCACTGTTAGCAGACCTACCACTCACAATATCCCCAACTCACAGAAAAGCAATGGTCAGAAAAATCAGAAAACTTAAAATGGAATGCCTCATCACAGCAGAATTTTCTTTACCCCAGTTAAGTTTCTGAGTGGCTCATTTGTTAGCCAAGCAGGAAAAATCATTTGCTGGTGGTAAGTTAATTAAATCATGTTTGATTGCAACTGCTGAAGAAATGTGTCCAGAGAAAATAAACTGTTAGTCTTTTGGTAAGAACAGTTGTTTGGAGAGTTGAGAATGTTGGGAACAACATTATTTGTCAATTCAAAACCAAGGTGAATGATTCTGAGTGGCTTTCCTTGGCTAGTGATGTTAACACCGATGATGCTCAGTTGTTACTGTTTATTCAAGGAGTCAATGCTGAGTTCAAAGGAACTGAAAATTTAGCCTCTGTGAACTGTCTTAGTGAATCAGCTATGGTGAGACTATTTTATTATTTATTTATTTATTTATTTATTTATTTATTTATTTATTTATTTTTTGAGACAGAGTTTCACTCTTGTCTCCCAGGCTGGAGTGCAATGGCATGATCTTGGCTCGCCACAACCTGCACCTCCAGGGTTCAAGGCCAAGGTGGGCAGATCACCTGATGTCGGGAGTTTGAGACCAGCCTAGCCAACATGGTGAAAACCTGACTCTAACTAGCCAGGCATGTTAGACTCTAATTAGCCAGGCATGATGGCTGGCTACCAGAGACAGATTCTCCTGTCTCAGCCTCCAGAGTAGCTGGGATTACAAGTACCTGCCACCATGCCTGGCTAACTTTTGTATTTTTAATAGAGACGGGGTTTCACCATGTTGGCGAGTCTGGTCTGGAACTGCTGACCTCAGGTGATCTGCCCACCTCGACCTCCCAAAGTGCTAGGATTACAGGCGTTTGAGTCACCGTGTCCAGCCGGTGAGACTATTTTCAAAGGCATTAAGGAAACATTAATTCAGTGAACTTGAATAAGTGGAATCCACTAAGATGAGTGACCACTGATGGTGGTAAAAATATCTGTGGAGCAGAAAAAGGTTTAGTTGGACAAATTTACAAAGCTTGTTAAATGTAAGGTTTTAAAATCCCATTGTTATTTATCTTACTAATCGCTAGCAAGTGCTCTGCGGACAATGTTTGAATCTGTCATGAGTTTTTGAACCCTTAGCATCAGGAGTGAAATTTACTTCTGTGAACATCGTCAGTTTCATTAATGTTTGTTAAAAACAGAAGCTGAGTATCCTGACTTAGCTTACAGCAGTACGGTGGCTTAGCAGTGGTAAAGTTTTATTGTGAATTTTTGAACTTAGAGCTGAGATGAACACTTTTCTGGAAGAGAAGAACCTTTGACAATCTCCATTATTGAACACTGAATTGCTTTGAAAATTGGCTTTTGCTGAAGACCTGTTTCTTAAGTAATTCAACCTAAAATTATAAGGTAAAATTGCATCTGTATGCAAATCTTATATTGCAATAAAGTTATTTAGGGACATTAATGTTGCTTGAATCATAAACAATGTCAAGGTGCTTTGCATACTTCCTGTGCTGTCAAAAGGTAAAACAGGAAGTGAGCTCTCCATTTCCACACAAATTTGCAGCAGAAATATTTTCCAAGCTCAAATGACAATTCCAGGAGCCTTTTCACAACTTGACAAAAGTACGAAGGAAATTTCCAAATTTCGACATCCATTTAACTGTGCAATTGAGAAGCTTCCACTTCAACTTCAATTGGAAGTGGTTAGTTTGCAATGTTATGCAATGCCAGAAGGCAGATATCAAGAGAAGAATCAAACACAATTTATAGATGTCTTCCAAATGATGAATATGCTCAATTAAAAATCACAAGCTTGTGGACTGACATCCATATTTGGCAGTATCTGTCTGAGTGAAAAGACATTTGCAAAGATGAAACACATAACGTCGCACTACAAGTCAGCATTGACAGATGACATCTGCTATTGATTTTGATAATGGGAGCACTTACTTTGAACATTAATTTAGTGAAATGTTATCCCTCCCCCAAAACAGTTGCATTCTTTTTATTAGTAGACCTATCTTACAAAAAATTGTACACAATTATTTTTGTTTTATGTTTTAGATTTCATTAATAAAAATTTGGTGGAAATTTGTTTTCTCTCCTCTTATGTAAGTATCTACATAATAATCCTTGATTTTACCATTTAGTCTATAAAACCTAAACTATTCATCCTACAGAAACAGTCTGCTAACTCTTGGTCTAGACTCACCTTGCTATTCAAAATACAGTTCACAGTCTAGCCTGATAAGCATCATGTGGTGCTTGCTAGGAAAACAGAATTGTGGGCCCCACCTGAGACCTACTAAATCAGAATCTGCATTTTATCAAAATCCCTGGGGATTCAAATGTTCATTAAAGGTTGAGGAGCCCTGCTGTGGAACATAAGCCAAAACAGCAAGTAGGTATGCTGTGTGGTCCACCAACCTCCCAGGGACATCTGTCTCTTGCACTCTATTGCTGGCACACACACATGCTGCTATAAATGTCTTGATGTTGCCACTGCAGCATGGTGCGAGCGCAGCTCTGCACCGTCCACGGCCGCTGCAGCATGGTGTGAGCGCAGCTCTGCACTGTCCATGGCTGCTGCAGCATGGTGTGAGTGCAGCTCTGCACTGTCCATGACAGCCTGCTTCCGTTCTTCCAGGGTGAGGCATCAGCCACTCAAATGCTTCAAGGAATAGTAGGTGTGCTGGATTTGTCTCCAAAAGCTACAACCCAACTACACATCCAGGGCGCAAGCAATTTAGTATCAACAGATTGCATGACTTAGATAAGAGGAACCCAGATTTTCGTGGATTTCTTCTTCCACTTGTATTTAAGGCAGGCTCAGCTGTCAGCTGCCTGATGGTCTCAGTTTCCCTCTGTTTGAATAAAATGCCAGTGTCATCAAAGGAAGAAACCGAGGCCTTGGATTTTATCCACCTAAACTCAGGCTGAAATACAGCAATACTAGGTACCTTTTATAATAACATGACTCTCTGGTAACCCTGACTGTTTTGCAATACATCTTTGCTGCTGTCAGTCTTCCTGTCATTTGTAAAGAAGATAAATTAAAAAAAAAATCCACATCAAACACCTCCACTCCTTCAATCCTCAACCATCACGTGACTGGTGTCTTCATTTAAATTGTGAGGATACATTTTTTTTTAATGATAGAATTCAGACACAACAGTTTCAACTATTTATGTAGTTATAATGTTTTTAAATAGTTGTGATGTTTGGAGAATATATAGTACACATATGAGGTCCTCAATACATTTTAGCTCTATCCGTCCCCACCAAATGACAATCAGCCTTGACTCCTCACCTTCTCTCCTATTTACATCCAATTCATCAGCAAATTTTTTATTTTCTTTTTGTTAGTTTGTGTACCATTTAATTCATGGTACACAAAATTCATATTAAATTTGCTTTATAAAGTCAGGGCTTTAAAAATGGAAACAACTTGACAAAATATTCATCATGACATTTTGAGACCATTAAGACAAACTATAATGAAAAAAAGCCAGAAAAGAACACATTAACCATTCTTCACTACATATAGTTACTAGGAGGAATAAAACAAGTCACAGATCATCATCTTAGTACAGTGCAGTTCTCTCATTTAGAACTGGTTTATTAGGGCAATTGTTAATGCTGCTCAGAGAAACACTGAGAACAAATATCCACTGGAGGTAAAGTGATTGAAACCTTAGCTAGAAGATGCTTGTGATCTAATCATTATTTCAAAGTAGATAGAGCAGGGGAAAATCCATTTTCATGTACAGCTTTGATTTTTTGGCTATAAGAGATCAATCTGTGAATGATTTTATAAAGGATGTTGAGAGGTCTTTCATAAACATTATTCCATTTAAATAACTTATAGTCATATTTAGAAAAATAAACGGTGCATTATATTACCAAAACTTTGAAACAAAGACAGAATGTAAAATCCCTGACCCTATTGACTCTGCCGTATTGATTATATAGCACACTTGCATTATGGCTGATTGTCTCTGAATGACTTAAATCAAATGTCAATATCTAACCTTAAAGATAACGATAAATGCCGGTCATTTTTCAGATTCTTGAAAAATGAATGACAATTTGCACTAAAAATTTAAGAAAATGTAAGAATAAATGATTATGTCACATAAGATTCTTTTCATTTTTCTTCTTTATCCTTACTTTTCAAATTTTCCCCTGTGAACATGTATTACCTTGGTAATCTGATAAAGAATGCAACTTTTTTTTTAAACTGCTAGGTATTTTGTCTGGAACATTATTTATTTAATAATTGATTGTATTTCTTAGTAGTAAATTAGATTATCTTCTAACACTGTCATGTAATATGAAGATACAAGCAATCCATATGCCTATTTCTAGTAGACTTGTTTAGCATGTTTGCTTAAGACTGATTTCTTTTTTTTCTTAACATTTTAGGTTCAGAGGTACATGTGCAGGTTTATTATATAGGCAAACTTGTGTCTTGAGGTTTTATTGTACAGATTATTTCATTACCCAGGTATTAAGCCTAGTACCCATTAGTTGTTTTTCCTGATCCTCCTCCCAACCTCCACCCTCTGAAAGGTTCCAGTGTGTATTGTTCCCCTCTATGGGTCCATGTGTTCTCATCATTTATCTCCCACTTATAAGTGAGAACATGCAGTATTTGGTTTTCTGTTCCTACGTTAGTTTGCTAAGGATAATGGATTCCAGCTCCACCCATGTTCCTGCAAAGGACATGACCTCGTTCTTTTTTTTATGGCTGCATAATATTCCATGGTGTATATGTACCATATTTTTCTTATCCAGTCTACCACAACAGACATTTAGTTTGATTCCATGTCTTTGCTATTTTGAACAGTGCTGCAATGAACATTCGTGTGCATATGTCTTTATGGTAGTGAGAGGTGACAGCGTGCTGGCAGCCCTCACAGCCCTCACTCGCTCTCGGGGCCTCCTCTGCCTGGGCTCCCACTTTGGCGGCACTTGAGGAGCCCTTCAACCCGCCACTGCACTGTGGGAGCCCCCTTCTGGGCTGGCCAAGGCCAGAGCCGGCTCCCTCAGCTTGCGGGGAGGTGTGGAGGGAGAGGCGGGGAGGGAGAGGTGCCGGGGGAACAGGGCCAGTGTGACTTCCGGGTGGGCGTGGGCTCCGCGGACCCCGCACTGGGAGCGGCCGGCTGGCTCCACTGGCCCCACCGGCCCCAGACAGTGAGGGGCTTAGCACCTGGGCCAGCAGCTGCTGTGCTCAATTTCTCCCTGGGCCTTAGCTGCCTTCCCGCGTGGCAGGGCTGGGGACCTGCAGCCCGCCATGCGTGAGCCTCCCCCACCCTCCATGGGCTCCTGCAAAGCTGAGCCTCCCTGACCAGCGCCGCCCCCTGCTCCAGGCACCCAGTCCCATCGACCACCTAAGGGCTGAGGAGTGTGGGCACAACCGTGCGGGACTGGCAGGCAGCTCCACCTGCAGCCCCCGTGCGGGATCCACTGGGTGAAGCCAGCTGGGCTCCTGAGTCTGGTGGGGACGTGGAGAACTTTCATGTCTAGCTCAGGGATTGTAAATACACCAATCGGCACTCTGTATCTAGCTCAAAGTTTGTAAATACACCAATCAGCATCCTGTGTCTAGCTCAGGGTTTGTGAATGCACCAATCGACACTCTGTATCTAGCTACTCTGGTGGGTACTTGGAGAACCTTCGTGTGGACACTCTATATCTAGCTAATCTGGTGGGGAGGTGGAGAACCTTTGTGTCTAGCTCAGGGATTGTAAATGCACCAATCAGCACCCAGTCAAAACAGACCACTCAGCTCTACCAATCAGCAGGATGTGGGTGGGGCCAGATAAGAGAATAAAAGCAGGCTGCCAGAGCCAGCCGTGGCAACCTGCTCCCGTCCCCTTCCACACCATGGAAGCTGTGTTCCTTCACTCTTTGCAATAAATCTTGCTGCTGCTCACTCTTTGGGTCCACACTGCCTTTATTAGCTGTAACACTCACCGCGAAGGTCTGCAGCTTCACTCCTGAAGCCAGTGAGACCACGAACCCACCAGAAGGAAGAAACTCTGAACACATCCGAACGTCAGAAGGAACAAACTCTGGACATGCCGCCTTTAAGAACTGTAACACTCACCGCGAGGGTCCGCGGCTTCATTCTTGAAGTCAGTGAGACCAAGAACCCACCAATTCCGGACACAGTAGGATTATCAATATTCTTTTGGGTATATACCCAGTAATGAGATTGCTGCGTCGAATGGTAGTTCTGTTTTTAGGTCTTTGAGGAATCACCACACTGTTTTCTACAATGGTTAAACTAATTTACACTCCCACCAACAGTGTATAAGCGTTCCTTTTTCTCCACAACCTTACCAGCATCTGTTTTTTAATAGTAGTCTTTTTAATAATAGCCATTCTGATTGGTGTGAGATGGTATCTCATGGTAGTTTTGATTTGCACTTCTCTAATGATCAGTGATGTTGAGCTTTTTTTTTTTCATATGTTCATTAGCAAATTGTTAATTTGCCTTCAAAATCTATCTAGAACTTGACCACTTCTCATCAGTCCATTACTACCACCCTGCTCCCAGCTTCTACTGGCTGCTTGGATTATTATAAATAGCCAAAGTAAAACCCAAGGTCCTTTTACTGCCTTATATGTTCCTACTTGGTTGACCATGGGCCTGTGGCTTATTCCTTGAACACATCAGTTCATGCAAACCTCAGGGCATCTGCACCTGGCTCTCCATATCCCAATGCTCTTCTCCAGAGAATGACCTGGTCCCCTCTTTTGTTTCCTCCACACCCTGGCTAAAATGTCCACTTTCTCAACAAAGCCTTCCTGACCACTTTATTTAAACTTGCAACCCGCTTAGCAATCCCTGTGCTCATTTGTTTTCTTTTCTTTTTTTTTTTTTTTTTTGAGATGGAGTCTTGCTCTGTCACCCAGGCTGGAGTGCAGTGGCGCGATCTCGGCTCACTGCAAGCTCTGCCTCCCGGGTTCATGCCATTCTCCTGCCTCAGCCTCCCGAGTAGCTGGGACTACAGGTGCCCACCACCACGCCTGGCTAATTTTTTGTATTTTTTTAGTAGAGACAGGGTTTCACCGTGTTAGCCAGGATGGTCTCGATCTCCTGACCTTGTGATCCGCCCACCTCGGCCTCCCAAAGTGCTGGGATTACAGGCGTGAGCCACCGCGCCCGGCCTTGTTATCTTTTCTTTTCTTTCTTTTTTTTTTTGAGACAGGATCTCACTCTGTTGCTCAGGCCAGAGTGCAGTGGCACCATCATGGCTCACTGCAGCCTTGACCTGCTGGGCTCAAGCAATCCTCCCACCTCAGCCTCCTGAGTAGTTGGGACTACAGGTGTGCACCACCATGCCTGGTTATTTTTTTTGGTATTTTTCTGTAGACACAGGGTTTCACCATGTTGCCCAGGCTGGCCTTGAACTCTGAGTTCAAGTGATCCACCTGCTTTGGCCTCCCAAAGTGCTGGTGTGAACCGCCACACCCAGCATTAGCTATCCTTAATGTGAAAGGAAAATAAAATCTCGGGACCCTAAACTCACTATGCCAAAGGGAAAGTTACACTTGGGAACTGAATCATACAAAAACTGCCTTCCTTTTGTTCCTAAACAGATGGCTACAAAGACAGAAGATAGGTCACCTATCTCCCCAGGTGGCCTCCCTCACTAACTGCTCACAAGGAAATTCTTTGTGAGCCCTAAAACGGAGTTTTGTTTTGTTTCACCCTGACAATATAAATTAACAGTGTATCTTCACAGGTACAGGACAAAGACAAGACTAGAAATCATCCCTCTGAGAGAAATGTGTATTTGACCTCTTCCTCTACTCTACATTTACTTTATCTCATATAAAATGCAGATTTACTGAGCGTGAGACAAACGCATAATTAACATACCTCTACCCCTCCTTTCACATGTGGATTCAGCGAGCGCTCAGCAAAGCCTCACAAGACTGTGACCACTCACCTCAGCACCTACTGTCCCTTTTTTTCTTCCCTCCTTCCCCTCCTGTCTGCTCTTTCCTTTTTAAAGTTCTTAAAATCCTCTTTTGGAAAAAGCACAGTCCACAAATCCTACTGTGACTTGTGTCTTTTTTCCTTGGGCTGTCCTCAACCTTGGCAAAATGAAACTAAACCGACTGAGATCTGTCTCAAATACTTTTTGGTTCATGCGTTTCACTGATGGAATATGGCAGGGGTACCTAGTGGGCAGGCCCCAGGAAGAGAAGTATTTATAGGAAGGGTGGGAGAGACTACAATCCAAGCTTCCCTGACTTTTGTGATGCAGTTTAGTTGCTGGCATCGGAGATGCCCCTTGAGAATCCCACGACTCTGAAGCTGTTCCCTTTTTTCAAACCTGGGCCTTATCCCTGATAAAATGCAAATGTGTCAAGGACAGAGAAGGTGTTAGGCCTCGCCCTTTAGACCTCAGTGTGAACTTGGCAGTGACAGGAAAAGGGCAGGAGACCCCAATCACCAGACCATGCTTTGTGCATGGGTCTCACCTTGCAGATTTTCATAACAATTTTTCTGGACGACATTCCCATCTTCATTTTATGCTCCAGGAAAGGGAGCTCGGAGGTGCTCAGTGACCGGCCAGAGGTAGCAGAGCCAGAAATCAAGTCAGGTCCTGGCTCTACAGCCTGTTCTTTCCTTGTATAGCAGAGGTTTTCTGCTTATTTTTAAATGATTGTTTTCGCTCTAGATATGTGTTGAGGGACTGAATATATAAACAGGCAATGGCCAGGCTATATATAAAAATATATATAGTCTGACCCACAACCTGCAGCAACTGGCCTAGGATGGCAACCTATTATTGACAGTATCCAGTACAACAGCAACCACTCCAGGAAGCCAAACAATAACCTTTGTAACAGTTGGCTCCAAATGGCCACAACTTGACTAATAATTATCAACTTGCTTAATTTTTGCTCCTACTTAGGACCAACTGGAGAAACCCAAAGATGCTCTGCTAACCAATTGCATGGGATGTCCCCTTTGCACTTAGCCAGCCTACAGCTTCCCCACGCCAACAGCCTCCAATCAGGGAATATCTGAAGCCTTTCCTTTTTCCACTAAAAAGCTTTCCCACTCATCTGCCTGTCTTTGAGTCTGCCGAACACAAGTGATGGTCACTGACTCTTTTGCTATAGCAAGTTCTAAATAAATAGCCTCTGCTTGTTCTCATTTGGGTGGCCTTCATTTGTTTTCTCCCTGTGCTCACAGAAGTCACTTCGTGTTGTACACACATGTCTTGTGGACACAGTTTTCATTGATAAAATTGTTCTTAGCATGAAGGAATTAAACATATCAGCATTTCACAGTGTTCTGCAAACAGCGCAGTTGCCCCATATGGTGTTCATGGGCTGGGGACATCAGAGACTGGTCATTCCCAGTTGACTTGGGAGGGGGTCCTTCTCTCTCCTTCTTTTTCTCACCTCTCTCATCCCTTGCCCACGAGGGAGTTTCAGGTAGGATGAAGGAAACATAGGCTAGTGAATGACACAGGGAATGTAGTCTGTGAAAGGCAGCTACTACGAGCAAGGAAAAAATCTGTTCACCTTGTAGATATGTTTTTCTGAGAGACCTGACCAGGTCTAATCACGTCCTCTGCTCCTGTAGAGGGAGAACTGAATAACTAAGAATCCGTGCTTGCTAGGGAGGATTAAGGAGTAAATGGGACAGGGAGAGAAATCAGAGATTTTCAACTGGACTGGTAACTCTATAGAAAAAAATTATAAATGTTCACACACCATCCTTTGGTCTCTATTTGAGTTTAAATTATGTAATAATACAATTTTATTTTTGAGAGTGATGTCAGCAAGATGGCAAAATAGAAAGTCCCAGCCCCGCTGAAAAATTTATTGCCCTGCTGAAAAATTGATGTAACAAAATATATGGGCCAAAACACCTTTATGAGAGCTCTAGAATCCAGTTAAGAAGTCACAGTACTCCAGATAAGTAAAAAGCCAAAGCAGTTGCATTAAAAGAGGTAAAAAGGGCAATTCAATTTTATGCACGTCGGGCCTGCCCCCAAGCTGGCACAGCACAGTGCCCAGAAAGACCACCCTGGCCTCACTCTCCCCGAGAGAGTGGAATTAATATCCAACTCTGAATTTTTTATGTGTTGCCCAAGGGACCAATTTATATCTTGCTTCACCCAGCGTGCTGAGGGACAAAGAATAGTTTAAATGCCTGAGGAAAGCTAAGAACAAAGAAAAGGGGCAGTTGGTTTGCTGTGGCCAGCACAGCTCTGGCTGATTGGGAAAAGGTGCAAAACTCATGACTTCTCCCCACGGAGGGAGGGAGAAGAGTGGGGCACCCTGGCCTATGGTATAGTAGTGAGACACCAGAAGGAGCAAGAGATTATGGGCTCCTGAAAAAAGAAACCAGTAAATCCCTATAATTAAAATGCACAAGTCCAGGGAAGACACATCCACAGAAAAAGTTTGAGAGCTTCCCAGAATCTATAGCTAGGCTGATTGGTGAAGATCTTTCCCTGCTAAAGCCATAAGGACTGGGAGAGGTGGCTGTTTCTTCAAATGGACAGATACCAACATAAAGCTATAAGGAACATGAAGAAAGAGGGAAATGGGACACAACTAAATGAACAAAACAAATCACCAGTAACCTACCCTAAAGAAATGGAGATCTATAGACAGAGATCAGACAAAGAATTAAAAATAATCATCTTATGAAGCTCAGAGAGTTACCAGAGAACACAGGCAACTGAGGGAAATCAGAAAACTATGTATGCATAAAATTAGAATATCAACAAAGAAATAGAAACTATAAAACAGAGAACAAAACACAAATTGTAAAGCTGAAGAATATTAACTGAACTGAAAATAATCACTACAGGGCTCAAGAGCAGACCTGAGTTAGTAGAGGAAAGAATCAACAAACTCAAAGACAGGTCATTTGAAATTATCTAGTCAGAAGAGTAAAAAGGAAAAAAAAAAGAATGAAAAATTGAAGATAGCCTAAGGAAGTTATAGGACACCATTAAGCTAATCAATGTATACATTTTGAGAATCCTAGAAGGTGAAGAAAGAAACTGAGGAAGAAAGCTTATTAAAAGAAATAATGGTCAAAACATCCCAAATCTGGAGAGGGAAATGGATATCCGGATTCATGAAGCTCAATGAATCACGAACAGGATAAAGCCAAAGTAGTTCAAACTGAGGACCAGGCATGGTGGCTCACGCCTGTAATCCCAGCACTTTGGGAGGCTGAGGTGGGTGGATCACGAGGTCAGGAGATCGAGACCATCCTGGCTAACACGGTGAAACCTCGTCTCTACTAAAAATACAAAAAATTAGCCGGGCGCGGTGGCAGGCGCCTGTAGACACAGCTACTCGGGAGGCTGAGGCAGGAGAATGGTGTGAACCCGGGAGGTGGGGCTTGCAGTGAGCCGAGATCACACCACTGCACTCCAGCCTGGATAACAGAGCGAGACTCCATCTCAAACAAAACAAAACAAAACAAAACAGTTCATACTGAGACATTGTAATCAAATTGTCAAAAGTCAAAGACAATTTTTTGAGCAGCAAGAGAAAAGGAACTTGTCACATAAAAGGAAGCCCTCATAAGACTATTGGCAGATTTCTTAGCAAAAATCTTTCAGGTCAGAAAGGAGTGGGATGATATATTCAACGTTCTAAAAGAAAAAAGTGCCAACCAAAGAACACTATACCTGGCAAAACTATCCTCCAAAAAAAAAAAGGAGAGAGAAAAAATTTCCCAAACAAAAGTTGAGGGTATTCATCACCACCATATATGACATACAAGAAATGCTAAGGAGAGTTTTTCAAGTTGAAATGAAAGCATACTAAACAGCAACAAGAAAGCATATGAAAGTATAAAGTTCATTCGTAAAGGTAAATATGTAGACAAACATAGAATACTGTAATGTTGATATGTAAATAATTTTAATTCTAACTTAAAAGTTAAAAGACAAAGTATTAACACTAACTATATAAAAATGTGTTAATGGATACACAACATAAAAAGATGTAAACTGCGTCATCAATAACATAAAGGGAACACTTCCAAACTCATTTTATGAAGCCAGTGTATGCCGATACCAAAGTCAGATGAAGGCACTACAAGAAAAGAAACTATAGGCTAATATTCCTGAGGTCCACAGAAGCAAAAATCCTTAATAAAGTATTAGGAAACTGAACTCAACAGCACTATGACCAAGTGGGATTTATCCCTGAAACGCAAGGATGATTCAACACGTGTAAATCAATTAATGTGATATACCACATTAACAGTGTGAAGGACAAAAATAACATAGTGATCTCAATAGATACAAAAAAAGCATTTAACAAAATTCAACACCATTTCATGATTAAACACTCTCAATAAACTAGGTATAGAAGAAATTTAACTGACTATAATTAAAGCTGTATGTGAAAAGCCCACAGCTAATATTATACTTAATGGTGAAAAAGCAAAAGCTTTTTCCTCTAGGATTAGGAAGAAGGCAAAGATGCCCACTCTCATCACTTCTATTCAGCACACCACAGGAAGTCCCAGCCAAAGCATATAGGCAAGAAAAAGAAATAAAAAGCATCAAAATTCAAAAGGAAGAAGTAAAATTATCTGCTTGCAGATGGCATGATCTTATACATACAAAAATATAAAAATTTCACCAAAAAACTATTAGAACTAATAAATGAATTCAGCAAAGTTGCAGGATACAAAATTGATGTATAAAATCAGTTGCAGTTTTACATACAAACAATGAACTATCTGAAAATGAAATTAAAAAACAATCTCATTTACAACAACATCAAAAATAACAAAACACTTAGGAATTAACCAAGGAGGAGAAAGACCTTTATACTGAAAACTACAAAACAGTGATATAAGAAATGAAAGAAGATACAAATAAATGGAAAAAAATCCCATGTTCACAAATTGGAAGATTTATATTGTTAAAATGTCTGTACTACCCAAAGCTACCTACTGAGTCAATGCAATCCCCAGGGAAATCCTAATGACTTTTTTTTTTTTTTTTTTACAAAAATAGAGAAAACAGTCCTAAAACTCAGAAGGAACCACAAAGGACCCCAAGTAGACAAAGTAATCTTGAGAAAGAAGAACAAAGCTAGAAGCATCACATTTCCTAATTTCAAAACATACTACACAGTTACAGTAATTAAAACAGTATGGTACTGGCATATAGATACATAAACCAATGGAAGAGAATAGAGAGTCCAGAAATAAATCCACAAATATAGTCAATTGATCTTTGACAAGAGTGCCAAGAATATAAAATGGGGAAAGGATAGTTTCTGCAACAAATGGTGTTGGGAAAATTGTATATGCAGATGCAAAAGAATGAAATTGGAACTTTATCTTACACTACACACAAAAAGTAAATCGAAATGGATTAAAGACGTAATTGTAAGACCTGAAACTGTAAAACTACTGAACGAAAATATAGGAAAAAAGTTTCCTGACATTAATTGGTCTTGGCAATGATTTCTTGGATATGACACCAACAGCACAGGCAACAATGACAAAATTGGCAAGTGAGATGACATCAAACTGAGGGGCTTCTGCACAGCAAAGGAAACAATCAACAGAATGAAGAGGCAACCTACTGAAAGGGAGAAAATATGTGTAAACCACATAAAGGTGTACCTTGTTTTATTGTGTTTCACCTTACTGTGTTTTGCAGATATTGCATTTATACAAATTTACAAATTTTTAATAAATTTCAGGTCTGTGGTAACCTTGTGTTGAGCAAGTCTATTGGCACCATTTTTCCAACAGCATGTGCTCACTTTGTGTCTCTGTATTACGTTTTGGTAATCTTTGCAATATTCCAAATATTTGCATTATTATTATATCTGTTAAAATGACCTGTGATAAGGGATCTTGGATGTTACTATTGTAGTTGTTTTGAGGTGTCACGTATAGCACCCATATAAGATGGCAAACTCAATCGATAAATGGTGTGTGTGTTCTGACTGCTGTACTGACCAGCCATTCCCCCATCTCTCTCCCTTTCCTGGGCCCTCCCTATGCCCTGAGACATAACAGTATTGAAATTAGGGCCATTTAATAATCCTACAATAGCCTCTAAGTGTTCAAATGAAGACTGTCTCACTTTAAATCCAAAGCTAGAAATGATTAAGCTTACTGAGGAAGGCATGTCAAAAGCCAAGACAGGCCAAAAGTTGGGTCTCTTGTGCCAAACAGCCAAGTTGTGAATGCCAAGAGAGACTTCTTGAAGGAAATTAAAAGTGCTACTCCAGTGAACACACTAACGAGAAAGTGAAATAGCCACATTGCTGAAATGAAAAAAGTTTGAGTGGTCTGGATAGAAGATTAAAACAGCCACAGCATTCCCCGAAGCCAAAGCCTAAGTTGGAACAAGGCCCTAACTTTTCAATTCTAGGAAGGTTGAGAGAGGCGAGGAAGCTGCAGAAGAAAAGCTGGAAGCTAGCAGAGGTTGATTCATGAGGTCTAAGGAAAACAGTTGTCTCCATAACATACAAGTACAAGGTAAGGCAGCAAATGCTAATATAGAAAGTTAACCAGAAGATCTAGCTAAGATCACTGATGAGAAGTGGCTACACTAAACAACAGCCTTCAATGGAGGTGGAACAGCCTTCTGTGGGAAGAAAATGCCACCTAGGACTTTCATAAGTAAAGAGGAAAAGTCAATCCCTGGCTCCACAGCTTCAAAGGACAGGCTGACTTCTTGTTAGGTGCTAATGCAACTGGTAACTTTAAGTTGAAATCAATGCTCATTTACCATTCTGAAAATCCTAGGGCCCTCCAGAATTAGGCTAAATTTGCTTTGCTTGTGCTCTATCAGTGGAAAAACAGAGCCTGGATGACAGTACATCTGTTTACATCATGGTTTACTGAATATTTTAAGCCATCTGTTGGGACGTATTGCTCGGAAAAAAAGATTGCTTTCAAATTATTACTGCTCATTTACTGTGCACCCGGTAACCCAAGAGCTCTGATGGAGATGTACAAGGAGATTAATATTGTTTTCATGCCTGTTAACATAACATCCATTCTTCAGCCCATGGATCAAGCAGTAATTTTTACTTTGCAGTCTTATTATTTCAGAAATATGTTTCATAGCGCTATAAGTGCCATAGACAGCGATTGCTCTAATGGACCTAAGCAAAGTAAATTAGAAGCCTTCTGGATTAGCCAAGCATGGTGGCACATGCCTGTAGTCTCAGTTACTTGGGAGGCTGAGGCAGGATAATCACTTGAGCCTGGGAGGTTGAGGCTGCAGTGAGTCATGATCATGCCACCACACTCCAGCCTGGGTGACAGAGTGAGACCCTGTCTCAAAACAACAATGTCAACAAACCTGGCAACAATTCACAATTCTAGATGCCATTATGAGCACCCATGATTCATTGGAGGAGGTCAAAATAGCAACATGAACAGGAATTTGGAAGAAGTTGATTGCAACCCTCATGGATTGCTTTGAGGGATTCAAGACTTTAGTAAAGGAAGTAACTGGAGATGTGGTAGAAATAGCAAGAGAACTAGAATTAAAAGTGGAGCCCGAAGATGTGACTAAATGGCTGCAATCTCAGGATACAATGTTAATGGGTGAGGAGTTGCTTCTTATGAATGAGCAAAGAAAGAGGTTTCTTTAGATGCAATGTTCTCCTGGTGAAGATGCTGTGAACATTGTTGAAACTATTACAAAGGATTTAGAATATTCCATAAATGTAGCTGATAAAGCAGCATGTTTGAGAGGACTGACCCCAATTTTGAAAGTTCTACGATGAGTAGAATGCTATCAAAAGCATCACATGCTGCAGATAAATCTTTCATGAAAGAAAGAGTTAACCGATGTGATCAACTTCATTGCTGTCTTACTCTAAGAAACTGTCTTCAGCAACAACCGCCCTGATCAGTCAGCAGCCACAGATATCGAGGCAAGACCTTCCACCAGCAAAGAGATCCGGACTCACTGAAGGCTCAGATGATCGTTAGCACTTTTTATCAATATTTTTAAATTAAGGTGTGCTTTTTTTTAAGACATGATGTGATTGCACATTTAATAGATATAGTATAGTATAAACACAACTTTTATATGCACCGAGAAAAAAATTCATGTGACTTTCTTTCTATATTAACTTTATTGGGGTGGTTTGGAACTGAACCTGCAATATCTCTGAGATATGCTTATATCTGATAAGGGGTTAATCTCTGAAATATATAAAGAGCTCCTACAACTCAACAGCAAAAAAACAAAACAAAACAAAAAATAGCAAATATCCGGATTAAAAAATGGGCTAATGACATGTCTTCTTAAAGAAGACATACACTGTAATCCCAGCACTTTGAAAGGCCGAGGTGGGCAGATCACTTGAAGTCAGGAGTTCAAGACCAGCCTGGCCAACATAGTGAAACCCTGCTTCTACTAAAATACAAAATTTTCCCAGGCATGCTGGCAGGAGCCTGTAATCCCAGCCACTCAGGAGGCTAAGGCAGGGGAATCGCCTGGACCTGGGAGGCGAAGGTTGCAGTGAGCCGAAATCGTGCCACTGCAATCCAGCCTGGGTGACAGAGCGAGGCTCTGTCTCAGAAAAAAAAAAAAAAAAAAAAAGACATAGAAATGTCCAGCAGGTATATGAAAAGCTCAATGTTATTAATCATGAGGAAAATGGCAAATCAAAACCATAATGACATATCACCTCACACCTGTTAGGATGGCCATTATCAAAAAGACAAAAGTTAGCAAGTGTCGGCAAAGATGCAGAGAAACTGAAACCCTTGTACGCTGCTGGTGGGAATTAAAATGGTACAGCTGCTATGGAAAACAGTAGGAAATTCCTTTAAAAAATCAAAATATAGAATTACCATAAAATCCAGCCATCCCACTTCTGGGTATATATTCAAAAGAACTGAAATCAGAATCTCCAGGAGATAGCTGCACTCTTACGTTTGCTGCAGCAATTTTTGCAATAGCCAAGATACTGAAGCAGCCTAAATGTCCACTGGAAGATGAATGAAGAAAGAAAATGTGGAACATACATACAATGGAATATTATTCAACCTTAAAAAAGAAAAGAAGGGAATGCAGCCAGATGCAACAACATGGATGAACCTGGAGGGAATGCTGAGTTAAGCCAGTCACAGAAGGAGAAATACTGCATGATTCCATTTATATGAGGACTTGTAATAGTCAAACTCACAGAAGCAAAGAGTAGCACGGTTGTTTCTAGGGTTTGGGGGAGAGGGAAGTGGAGAGTTGCTATTCAAGGAGTAAAACATTTCAGACATGCAAGATGATTAAGTTGTAGAGCTCTGCTGTACAACGTTGTCCCCATATAGAAGAGTACGGTATTGTACACTTAAAAACTTTTTAATAGGGTAGATCTCGTGTGAAGTGTTCTTACCATGATAAAATAAGGAAATCAACTCAAAGATGCAGGAGGAAACTTTCAGAGGTGATGGATATGCTCTCAGGTGTATACACATGTCAAAACTAACCAAACTGCACACTTTAAATATGTGCTGTTTTCTGTATGCATTTCAACTATATCTCAAAAAAAGCTGTTAAATTAAAAAAAAATTGATAATGGACTTAACTTTCACCTCCATTAATAATTTCACAGGAACGAGTAAAATGTTCTGGGTATGAGCAAGCTTTGATAAGGAGAAACTAAAAGAAAATACTGATATTAAGGAAGAAAGGAGACAAAAATGTAAGAGACGGAGTCCAAAGACCCCAGAGTAGGCTGCGTGGCTGGGTCTGGAAACTGGGGAGGGAGCCCAGAAGTGGGCCAGATAGCTGAGCTCCTCTCCCTCTGTACCTGTGGGTTAGCAGGAGTTGAGGCACATATTACAGATGGGGGTACTTATCATTACTGCTCACTGATCACCCTAGGCCCATTCCTCACTATTCCCACTTTCAGCCGGAAGACCCTGGGCCATTAGTTGTGCCTTGGACTGCTCAGGGCATAGTGAAGCCACAGCAAAGGGTTCAGTGGAAGGCCTGCTCTGGAGGCCAGGGTGACTGTGTGGCTGTTTCTGGCATTCCAATCTCTAATTCCAAATACACTGTGTGATCCAGGCTGTGTCCTAGGGTATAATCCATATGTGGGATCCACGATGTGTTCCGTGGTATGACCCACGGGTCTAGGGTGTGACCCACTGTGTGATCAGGGAGTGCAGAAGGCTGTGACTCACTGTGGGACCCATGATGTTCAGGCTCCACGGAAGAACACCAATGCTGCTTCCTTTGTATTGTGGGTTGAATAACAGGATTTTGAGATTACTCTAGAAATCCATCCTCTGTGTTCCTAAACGAACATTCTGTATACATAATTAAAATTAATTTATCCTATTTGAAGTTAGGATAACCTGTAGGAATTTAGGTGAAGGGAAAGGCTGAGGCTGAACACCACCAGCAGAACTAAGATGCTTTTCTTCTGAGGCCACAGACTAGGGTGCAGCCTGCCTCCATCTGTCCCCAGTCAGCAAGGGTTGACATGGCCACAGAGCTTCCTGCACTTCACTGTGTGTGTGTGTGTGTGTGTGTGTGTGTGTGTGTGTGTGCCCATCAACACTGGGCCTCCTATCCCCTGTTCCAAGCTCATTATTGTACCCAAGCCCAAGGGTGGAGAGCATTACTTCTGAGAAAATGTCATTAGAGCAAAAAACGGAAATGGATCTGAAAGTTAAGTATCGTCCTCCATGAGGCACAGCGAAGTCCACTGGATCAACCACAGCTCGGCATGCTTTTTAGTTCCACGCAGCGCTTATCAAATAGCTGATGTTCAGAAGGCTGTTACATTAAAAAGCAATTCTAAAACAAAGTACCAGTTAAAACAATTTCAGAGATAAAGAGTCACATAACTGTTTCTTAATTGGCACTACTTTATCCGTATTTTATTGGTTCTTTTCAGCACATTGAATTTCTTTGTACAATGAAAACCTATAACAAATAACACGTTTCTATATTTTCTTAAAAAAGAGGGACACTTCCTTATAGGTCACATATATCAATTAGAGCATATTCTAAATGGATTTTCAACTAAACAGACTTAAAGCAGATGCAGGAGTTTCGATAAAACTATGCACAACGTGCGGAGCGTTCTGTTTTTCATTTGCTCTGCGTGGCATCTGCTGCTTTCCAATGAGCCTCTCAAAACGAGGGGTTTCTCAAACTTGTCGATTTTAAGAACAGAAATATACTCTACAAATATGGTTTTTTTGTTTGTTTGTTTTGTTTTTGAGACGGAGTCTTGCTCTGTCGCCCAGGCTGGAGTGCAGTGGCGCAATCTCTGCTCACTGCAACCTCTGGCTCCCAGGTTCAAGTCATTCTCCTGCCTCAGCTTCCCGACTAGCTGGGATTACAGGCTCGTGCCACCATGCCCATCTAATTTTTGTAATTTTAGCAGAGATGGGGTTTTGCCATGCTGACCAGGCTGGTCTGGAACTCCTGACCTCATGTGATCTACCCGCCTCAGCCTCCCAAAGTGTTGGGATTGCAGGAGTGAGCCATCGCACCGGGCTATTTTTTTTTTTTTTTAAGTGGGAAGGTTCTTGGAAGCTGCTGCCCTCCTCCTCAGTCCTGCCTCCCTTCTCACTGGGGCAAGAGCTGCTCCCACTGTCTTCTGTACCTGCATGGATGTATTTTATGCTGTGCTGCAATGGCTGGTTGATACCTTTGTCTCCCGCACAGGGTCATAAGCTCCTGAGCACACAGAACAGCTCCTGAGACAGCTCCAGTTTGTAGACTGAAGCCTGACAGAACCTGGGACGTGGTAGACGTGCTACTGAATGTCAGTAATTGCTACTGAATAAACAAATAGTAGCCTGTAACACAGCACTGACGTCCTTCTCAATAGACAAGCTGCTCTACAAATCAAACAGCTGATTGATCTGTGGCTCAGTCTAACTCTCTGGGGTATGCTGGCTTGGGCCTTGTTCTGCGCTTCCTCACCAGGACAGCTGTGGGCTTGTGGTTCATTTACACCACCCTCTGAGGGTGACAGGGAAGAAGGAGGCCGGCTCTGGGATCAGCACTCGCCTCTTGCTCGGTCCTGATTCCTCCCTGGTGCCACTCTTGCGTTCTGAGTCTTGCTCTGCTAGCGAGCTTTGTATCTACAGATTCCTGTGTCTGGCCTAATTCCAGGGGCTGATATTTTCCCAGAAAAGAAAATACAGCTGGGGTCGAGGCAAATGTGTGCTCCATGATTCTGGGGCTGACCTGTGTTTCTCCTGTGGCCTCCTGGCTAGCAGACTCCAAATCACGCCCTCTAGATGCTCCCGAAGTACCTGTAAAACACAAATGCTGCTCTGCAGCCAAGTCAAAGGTTCCCTTTTGTGGCTTTTTATCCACCTTCCTTTCAGTGATTCTCTAATGAGTGGATTTCTTGGGTAAAAAAAGGATAAACGTTTCATTTTTTTTTTCTTTATGCCGATTTACAGACAATCTCCACCTTCCCATCATGGTGCAATCTACAAAATGCAGCTCCTAATATTGACTTGTGGAGCACTTTGATGGCTGGAGATAAAAGGAGCAGTCTCCTTCCCGTTTGATAACACTGCACACTGTTGCTCAAACTTTCTTCATCTTCTTGAAGCATCAGTTCTATTAGGTAAACACTCCAGGTTGCTGCTACATTCTGGGAGCTGTGGGTGCTTCTGGGTTCTTTCAGCAGCTCCTTGATGAACAGGAAACCAGCTGCCAGGTGCAAACTTGGAGCAGATTTCACAGCTGCTTCTGCTCATAGTTTGCACCCAGGATCAATAACAGCATTATGCTTTTTTTTTTTTTTTTTTTTGAGATTCTTGCTCTGTCACCCAGGCTGGAGTGGAACGACGCACTCTTGGCTCATTGCAACTTCCTGCCTCAGCCTCCCGAGTAGCTGGGATTATAGGTACCCGCCACAACGTCTGGCTAATTTTTGTATTTTTAGTAGAGATGGGGTTTCACCATGTTGGCCAGGCTGGTCTCGAACTCATGACCTCAAGCAATCCACCCGCCTCGGCCTCTCAAAGTGTTAGGATTACAGGTGTGAGCCACCGCGCCTGGCCAGCATTATGCATTTGTGTACAAACATTGACATTAAACAATCAAGTTCCTACCTCCCCTGTACCTCCCCACTCATAAAATATCCTAAGGAAGGGGGATGCCCATCATGTTACTGAGAGGTTCCACGTGAATCCCTGGAATCATGTTCTTGACCCACACTGTTGCCATTTATCTCCGAGCACGTGCAGGCTCGGACTGGTATTTTTCTCTTAGGTTCTTGTCCTTTCTCTTCAACAACACAGTGAACTTTTCCAGGGCTGAGGCTGTGCTCTCTGCCTTGTGGAATCTCCACATCACCCAGAGAAGCACCTGGCACAGAGCGGGCTCCTGAGAGATGCAAATGTTTGCAGTTGGTGAGTAATATAAGGGATTCAATGAATAAAATGGCCTTTTCCCTTGTGACTCAAAGAATGGGTATCATTGCGCCTTATTTTTCTGTTTATGTCAAAATATTGTCTTCTTATGCTTTTTCTGGGAGAAGTTCACTTATTCAGAAAGAAAATTCACTTTTCAACTACAGAAGAACACACCAAGTGAGCATTAATCCAAAGCACAGTGATGCAACCTACATCTTCTCCAAGGCTCTTCTGCTAGGATTAGAGAAAGCAGATGCCACAGTGTGTTTGCTGTCTTCCTCGATCCTCCATCAGTCGGCAGGTTGACCTGCCTCTCACTAAATAACATTTTCCCAGATCGGCAAATGAAATAACAGCAGGAAGGGTTGAAGAGAGCTGTCTAACCCTTGAAGATTTTGATGGGTGGCTTCCCTAACTCGTGCCTTCAGTGGCATTTGGTGTAACACCTAATAACAGCTGGGCAACAATCCTGTGATTCCTCCTGATGAGGCAGAGCTAGGGCAGCCTTACAGGATGGGACACATGGCCTGGCCAAGCCAAGCCAAACGGCCTGCAGGAGCAGTGTGTGTGTGCCCCTCCCGTCAGGTGCTAACACTTCAATGCATGTCTAGAGGGCTTTATTTGCTGAGAATAATTTAACCCCAGAACTGCAGTTGGAAAAGTCTTTAAATGATGCTTTTTTATTCATAAACCACAGCTTTCAATAATGGGCCGCTATCTTTCCTGCTGCGGTTAACTGACCTGGGCTTTTTAAGAGTAGGGCCATCAGCTTATGGCCCCTAAACGGGCTCATTAGAAGAACCCTCGACCCTTCTGCTATGGCCACTGTGGTGTCTGTCCTCTTCTTCTCCACCAGCTCCTCCTCTTGGGATCCTAATTCAAGGACAAAATCTTTCACTGACTTCTTTTCTTAGTAAGTGACTAAAACAAGAAGCCTATTATTTAGAGCAGTTTTAGGTTCACAGCAAAATTGAGAGGATGGTACAGAATACAGCTGCCATGTACTCCCTGCCCCGACAGGCACAGCCTCCCCACCAGCAACATCCCTCATAGAGTACGGCAATCCATGAAGCTACCCTGACGCATGACTGTCACCCAGAGTCCACAGCGCTGGAAGGGCTACACTAGGGTTCCCTCTTGGCGTTGTATATTCTGTGGGTTGGACAAGTATGTGGTGACATTGTCCACTCATATGGTATCATAGGGAGCGGTTTCCCTGCCCTAAAAGTCCTCTGTGCGCTGTCTGTCCATCCCTAGCGAGGGAATTCTGAAACAACAGGGAACAGTTTTCACTTGACCCCGAAACACACTTAAGAGTCACTGCTTTAGCTGATAGAAGGTAATTTTCTGTTTTTCAGTAAAAGGGTTGGTTTCAGCTTAAAGCCAACCCCCCCCCTCAAAAAAAAAACCCAACAACTAAGTATTAATAAATTTAGACCCAGCTGGGCACGGTGGCTCACGCCTGTAATCCCAGAACTTTAGGAGGCTGAGGCAGGTGGATCCCCAGAGGTCAGGACTTTGAGACCAGCCTGTCCAACATGGTAAAACCCTGTCTCTACTAAAAATACAAAAATAAAAAAAAAACCCCAAAAATTAGCCAGGTGTGGTGGTGGGTGCCTGTGGTCCTAGCTACTTGGGAGGCTGAGGCAAGAGAATCGCTTGAACCTAGGAGGTGGAAGTTGCAGTGAGCCAAGATGGTACTACTGCTCCAGCCTAGGCAACAGAGAGAGACTCTGTCTCTAAGTAAATAAATAAATAAATAAAATTAAAAATAAATAGATAAATGTAGACTCAAAGTAAATTATCCTGGGTGCTGTCAGGTGAGAAATAATCATCTAGGGCTCCTTATTCGGATTTATGCAGTGAGGTTTTGGAGATCTTCTGATTATCACTTTCAATATCATGAAGTGATTTTGGGCCCTTGGAGTTAGGTCTTACCTTTGAAAATGTTAATCTTTGGAAACTTTTCATAGACAAATTAAATTAGCTAGATACCCGAAAATTAGCTAGGTCTCTTGGTCTCAACTCAACTGAAAAACCTGCTTGCCATTAAAGAATTTCCCTCTAAATGACACATTAGTCTGACACTGTCAACAGGGAAAGTCACTTGTGCTGGAGGAGCTGAGGTTGAGTCCAGGCACCTGAATGTTTAGAAAGCGGATGCACAGCAAGGGTCAAACAAAGATTGACAATTCCTCTCCTGCCCTCTTCTCTTCATCCCCAGGAGCACCCACCATTCCAGTCTCATCCGTCATCACCCCAGCTGTTTCCTGGATGGCACAAGGTGCAGGAGTGGGCACACCTGTTCTGTCCTCCAGCAGCAAAGTCCTCCCAAGAGCAGCCACCGTCACTGCTTCAGTGTCTTCCTGTCCCTTCCAATCTGAAGCCTCCTGCACCCACCAGGCCATGAACCTGCACACCCAGTGGGTTCCTTCTCAGCCCTCTATTTTTTTTTTTTTTTTTTGAGACAGAGTCTTGTTCTGTCTCCCAGGATGGAGTGTAGTGGTGCAATCTTGGCTCACTGCAACCTCTGCCTCCTGGGTTCAAGCGATTCTCCTGCCTCAGCCTCCCAAGTAGCTGGGATCACAGGCGTGCACCACCACGCCCAGTTAATTTTTGCATTTTTAGTAGAGGCGAGGTTTTACCGTGTTGGCCAGGATGATCTTGATCTCTTGACCTCATGATCCACCCGCCTCGGCCTCCCAAAGTGCTGGAATTACAGGCATGAGCCACCGCGCCCAGCCTCAGCCCTCTTTATCCCTGAGCTCCCAAGTGACACTGCTGGCCACTGCCTTCCTCCAGAAACCTCTTCCTTTCTTGGCTGCTCCCAGCCCTCTGTCATTCTTCACGCTCTTCTTCCTCCAGCCCTTTTTGAAAGGCTGGAGTCCCACGGCCTCCTATCCTGGGCCCTCCTCCCTTCCTTTCTCACTCTGCACGTCCTCCCTAGGTGGCATGTCCTCTCCGGGTGGCATGTGGTCCCCAGGTGGCATGTCCAACCTGGCCAGTGCACTAATGACTCTGGGTGACACATCCATCTCTGGCTCTGCAGCCTCTCTGAGACCCAAGGCAAATGCCCAGCTGCTCTCCAGCCACTGCCCGCTGGACATCCAAGGCCCTTCAGTCTCAACACATCTAGACCGGAGCTCACTGTTCTCTTCTCCCTCCAACTGCCTCTTCTTCTTAAATTCCTTACTCGGAGAATGTCCTTGCCATTTTACTGAAGGGTTCAGTGACATTTCTTCACCCAGATGCTCTTCTTTCCCTCCATCTCATCAGTCACCAGGTTCCCGGGATTCCGTTTTGCCCACACCCACAGACACGTCTGCCCCTTCCTGTCATTGTCACCGCATCTGAATGAGGTCGCCTCCTCACATCTCTCTCTCTCTTTTTTTTTTCTGAGACTGAGTCTTGCTCTCTCCCCCATGCTGGAGTGCAATGGCACGATCTCAACCCACTACAAACTCCGCCTCCCAGGTTCAAGTGATACTCCCACCTTAGCCTCCTGAGAAGCTGGGATTACAGGCACCCACCACCAGCTAATTAAAAGTTAGCTGGTAACCAGCTAATTTTTGTATTTTTAGTAGAGATGGGGTTTCACCATGTTGGCCAGGCTGGTCTCGAACTCCTGACCTCAGGTGACCTGCCCACCTCAGCCTCCCAAAGCGCTGGGATTACAGGCGTGCACCACCGTGCCCGGCCTCCTCACATCTCTTGACTGGGCTGTTGCAGCTGCCTCCAGCTGGCCTCACAGTCACTGGCTAATGTTTGGCGAAGCCAGCCTGCCTGGGCTTGATCCTGGCTCAGTCACAGAGGGCTGTGTTCACCTGGGGCTGGCTGCCCTTTGCTAGGATGTGCGATCTCATTATGTGAATTTACATACATTATTTCAATTAATTTCATTTACTCCTGTCAATAAGCCAGTGGGATTAGGATTATCATTGAGATGGAAACTGAAGCACTGGGGGGTGTACTTAAGTTTGTGCAACTGGAGGATGGCGGTGCTAAGGGCCTCGGACAAGGTCTGACTCCAGTGCTGTGCTCTAACCATCACATACGCCCCTCTGCATCTTTTAGTGGGTCACAGGATACCCCCAAATTTTGAAGGAAGTGTTCATAAAATGGTCATATATTCCAGTGACAAAACTACCTGTTTTCAGGGCCAGTATTAATCATGTGAATAAACACGAGAGGGTTGACAAGTCCAAGAGAGCATTTTTGACAGAGTGTTCTGAACTTCTGGTCTTTTGCCAAGTGAAAGAACAAGATAAATCCCTGGGATGAAATTAGGCTTCATGTAAACAACGGCAGTTTCCAGCCTATAAAATTTTAGTATCATTGCTGTAACGGTCTATAACAAGTTATACCACATAAAAGTTTTGACTTAAATGCAACATCACTGCATTCTCTTTAAGGCTGTAAGGATGTGTTATGCGTGCTTTTTTTTTTTTTTGAGGCGGAGTCTTGCTCAGTCGCCCAAGCTTAAGTGCAGTGGCATGATCTCGGCTCACTGCAAGCTCTGCCTTCCGGGTTCACGCCATTCTCCTGCCTCAGCCTCCCGAGTAGCTGGGACTACAGGTGCCCGCCACCATGCCTGGCTAATTTTTTTTTGTATTTTTAGTAGAGACGGGGTTTCACCATGTTAGCCAGGATGGTCTCGAGCTCCTGACCTCATGATCCACCCGCCTCGGCCTCCCAAAGTGCTGGGATTACAGAGGTGAGCCACCGCGCTCGGCCAGGATGTGTTATGCTTTTGTGAGTTCAGAAACATAAGGAATAGCCAGAGTACTGGGATTTCTTCTGACTTTGAAAGCCACGGTGCCACAGGAGGCTGTGGCAAAAAACGAAGACAGCAAGTTAATAAGGATATGCCCAAGGCCACTGCACAACTCCAAAACTATTGTCTTTCCTTGGTCACTTCTGCCTTCATTAAGAAAGACATTTACTTGGGAAAAAAGTCATCAAAATCCCAGAGTGGAGAACATTCCTTCTGTTTTTTTTCCTTTGTGTGTGTGTGTGTGTGTGTGTGTGTGTGCATGCGTGCATGCATGTCTGAGCATGTGTGCACCAGGCACTTCCTCTGACAGTAACTAAAGACACAGATTAAAATCATGCCAGCATTTTGATACAAAAGAAAGCCAGCAAATGTCCCAAAGAGATTGCTTCCTTCTTGAAAGATGTATTCCAGACAGAGAAATAGCAAATACATAAACTATAACAAGAAATAATTGAAAAAAGGAAAAAAGACAAATCCTATCTACAGCTGAGGATTTAAAATTCGAATAACAATCCAGGAAAAGAATCATATTAAAAGAGTAGTTGAGTGGAACATGATAACCCTTCCCCAGCAGGAAGGTAGTGAACACAGTCAATGAAAGATGAAGAAAAATCAATGGCATTGACTCTGTTACAACTCCATGGACTCAATAGCAGAAAAATTCACCTGAAGAATGGTGAACACAGCTTTGTTTGCTATATGTGTTCATTTGGCAGATTAAATATTTTGATTCACACCAATTCACATCAAGTATGCTTTTAATTGGTGTAGACCCAGGGCCTCTGCCAATGGTCTCTCATGTGCGTGAGCCCCGAAAGCCTAGTGCACAGCCTGCAGAAAAGTCTGTGTGACCCAGGTTAGATCAGCGGTAAGAGCCAGCAGCCCGTGATTGTATTAGCCATGTAGATTACATTTTATTAATTTGAGCAAATGCTTAAAAATAGGTAGGTTTCAGAAATTCCGAAGACCTGGCAACTTTGGGCCTGTGTTCTCACAAAGCAACAGTGGGATGAAGCTAGGATGCAGCTGTCCCTTTTAGACAGGGCACGCACTCCCCGCCTTAGCCCTTGTTATGGACTGAATTGTGCTTCCCATCCCCCTGAATTCATATGTTGAAGCCCTAACCCCCCACATGACTGTATTTGGACATAGGGCCCTTAAGTAGGTAATTAAGGTAAGATGAGGCCGTAAGGTGGGGCCCTAATCCCGCAGTGTCCTCGTAAGAAGAGGAAGAGACACCGGAGATCTCTCCCTCTTTTTGTGTGCACACAGAGGAAAGGCCATGTGAGGATACTGTGAGAACGTGGCCGTTTGCAAGCCAGGAAGGGAGCCCTCACCAGAAACCAACCCTGCTGGCACCTTGATCTTAGACTTCCAACCTCCAGAATTGTGAGAAAATAAACGTCTGTTTTTGGTCATTCAGCCTGTTGTGTTTTGGTAGGTAAGCAAGCTGACTAACACATACCTCATGCTCAAGACCATGGGAGTTATCTGAGAATTCCTCTCATTACCTACCCTCCGCACCCAGTCATCTGACCTGCTCCCCAAGCCCGTGAGCTCCCCACTCCTACTATACCACACTGCCCTAGTTTGGACCCCATGATTCCTTGTCTTGACCACTGCCTTCTAACTGGAAAGTTCCATCCCACCTCTGCACCTGCTTAAAATCCAGCCACGGCATGCTTCAACCATGCTCCATCTAAAAATTAAAACGGGAGCATATCTCCTCATAGTCACAGTGGCTCCCAGATTCTTGTGTTGTTGCCAGAGGATTGTGTGGGGTGCTACGTCCTGTGCAGGAAAGAAAGCTGAGTCATCAGGATCGACCCCATGGGGGAGAAAGAGCACCAAGACACCTATGGAGCAATGTACCCCAGTGCTCCATGAGAGGAGCACAAAGAATTCACAGGACACAGGGAGTTAAACCTTTATTTCCACTAGAGGACTATGGGAAGGTCTTCTTGAGGACTCATCATGATGGGAGACGGGACTAACCTCACACTAGCAGGCATGGAGTGATAAAGGGCACTTGACTGGACACAATGGCTCACACCTGTAATCCCAGCACTGTGGGCCAAGACAGGTGGATCACTTGATCTCAGAAGTCCAAGACCAGCCGGGGTAACATGGTGAAACCCCATCTCTATATAAAATACAAAAGTTAGTCAGCCATGGTAGCATGTACCTGTAGTCCCAGCTACTTGTGGGGCTGAGGCAGGAAGATTGCTTGAGCTGGGGAGGTCCAGGCTGCAGTGAGCCATGATCACACCACTGCACTCCTGACTGAGTGACAAAGTGAGATCCTGTCTAAAAAAAAAAAAAAAAAAATAGCGACATAGTCTTACTATGTTGCCCAGGCTGGTCTTCAACTTCTGGCCTCAAGTGATCTGCCCACCTCAGCATCCTAAAGTGTTGGGATTAAAAAAAAAAAAAAAAAAAGACACTGCTGGAGCAAGTGCACCTTCCCTGGGTCTGAGGTCTCTGAACCCAATGCCCAGCTTTCGGTGCACATTTCCAGAATAAACAAATGAATGTGGTCAGTGAGCAAGAATAAATGGCTGTTAAACACAATGGCAGCATAAGTAATTATCTGAGGATATTAATGGTCAATAAGTCATATTTCTGACTCAAAAATTTCCAGCTAAATCCATTTTAAAGCCTAATAAAATCAAGAACCTTTGTGTGTTTAACTCAAATCTATATAAAATTGATAAACAATGTCAACCTCATGTAACAGTATGCGTTTTAGTGTAGATATCACTGGGTGGAGGATACATACAATACACTCCCCCTGAAAAGTGAGTCATTTGATTTTACGTCATTTTAGATATGATGCTGATATATAAACTCTATGAGGCTATGAGATGATGTCTTCAAAGAGTACTTTCAAATGTGTTACAAGAAGCTGACTCTTTAGAGCTCACCATTCTATTCTTCAGACCATATCTCATCACATTTGTTTTTCACAGATTCATAGTCTAATAACTTTTATTATATATAAAGCATTTTCTGCTTCTCATATCCTTTATTTTAAAATTATGTTCAACTGTATAATCACATCAAAACAACACTATATTGTCACAACTCCTGATCCTATTTGTCTTATTTTTTTTTGTCAGTTTCTTGAGATGACAACTCTCCCCCCTTTAAAAAAATTCTCCCCTTTTTGAATTATTTTAATTTGATGCATTTTAAAAATTTTGGCTGAAGTAATTTCCAATTAATGTCTTTCCAGGTAGAGCATGGTGGCTCATGCCTGTAATCCCAGCACTTTAGGATGCTGACGTGGGTGGGTCAGTTGAGGCCAGGAGTTTGAGATCAGCCTGGCCAGCGTAGTGAGACTTGTCTCTATTCTTTTATTTGTTTATTTATTCATTTTTGAGACAGGGTCTCCAGCGCACCACCCAGCTAATTTTCGTATTTTTTTGTAGAGATGGGGTTTTACTATGCTACCCAGGCTGGTCTTGAACTCCTGAGATCAAGTGATCCACCAGCCCCAGCTTCTCAAAGTGCTGGGATTACAGGCGTGAGCCACCGCTGTGTCTCTATTTTTTTTTTAAGTTTCCTTCCAGAAAAATATGTGGATGAGGGTATACTTTGAGTACTTGCATATCCGAAGATTTATTTTACCCTCACACACCAACAATGGTTTAACGAGGTATGAAATTCTAAAGTTACACTTCTGTATCCTCAGACCTCTGGAAACGTGTGCTCTGCGATATTCTGGAGGTGAGCACTGGAGGGGAGAGCTCTGCTACCGCTCAGCCCGCGTCCCTGTTGAGATAACCTGAGTGTTTACTGTTTTTTGTTGTTGTTGTTGTTTCTTCAAAAATATTTCCCTTTGCTTTAGAAATTAGATATTTCAACAGGATACAACAGCTAGGTTTATGTTGTTTTAAATTATTCATTCTTGCAGTGGACAAGTCCTCTCAAACTCAATATTTATTGTATTCTAGATCTTAAATGAAAGTTGCATTCATTTATAAGCGGGCATCTTGCTAAAGTCATGGAATAGCTCCTTCTCCCATGCATAGCAGAGAGCACAGACCTGAACAACTATTCTTCCTTACACCTCACAAAATTGCGATCAAAAGCCCAATTATTATTATTTTGTCTTAAAATTTAAAAGGCAACAAGTAGTATCAGGAAATCGTGATTTTTTTTTCATTCTACGGTAGAGTGCATAGAACCATGTTTTCTAATTGTTGTAGGAGCACACGTATTTGCTATAGCTAAGCTCTGAAAAATACTACTAGGAGAGCAAGCATTTGGTTCCTTGAAAACGCTGGGATTCTGCACCCACCCTCCTGCACGCAGTTACACAGCGAGCACACTGCGGCCCGCCACCCTTTCGTGCAGCTGGTTCTCAAGCGGAGCAAATCTCCCAGAGCTGGGGTTGAGCTTCCAAAGTAAAATGCAAGTGCTTTGAGAAACCTGAGAAAAACAAGCAATGGGGAAAGGATTCCCTATTTAATAAATGATGCTGGGAAAACTGGCTAGCCATATGTAGAAAGCTGAAACTGGATCCCTTCCTTACACCTTATACAAAAATTAATTCAAGATGGATTAAAGACTTAAACGTTAGACCTAAAACCATAAAAACCCTAGAAGAAAACCTAGGCATTACCATTCAGGACATAGGCATGGGCAAGGACTTCATGTCCAAAACACCAAAAGCAATGGCAACAAAAGCCAAAATTGACAAATGGGATCTAATTAAACTAAAGAGCTTCTGCACAGCAAAAGAAACTACCATCAGAGTAAACAGGCAACCTACAAAATGGGAGAAAATTTTCGCAACCTACTCATCTGACAAAGGGCTAATATCCAGAATGTACAATGAACTCAAACAAATTTACAAGAAAAAAACAAACAACCCCATCAAAAAGTGGGCAAAGGACATGAACAGACACTTCTCAAAAGAAGACATTTATGCAGCCAAAACACACATGAAAAAATGCTCACCATCACTGGCCATCAGAGAAATGCAAATCAAAACCACAATGAGATACCATCTCACACCAGTTAGAATGGCAATCATTAAAAAGTCAGAAAACAACAGGTGCTGGAGAGGATGTGGAGAAATAGGAACACTTTTACACTGTTGGTGGGACTGTAAACTAGTTCAATCATTGTGGAAGTCAGTGTGGCGATTCCTCAGGGATCTAGAACTAGAAATACCATTTGACCCAGCCATCCCATTACTGGGTATATACCCAAAGGACTATAAATCATGCTGCTATAAAGACACATGCACACGTACGTTTATTGCAGCACTATTCACATTAGCAAAGACTTGGAACCAACCCAAATGTCCAACAATGATAGACTGGATTAAGAAAATGTGGCACATATACACCATGGAATACTATGCAGCCATAAAAAATCATGAGTTCATGTCCTTTGTAGGGACATGGATGAAATTGGAAATCATCATTCTCAGTAAACTATCGGAAGAACAAAAAACCAAACACCGCATATTCTCACTCATAGGTGGGAATTGAACAATGAGAACACATGGACACAGGAAGGGGAACATCACACTCTGGGGACTGTTGTGGGGTGGGGGGAGGGGGGAGGGATAGCTTTAGGAGATATACCTAATGCTAAATGACGAGTTAATGGGTGCAGCACACCAGCATGGCACATGTATACATATGTAACTAACCTGCACATTGTGCACATGTACCCTAAAACTTAAAGTATAATAAAAAAAAAATGCAAGTGCAGCTCAAGTTCTTTCTCAAAAGGCAGCAGGCCACACCCACCCACAACACTGTGATTGGAATAAAAGCTTTGCGGTCAAGCTAAAAGGCCTTATAAATCTCCTTTCATCTGTGTTCTTAAAACAAACTGCCAGCCTCCTCGTGTAGCAGGAAGTGAGAGGCTAGGGTAGACATCCCCGGGGATTCGACCCTGTGGAAGGTGATCAATCGAGGGGGAGACTTCCCAGAGAGGCTCATTAATTAGAGAGAGCGAGCGGCAGTAAGCTCAAGGCACTGGGAGGGGCAGAATCAGCCCGTAGTGTCCTCCCGGCTAGGTCAGGGGAACCATTCCACCCACAGTTTAAACGCTCTGTAGCCCGTCCGCGCCCGCCGCCCGTCCGGGTCCAGTCCCGGGATTCAGGAGCCCCTCCCGCCGCCGCTCCCCGGTGCCCGCCACCGCTCCCCGGTGCCCGCCGCCCCCGCGGGCCCGGCGCGCTGTCCCCGGGGCGTCAGCCGACCTCGCGGCCGGGACCTACCGAGCAGCAGGAGCCGGTGCGTCTGCTGCAGGTCGCGCTTCTGGTCGCGCAGCATGCGGTCGATGCCCCGGCTCACTTTCCTCGCCTCCTTGACCGCCTCGCGCTCCTTGGCCGCCTCGCGCTCCTCGGCACTCAGCTGCTCGGTGCGCTGCCGCTTCTCCTTCGGCTTGTCTGCTTTGGGCCGAGCGCATGCCGGGCTCCCTTCGCCGCCCCGAGGGAGCAGGGTCCGGGCCGTGTCCCTTGCGGCCGCCCGGACTGGGGCCAGGGCCGGGGCCGGGGCGGGCTGCGCGTCCTCCACCGGCGGCTCCGAGGCCGCGCAGGGGTCGTCCCCTGGGCCCCCGAAAAGCAGCGGCCGCAGACTGTAGCACAGACCCATGTGGGCGCGGCACAGCGGGGGCGGCGCGCGGGACTAGGGCAGGCTGGGCGCCGAGGGCGGCCTGGTTCCCGCGCCCAGTTCAGGCCGGCGCCTCAGCGGAGGGGCGGGAGGGGGCTGCACCCGGACCCTGTTCGGCGCTGCCGGCCGCCAGCTGCGGGAAGGGGGTGCGGCAGGCCGGGGCCGAGGGCCACAGCCCCTCACTGCCCCAGAGGGTCATTTTGCATTTTCTGCTGTGTGCAAGGGGTGGCGGCCGCCTTGGCTGGAGATCACTTGCTAACGCCCAGAGCGGACCGAACCGACGGGCCTCCGCGAGCCCGGCCCCCGTTACCGTAAATGCCGCCGCCGGTCCAGCCCTCGCTACCGTAAATACAGCTGGCTTTCGTTACCGTAAATACTGCCGCCCAGGCTGGTCCCCGTTACCGTAAATACCGTCGCGCGGGCGAGTATTCTGTACCGTAAATAATGCCGTCTGAGCCCGGCGCGCAGCTGCGGACAGTGCCGCAGTGGCTGTGCACTCAGCACCTGGAGCCGCAGTTGCGGCAATCAGAAAACCAGGGTGGCTTTGATCTTGGGCGATAGTAACCGAGGACGGAAAGCTGGGTGTAGGAATAGAGACCGTGGCTTTAAAGCCTTCAATTTCCCCAATCCATTTCTTGCAGAGATCTCTGCACCTTGCCACTCCCTTTTCTGTTCATTATCTTACACCCACGTCTGCACACTCTTTATCCCTACTTTAATAGTACTATACCTTTGATCTCTACAAAATCTCCAATTCTGGAGTCTGGTCCACGACACCATTTTCAACAATCTCCACCCTTAAAAATGAAAACCGAGCACATATAATTGCCATGTACTATTTATATTTGCTGAAATGAGAATATGAGATTATACACTGTATTTTCTTAATCCACAATATAGGGCAGAGAGGAGCAGATGCGCCTTCAGACTGGGTGCGCTCTCTCCATGACGCTGAGAAACAAGCCTGCCAGAGGTGCTATGTCTTCGGTTATTTCCCGCTGAATGCATAGCATCTTATAGAGCTTCTGCAACAGGTGAACATTTCAATATAGCTTGTGAAAAACCTGCTGTAAGATGTGTTCCTTGGAAAATGACATGGAATATTATAGCTGATAGTTAAATACATCTCTCATTAACACACCAGATTAGGCTGCTTAATGAAACACAGCATGCAGCACAGTGTGCACTGTACCCGTTGGCACTAGATGTAAATACTACATTGGATTACATTTTTTCTTTTTGAAACAGTCTGGCTCTGTTGCCCAGGCTAGAGTGCAGTGGTGCAATCACGGCTCACTGCAACCTCCGCCTCCCCGGTTCCAGTGGTTCTACTGCCTCAGCCTCCCGAGTAGCTGGGACTGCAGGCACCCACCACCACTCCCAGCTAATTTTTCTTTTTTTCTTTTTTTTTTTGAATTTTTAGTAGAGACGGTTTCACCATGTTGGCCAGGCTGCTGGTCTCGAACTCCTGACCTCGAGGGATCCACCCACCTTGCCTCCCAAAGTGCTGGGATTACAGGCGTGAGCCAGCGCGCCGGGCCTGGATTACATTTTTAAATCAAGAAGTTGGAGATCCGGCATTCACATTTCTTTTGGGGGTCCTACTGATAACAAATGTGCATACATGTACTACTTTTGACCTAACATTGTTCCCCAAATTTTGCTAAAATTATGGCATACTTTTAGATATTTGAGCAAAAGAAAGGAGGACTATAGAAAATCTAACTTGGGAAAATAGAAAAAGTTACTAAATATCACTGTCATTTTCGCTATTCATTCACTCATCCATCTATCCATTTATCCATTCATCCATTTAATTAAGTGCCTACAGTACCCTAGGCATTCTTGTTGGTGCTGGGTGAGGCAAAGACAGGGGTCCTCATGGAATTTATAGACTAATGAGGTAGAAATATACTCAATCATAAAAACACAGGTAAATATATTAATTGTAAATTACGCTAATGCCATGAAGGGAAAAAACAGGATTCTCAGAGTATAAAGGAAGGTCCTGTTTAAATCGAGATGGGGAAGAGTAGTGTGTGAGGCAGGAAAGGCTTTTGAAGAAACTGAGACCCAAGAGACTTACAGCAATTGCTTTTCTATTATAACTTATTAGCTAAACTTTATCAATATCATACAAGAAGGATAATATTTTGTATACTAAAGTCAGCTGAAAATGAAAACAAATATTTTATGGATTTTTTTTTTTAAGACAGGATCTCTCTCTGTCACCCAGGCTGGAATGCAGTGGCATGATCATAGCTCACTGCAATATAGAACTCCTGGGCTCAAGTAATCCTCCTGCCTCAGCTTCCAGAATAGCCAGGATTACAGGTGTGCACCATCAGGCCTGGCTAATTTTTTTAATTTTTATTTTGAGTAAAGACGAGTTTTCACTATGTTGTCTAGGCTGATCTGAAACGCCTAGGCTCAAGGGATCCTCCCACCTTGGCCTCCCAAAGTGTTGGGATTATAGGCGTGAGCCACCACACCAGGCCTAGAGTGGATTTTTATACTTAAGTACGTCAGTTAAAATGTGGCCCCTCATTGAATAATAATTTCAAGACAGTGATAGCAGAACATTAAACCATGTGTGTGGCCCTTGTATGAATTTGCAGGTCACAGGCCCATGAAGCTGGCTGTACTTTCTGACTTGAAATGTCACAGAATACAATTTGGAGCTGGGAGAAAAACCAGACCATTAGCAGTGAAATCCTAGAAGGAAAGAAACTTCAGAGGTGTGACCCCCTCACATTTGTATATCAAATCTACTCAAATCTTTGGCAGATCACTGAACAACAATGGATGGGGGAGACCTCAGTGGCCTGACAAAATACTAGAAAAGCTAAAAGAACAAAGATTTCAGGTGCTTCTCACTTTAGGGGAGACAGAGTTTGGAGTCTGAGTCAAGCCAAGTGAACTTTTTATAATAAGAAAACAAAAATCATTCATTAGAGAAATAAAACAGAACTCCAAGTCTCTACAACATATCATTCATAATGTCCAGTGTCAAACAAAAAGCACACTAGACATGCACAGAAACAGGAAAATATGACCCACAAAATTTGATGTAAATTGATGCCTAGATGACTCAACCGTAACAATCAGCAGACAAGGATTTTAAAGCAGCTATTATAAATATGTTCACATATTTAAAAGAAGAGATACACATAATAAATGAGCAAATGGAGAATCTCAGCAAGAAATTGAAGCATAACAAGAAATAAATGGAAATACTGAAATTGAAAATTACTATAACTGAAGGAAAAATTCACTGGAGGTGCCTAACAGCAGACTGAAGACAGAATAAATTGAGGAACTACAAAATAGATCAATAGAAATGATCCTATCTGAAAAAAGATGGAAGAAAAGCAGTGGAAGAAAAACATACAGATCTTCAGAGACCTGTTGGTCAATATAATCTCGTCTAATATAAGTGCAGAGTCTTAGGAAGTGAGGAAAAAGAAAATTTTGGAAGAAATAGTGGCTTCAAATTTCTGATACTTGGTAAAAGACAATTTATAAATCCAAGAAACCCAATGAACCACAGGCAGGACCAATACATAGAAAATCAGACCTATGTACATATAGTAACATTGCTGAACTCCAAATATGAAGAGAAAATTATAAAAGCAGCTGAAGAAAAAAGAGACATTATGTGTGATAAACAACATATGAATAATGTTAGCTTTTTACTGGAAACAATAAAGGCCAAAAGGCACTAGAACGACACAGTTGAACTGCTGAAAAACAACGATTAACCTAGAATTTTACATGCTGCAAAGTTATATTTCAATAATAAAGGTAAAAAATAAGATAAAAATCTGAGAGAATTTGTCTTCAGTTGACCCACACTATGAAAAATGATAAATGGAGCTCTTTAGGGGATATATGTCAAAAGATGGTATCAGATTAGGGGAAAAATAAAGATCAGCAGAAATGGTAAATATGTGGGTAAATATAAAAACTATATGTATTCTTTCCTTTTTTTTTTTTTTTTTTTTTGAGACGGAATCTCGCTCTGTCATCCAGGCTGGAGTGCAGTGGTGAGATCTTGGCTCACTGCAAGCTCCGCCTCCCGGGTTCACGCCATTCTCCTGCCTCAGCCTACCGAGTAGCTGGGACTACAGGCGCCCGCCACCACGCCCGGCTAATTTTTTGTATTTTTTAGTAGAGACGGGTTTCACCATGTTAGCCAGGATGGTCTCGATCTCCTGAGCTTGTGATCCACCCGCCTCGGCCTCCCAAAGTGCTGGGATTACAGGCCTGAGCCACCGCACCTAGCCATATTCTTTCCTTTTAAACTTAAAAAATCATATTTCTCTTCAAGAAAAAATATTAGTATTGTGGGCTTATGATGTATATAGATGAAATATATGCGAAATATATGAAAGCATTGCAAAAGATGGGGGTAAAGGAATTATATGCTCACAAAATCCCAATATTTTGTGTTAAATAGTATATTAACTGTAAGTAGATTGTGATAAATCACCAATACAACTTTTTGCAGTGTTAGAAATAGTCTATAACTGCTTTGTCATATATAAGATAGCCGCTAGTCACACATATTCATTGAACACTTGCAATGTGGGTTTTGTGACTAAGGAACTAAATTTTAATTTTGTATAATTTTAATTAGCTTAAATTTTAAATTTAAATAGCCACATTAGTTAGTAGCTATCATTTGGTAAAATGCAGCCTTACAGCAACCACTAAAAAATAATGCAAAGTAGTGTGTCTTAAAAGCCAATGGGGAAATAAAACTGAAATACCAAAAAGCTTCAATTACACCCAAAGAAAGGAGGAGCAGAGGGAAACAAACAAATGAACTCAATAGGAAACAAATATCAAAGTGGCAGATTTAAATTCAACTATAATTAAATATAAGTGGACTAACTGCTGCCGCCCCCAAAATAAAGGACCAGAGAATGTCAGAGTGCATTAAAAAGAAAAGACCCAACTCAGTGCTGTTTATAAGGAACACACCTTAAATACAGACACAAGTAGGTTAGTAGTAAAAAGAATGAAAATATATACCATGGTATTATGGACTGAATGTGTCTCTTTCAAATTCATATGTTGAAGTCCTAGCCCCCAGTGTGATGGTTTGTGGAGATGGAGCCTTTGGGAGGTAATTAGGTTTAGGTGAAGTCCTGCGGGTGGGGCCCTGTGATAGGATAAGTGCCCTTATAAGAAGAGACACCAGAGAGCTTGCTTACACTGTTCCTGCCATGTGAGGGCACAGTGAGGTGGCCATCTACTCACCAGGAAGAGGACCCCACCAGAGGACAGCCACCTGGCATTCTGATCTTGGACTGGCAGCTTCTAGAACTGAGGTAAAATAAATTGTTAAGTCACTCAGTCCGTGATATTATGTTGTAGCATAAACTTACTAAGGTATATGCTGTATTAATTTCCTAGGGCTGTGGTCAGAAATTAAAAGCTGAGAAGGTTAAAACAACAGAAATTCATTATCTCACAGTTCTAGACACCAGAAGGCAAAGTCAAGGTGTTGGCAAGGCCACATCCCTCTGAAACCTCTAGAGGAGGATACTTCTTGGCCTCTTTCAGCCTCTGGTGGCTCCTAGCCCTTCTTGGCTTGTGGCAGCATCACTCCAATCTCTGCTTTGTCTTTTCATGGCCTTCTTTCTTCTGTCCCTGTGTGTCCTTATAAGTTCAGTCTTATTGGATGTGGAGCTCATCCTAATCCAATGTGATCTCATTTTGATCCTTACTTTAATTACAATCTACAAATATGATTTACAAATAAGGTCACATTCTGAGGTTCCAGGTGGAAGTGAATTATGGAGGAGCACTATTTAACCCACTACACATGGAACCATCAACCGTTAGAAACCTAGAGTGTCTATATTAACATCAAGCAAAATAGGCTGCAAGATAAGAGGTTTATTGAGAACAGAGAGGACTAGTTCATCATGTCGAAAAGGGTCAGAACATCAGGAAGACATAACAAATATAAATGTGTATACAGCAATTCAAAATATAATATCTGAAAGAACAAAAGGGAGAAGCAAACAAATCCACAGTCCTAGCTGGATCTTTTAACATGCTTAAAAAACCAGAAGGTCTGAAGTATAAGCCACCTCTAATGAACTGATATCTATAGAAACCTACACCTAACAAGGACAAAATGCTCTTCCCAAGTTGATGTGGAATTTTCACCAAGATAGAGCAGACCTCGGGCCAAAAGTAAGTCTCAACAAATTATAAAATACTGAGCATCTTCGAGCATGCTTTCTGGCCACAATGGGATTAAATGAGAATAACAGCAAAGTATGTAGAAAGTCCCCAGATATTTGGAAATTAAACAATAAACTTCTAAATAAACTGTGATTCTAGGAAGAAATAACAAGGAAATGAGAAGTATTTCAAACTTAATGACAGCGAAAATAACACATATCAAAATTTGTGAGATGTAGCTAAAGCAGTTCTTAGATGTAGCATTCATAGCTTTAATTGCTTACATTCAAAAGGAAGAAAGCCTTAAAATAATTGATTTTCATTTCCACCCTAAGAGTCTAGAAAAAGACAAGAAATTAAACCCAAAATAAGAAGAAAGGAAATAATGAAGAGCAAAAATCAAAGAAATTGAAAACAAACCAGGAGGAAATGAGGAAAGCAAAATATTATTCTTTGAAAAGTTTAACAAAATGAATAAATCTCTAACAAGAAAGAAACACGAATTACCAGTATTAGGTTTAAAAGAGGGTATAGTGTTATAGAGTCTCTCTGTATCAAAATCATAACCTGGGAAGATTATAAACAACTTTATGTCAACACATTTGACAACTTAGATGGAATGAACAAATGAAAAAATACAGCTTACCAAAACTAGTACAAGAAAAAAACAGAAAACCTGAATAGTGGTATATATAGTAAAGAAATTAGAGTTGCTTTAAAAGTGCCCTCACAAAGAAAACTCCAGGTATAGATTATTTCACTGATGAATTCTATACAACAGTTAAGGAAGAAATATTACCTATCTTATGCAAACTCTTTCAGAATACACAGGAAGAAAAAAAAATACTCTGTGACTTAAGGCCAACACAATATTAACACAAAAACTTGACATAAAATACAAAATCAGAAAATTTTAGGCCAAGATGGTTCATTAACATAGATGCAAAAAAAAATCTTTAAAATATGATTCAATCCAACAATGTAGAAAAATAATATGTTATAACCAAGTGGGATTTATCCCCATAATGCCAGGTTGATTTCATATTTAATAGTTAATCAGTGCAATTCGCCACATTACTATGCTAACAAGAAATGACATAGTTACTTCAATAGATGTGGAAAAGGCATTTGAAAAAAGTCCATATCAAGTTGTGAAAAAACTCCAACTCTTAGAAAAAACTATAAACAGAAATAAACTTCTGATATTGGGACAGTCACTAAAATCCTGCAGCTAACTTCATTAATTAATAGTGAAATGCTGAAAACTTCCTAACATTGGTAGCAAGGATGTTTGTTCTCATCACTTTTCTTTTTTTTAGAGACAAGGTCTCTCTTCTGTGTCACTCGGGCTGGAGTGCAGTGGTATGAGCATAGCCCACTATAACCTCTAATGTCAAGGCTCAAGTGACCCTCTTGCCTCAGCCTCCTGGGTAGCTAGGACTACGGGCGCACGCCACCATGCTGGCTAATTCAAACAAATTTCTTTTTTCTTTTTTTGTAGAGACAGGATCTCACTATGTTGCCCAGGCTGGTCTCAAACTCCTGGCCTCAAGCGATCCTCCTGCCTCGGCCTCCCAAAGCACTGGGATACAGATGTGAGCCACCACACCTGGCCCCTCAACCTTTTAATTTAACATTACACTTGAGGTCTTAGTTGTTTCAATAAGGCAAGAGAATGAATTTGTAAGTGTAAAGATTGGAAATGAAAAAGTAAAATTGTCTGTATTCCCAAAAGACATATTGTTTATATAGGAAATACTAAGGAATAATCTCAAAGGCATTCTAGAGCTAATATGTGAGTCTAGCTAGGTCTCAGGATACAAGGTACACAAAAATAAATTATATTGCTATATACTAAAAGACAACAACAACACAATTGGAACATGAAATTTTAAAATCTTCATCACAATAGAATCCCAAACCGTGAAATACTTGGGAATAAATTTGATGAAAGATGTGCAAAACCTCTATATTGAAAACTACAAAACATTGCTGAGAGAAATTAAAGACCTAAACAAATGGAGGGGTATGAGCTGTGATGGATTGAAGGCTCAATGTGTTAGGGTGCTTACTTTCTCATTTAACCTATGGGTTCAATGCAATCTCAATTGTTATCCCAGAAGGCTTTTTCATAGTAATTGAAAAGTGGATTTTAAAATTTATGTGGAAATGCAAACGACCTAAAATATCCAAAGGAATTTTGATGAAGACCAAAGCTGGAGGACTTCCATTACCTTCCTTTAAAGTTCACTATAATGCCACAGTAATCAAGATAGTGTGATATATAAGAATTGGCAAACAGATCAATGAAACACAACTGAATGCAGAAATAGACCCACACTAGCATGGTCTGTTGGATGTCAACAAAGGTGCCAAAATAACTTAATGGAAGTTTTCTCAACAAACAATGATGGAACAACTGGATATACACATTAGAAAAAAGCAAACCTTGTCTCCCACCTCATATCACACACAAATAATAATTGAATACAGACCTAACGATAAAATCTAAAACTATGAAGCTTTTTTTAGAAGAAAACATAGGTGAATATTTTTTGTGACATTAAGAGAGGCAAAGATTTCTTTGATGGGACAGAAAAATTAACCATTCAAGGAAAGCTGATAAAGTTGACTTCATAAAATTCAAAATGGCATGTTAAAATATGCTACTAATATGAATAGATAGAAAGTATTTGCAATACCTATACCCACAATGAACTCCTATAAACCAATGAAAATAAGAGAACTCAAACACGAATAAGGAATTTGGACAGACACTCCACAAAGGAAGGTATATGATTGACCAATGAGCAAATGATGTGATCAACATCTTTAGTCATCAGCAAAATGCAAGTGAATAAGAAGAAACGACTAATACATTTCACAATGTAAATAAATCTCAGATGTTATATACTCAGTATAACGAATGTTATACTGAGTAAAATAACCAACACAAAAGAGTGCATACTCCACTTATATGTAGTTCTGGAACAGAATTAATTCAAGTTGAAAAGAAATTATAACAATGGTTACCTCTGGTGCATGGTACTGAATGAAAAGTGCTATGAATGAACTTTAGGGGAGGTGAAAAATGTTCACTATTTGATACAGATGTGGGTTACTCTGATTTATCTATTTTCCCAAACTGTACAACTAAGATGTGTGCATTGCAGTATATGTAAATTTTACCTAAAACAACTAAACTTTAGTGGGGTGTGGGAAGTGGGTAGAGTTAGGGATAAATATAGCAGAACATTTAAAATTGTTGAAGGTGAGTGATGAATGCATTTGGGTTCATTAAACTATCCTATTTATGTTTGAAAATGTCCACAATAGAACATTTAAAAACCATAAAGTATAAAAAATTAAGTAAATTATGCAACATTATGGTAACAAAGAATGTTGAAAATTTAGTGGCATGGAAAATATTTGTGATAAATGAAAAAAGGAATTTTATTAATTAATTAATTATTTTGAGACGGAGTTTTGCTCTTGTTGCCCAGGCTGGAGGGCAGTGGTGCAGTCTCTGCACACTGCAACCTCTGCCTCCCAGGTTCAAGCGATTCTCCTGCCTCAGCCTCCCAAATAGCTAGGATTACAGGCGCCTGCCACCACGCCTGGCTAATTTTGTATTTTTGGTAGAGATGACGAGGTGTCTCCATATTGGTCAGGCTGGTCTCGAACTCCCGACCTCAGGTGATCCACCCACCTCAGCCTCCCAAAGTGCTGGGATTACAGGCATGAGCCACCACGCCCAGCCATTGTTTTGTTTTGTTTTTAGAGATAGGGTTTTGCTCTGCTGTCCAGGCTGGAATGTAGTGGCTCAATCGTAGCTCACTGCAGCCTTGAACTCCTGGCCTCAAGCTATCCTTCCCCCTCGGCCTCCCAAAGCACTGGGATTACAGGCATAAGCCATCATGCCCAGCTCTCCAAAAGGAACTTTAAAACAGAACATTTTGAAAAGAAACATATTGATGTGTAGAAAGTCACTGAAAAACTGCATTCTAAAGTATAAGCAGAGTTGTGTCTTAGCAGTGGGATTATAGGTAATTCTTGCATACAGAGATATCTCGTTCAAGCCACAGACAGTGTAGGCATTGGCTTATTCCATGTCTCCATCAGTGCAGAGGAAGGCACTGAGGTGAACCCAAGACCCAGGAGGGATATATTTACTTCTTCCCATGGTTCAGGTAGCTGAGGGATTCTGAGGCGTGAGTAAATACTCTCAGGGAGTGTGCACCGTGGTTTCCTGAGATTTCAGACAAAAAAACAAGTACATCTCTCTCTAAAAAGTACATATTTTATCTAGATTCATTTCCTACGTCCTGTGTGTATGTTTCATAATGATAATGATATGTTAATTAGTACAGTTGATAAGGAAAGATACACACATGAAGTTTTGGGACTGAAATATTTTCTCTCTGATTGAGCGAACAGAACAATCTGAGGACACTGATTTGGAGAATAGTTGAGCTGAGCTGTGCTTGAAGAGTTCCCTGGGAAGGCACTTTGAGAGGGCATTTCCATCTGGGAAGTGAGTGAGGCCCTGCTGGACCCCTGCAGGGAGTCTTTGGTGAGTTGAGAATGCATCTGGTTCCCATTGTGGGTCAATGGACAGAGACTGACTGACCTGACCCAGAATGCTTCTCACAGCCATGGCCAGATTGCTGTCATGAGGGCTGTCCCCAACCTGACCCAGGTGCACGTGGACATGGAGGAGCTTTCCATCTTGAAGGCAGTTTTTATGCACCCTTAAAAATTTGAATATACACATAGTACTACATTGTGTATACACACCACATTTTCTCTATCCACTCATCCGTTGATGGACACTGGTTTCCATAACCTGGCTACTGTGAGTAGTGCTGCAGTGAACATGGGAGTGTAGACAGCTCTTCAACATACTGATTGCAATTCCTTTGCGTACATGCCCAGTAGAGGGATTGCTGGAACATATGGCAATTCTATTTTTAGTTTTTTGAGGAAACTCCATACTGTATTTTATATTTAAAAATTGCTAAGAGTAGATTCTTTTTTCTTTTATGACTTACATGGACCACAACATCAAGAATAGCAAAGGTGATGACTCACGACATCCCTTGTCCCAACACCAGAACAAGAGACAATACCAGAACATCAGGGGCAGGTGACAATGTAACACGAGTGGTGCAGCGCCCGTGGCCAAGGAGTTAATTTCATGCTGTCACTAACAGTGTCATAGTCTACGGCTAGACCGTGCGGGAGAAGGCAAGCCCAAAATCGTCAGACTGCATCAGGACTCAGGAGGAAGAGATGCAAACTGTCTCAGAGATAGTTTCTGTGAGATAGAAGGTAGGTGAGAAATGGCCTGAGAGCAACTCCTCATAACACTCCAGGAGAGTCACAGGGCATCCTACATCAGCATAAGAGCAGCTGTGGCTAAGCCTTCCTTATGTGGCATGAAAGTAGATTCTCAAATGTTTTCACCACAAAAAAAACTAGTAAGTATAGGAGGTGATGTATATGTTAATTAGCTTGACTTAATCATTCTACAATGTAAACAAAAATCAAAACATCACATTGTACCCTATACATACATAAATTCGTGCCAGTTAAAAATTTAAAAAATGGAATGTAATCTATTTAATTCTAATTGTAAAGCCGCTAATATTTCTTGCGCAAAATAGCTTTATGTTCTAGTGTAGTACCCCACATAGTTCGCTTGTGGACGTGGACTTAGATTCTGGATTTTTTTTTTCTACTCGGACTCTGCCAGAAAAACACCAATAAGAAAACTAAAAACAACCACCCAAATGCTACACCTCCAGTAAGAAGGAACTCAGGAAGTAAAGGGAGAGCTTAATAACTATGTGCTCCTTTAACGATTGATAAAATATTGCAAAAAATGAAATTTACACGAGACATTTTCTGGTAATTTCATTTATCTAATCCAAGATCATCATGGTGAATTGCTCAGGGAGATACTTTAGCACAGTACTCAGAAAATGAGGTATTAAATGAATTACTGGGCATAAAGTTTAACTGTGTAAACAGTGAACTGTGAATATATTTTTAAATATCATGGTTGTGATGAAAATAATTATTTAACAACTGAAACAGAGCAGCAGCATTTGGACAAGCTGATGAAGCCTGACGCGTCTCACAATTTTCAGATCTCTTGGCTCCCATTCTGGTCACTTCGCATCACACACCAGCCTCCTGCTGTGAGCACCCAATGTCATGACTCACGCTACACGTGGTGGGCTGCTGGATAACCTATGGGCATGTACGTGTTTGGAAGGGTGTGTGTGTGTGTCTGACCACTCACTGGTGTATTTCTAGTGCCTGGAACATTGCCCAGCACACACTAGGCACTCAGTAGATACCAGTGCTTGTCAGTAGATACCAGTGCTTGTCAGCTATAGTGCTGTGTATGACACATCATCTCTCAGAAACTTCTCTTTTTGTTCAGTTTTATTTTTCTTAAAGTTATATACATATCATTTAGAGGCAAATTATTCTCTAATGTGTATGAGAAACTAGCTTTCCTCTGCCAGTCTTCCCACCCATTTCTTACTCTCAGGAAGCAACCAATTTCAACTTTCTTAGCTCTTCTTTTTAAAAAAATTATTTTATTCTTCCGATTTCCATGTTGACATTCCTACATCTCGATTATTCCGTTTCAGGCATAATCTTTGGGCCTCCCATTAGGGAAGATGGGAATTCAGCTCCCGTTATCACCTCTTGCTCACCCTCCACGCCAAACCCGACCCTTCACGTCACACTCCCTTGTCATGCCCTCTCAGAAATCCCAAGAGAGTGTCACTGAAACTTACATCACCATTTGGTATTTATTATGACTAGGTAAATCACATTTACCGGTCAGCCAGTTAGTAAAACAGAATCGCTTTTCCACTTCTACATACTGTTACGTTTCCTCTGAGTAAGTAATCCCTTTTGTCTATACTGGTTTTCTATGTTCTTATTACTAATTCCACTCCACATTCTGCCCCGCTCCCTCCACCAGCGTAAGTATCTCCTCTGATCACATTCAAATCCATTTGCATGATCAATTTTGTCTTCTTTCAGAAGTGGCTCTCGGTTTCCATCTGCTCCCACCTGGATGGGTGGTGCCCTCCGTCTGTTAATGAAAATTGTTGGGGCTCTCTCTTCACAAGGAAATGGCCTCAGCCTAGATATTTTCACTCCTTTTCCATCTTTTTTTCCTATTTTATTACATGGTTGAAAACACAAAAATTAATTATTACATAACACTTCATCATTAGACATACGTTATTTTTGTTATTCATTCTGATGTTTTCCTTAGCAAATGTTGCTAGAAGCAGTATTATTGGCTTAAATGAATTAATTTAAAAAAACAGACTTTGTTTTTTAGGGCAGTTTTAGGTCCATAGTGAAACTGAGCAGAAGGTACAGAGAGTTCGCACACACCCCACCCCACACATACACAGCCTCCCTCCCTGCCAACATCCCCAGCTAAGTGGTTCATTTCTTACCACTGATGAGCCTACATTGATACACCATTGTCACCTAGATTCCATGGTTTATATTAGGGTTCACTCTTGGCATTGTACATTCTATGGGCTTGAACAAAAAATTTTTTTTTTTTTCAGACTGAGTCTCGGTCAGTCGCCCAGGTTGGAGTGCAGTGATATGATCTCAGCTCACTGCAACCTCCACCTCCCAGGTTCAAGTGATTCTCCTGCCTCAGCCTCCCTAGTAACTGGGATTGCAGGCGCCTGACATCACGCTCAGCTAATTTTTGTATTTTTAGTAGAGATGGGGTTTCACCATGTTGGCCAGGCTGGTTTCGAACTCCTGACCTCAGGTAATCCACCTGCCTGGGCCTCCCAAAATGCTGGGATTATAGCATGAGCCACACTTGGTCCTGGGCTTGAACAAATTTATAATGACACACATCCATCATTAAAGTATCATACAGAATAGTTTCACTGCCCTAAAAGTCCTCCTTGCCTTGCCTATCACCTCCTCCCCCAACCCCTGGCAACTACTGATCCTTTACTGTCTCCACAGGTTTGCCTTTTCCAGAAGGTCGTAGAATTGGTTTCATACAGTGTGTGGCCTTTTCAGAGTGACTTCTTTCACTCAGCAATATGCATTTAAAGTTCTTCCATGTCTTTTCTTGGTTTGATACCTCATTTCTTTTAGAGCTGAGTAATATTCCATTATTTGGATGTACCACAGTTTGCCATTCACGTATGGAAGGGCATCTTGATTGCTTCCATATTTTGGCGATTATGAATAAAGTTGCTGTAAACACTGTGTGAGAGCTTTTGTGTAGACATGGCTTTCCAACTCATTTTGGTAAATACCAAGAAGAGCCATTGCTGAGTGTGGTGTCATTCCTGTGTTAGAGAGGATCCCGTATATTCTGCTGCTGTGGATTTCTCTTTCTTGCTTTACTCCTTCTGCTTTGTAAAAGACACTCTGCCCACACATTGGTGACCCCATGTTTCCATCTGTAGTCCTCATGTCTTCCCCTGGGTTCCACGCTCCTATACTTCATTAATTGACATCTCCTTTTGGGTGTTTAATGGGCGTCTTGTTTTAACCTGTGCAAAGTGGATTCATACTGCCCCCAGCAACTCGATTCCATTTCCTCTCTTCCCTAACTCAGAGAAGGACGCCACGGCCCATCCAGGGCTCCAGCCAAACAACTGGGAGGCTTCCTTTCTCTTTCTCTTGCTCCACATCAACTCAGTGATCAAGTCCTGTCACTTCCACCTTCAGTCTGCATTTCAGATACTCCCAGTGCTGTCACCATTCCCTCAACCCTCGTTCAAATGGCTACCTCGTTGCACTTGATTTTCTGTAGGAACTTAATCCAAATGATTTCCCTGCTTCCAGTACAAAGTGGCTTCAGTAATCTTTTAAAAATATAAATACAATGATGTCACTCTACATCTTCTAAACCTTTGTTTCCTTTTGCAGTTGGAATGACAACCCTGCCTCCTCTCCCCAGACTGCGCACCCTGAAGCTCTGGTTCTGCCCGTCTCTGATTCATGCCACTCTGCCACTCCCCTTGCAAAATGTCTCCATCACTCTCTCAGACTTTCTTTCTTTTCCTTAAATACCAGGTCGGTTTCTGCCTCTGTGCCTTTGCAATTGCCATTTTCTCTGCCTGGAAAGCTTTCCCAAGCAGTAAGTGGCTTTTAGCATGGCTGAAACTCTTGAACAGGGAACAGGAACTAAACCCAAGCTCCTTGGAAGTAGGAAGCTTTTTTTCTAATTCACTGTAAACCTGAGTGTCTAGCAGTGAATGAATGAAAGTTATTTTAATTATGGTCTCCCAAAGGAAGAAGTGACTGGGCAAAGTGCTGAGAAGAGAGCTGAGAAGCATTCACAAGGAGAGTGGGGCATCCCCCACCCTATCTGGCCACCCATCCCCAGAGCAGATTCTTCAAGTGTGGGGAAGGAGAGGAAGAAGGTGACGTGCCCTGCTTCCTGGGTGCAACACCAGCACTGCAGGAAGACCTAGAGGGAAAAGACTACGAGCTCTTGCTGCGATTTGAAAACAGAGTCACTGACAGCCCACGTGTCATGGAAGTAGCAGACAGCACCATCAGACCTGAGGGGCCATGTGGCCACGCATGAGGAAAGACCCTGTGGGCAGGGGACTCGAAATGGACGGTCATCACAGCCAGCATCATGGCTCACAGCAGCTTAGACAAATCCCCAGGGAGGGGCTGGCGAGGGAAGGTGCTGTGCTATGGCAGGCTCCCCGGGCTTGCAAGGGCCTGGCATTTGCAACTTTTTCTATGCCACCCTGCCCCAGTGCAGGGACATCATATTTGTAGCTTGGGATTGGCCACAGGTGGGAGTATTTACATCATGGAAATTAGGAAATATTAGAAATAAGGGTTTTTTCTTTTCTCCTCTTTTCCTCCCTGGAGATCCTGGCTTGCCAGCATACCGTTGGGAACAGACCTGTAATTGGCTGAACAGTTCATTCAGTGTGGGGGAGATGAGGTCTCTAAACCTAAATTTGGTGGAGTTATAGGAAAGTACATTTTATTCTTTGCATGCATGAGGTTGGTGATAGCAATTTTAGTTTTTTTTCATCCTGGAAATAGTTTTAGGTGGCTTTCCTCAGAAGCACACCAGAGACAGAGTCTTAGGTGCAAATGATATGTTAAGGAAGTTCCCCCAGGAGAAATCGGAGAGTAGGTGACACCAGCTGGGAAGGAGCCAAGTCAGGAGGTTGATACAAGTGCAGTGTCAGCTGCCGCGGGTCCGCAGGGAGCCCTGGGGCCCAAGTTCCTCTGCAGTCCTGGTGCGGGGCTTTTGCACACCTGCACACCTGCACACCTTGGTCATCACCACTGGCTGCGGGCTGCTTATGGGGCCAAACGCTCCCAGGTACTGCCAGCTCTCAGCACAAAGGGCTCCTTAGCTGAAGGGGCTTCTTAGCATAGTCTCAGAAGGTTGCAGAAGCTGGGGACAGACCTATGTAGGATATGGTCAGAGCAGAGACAACAACTCTGCTGGGGTAGCCCCAGGAAGATGAGGCTGAATTATTCATACTCTTTGGTTCTTGGCCCATTATCATCCCTGGTCTGTGCAAGACCCCTACACCTCATTTCTCATCTTTCTTGCTTTATCCCCAGCCCCTACTACCATTTATCCCTTGGGCACCCACTCTAATGTGTTGGGGGTCAGTACCCATTACATGTGGCATGAGTAAAGCCTACAGTTTTACCTGGAGTACCTACGTGTCAGGGGTGTTGTGGGAATTCAGATAGGCTTCAGTTTTAGGAATGCACCCTGCCATGCATGGGGAAAGGAGCAAGGTGGAGCCCACTCCCTAAAAGTATTGGAAAAGCAGCTGCACAGCTTGGTCCCGCGTGACTCCAGGACAGAGACAGGGTCGTCTGCATCAGAAACACAGTGGGTCCACTGGGCGTGGCAGGCTTTGGCAACATCCTGGCAGCTGTCCAGTTCACAGCACCCATCCAGTGTTGGAAATGGTTGAGGGAGATTCCCGGCAGTGCTGTCTGCGGAAGCCCGGCACTGCTTTGGTCAGCATGGGCGCCTCTGTTCATGGCAGCAGCTCCCTCTATGGAGGTGGTGTTAGGAAGAGTTTGGGAGGGCTCCCAGTCCTAGGAACAACAGCACCACCAAATGAGTGACTGACCATTGAAGAAAGTCAAAATATTTTGCCCCAAAATATATTTCTTTGACTTCTTTTGAAATGGCTGCCGTAGGACCAGCAGACTGAAATGGCCCTGCAAAGCTGTCTTGTGGGAGAAATTTGCGTCTGTAGAGAATCTCCATTGTTGCAGCCAGGCCTTCCCTTTCTAGGCCTTTCCTCAATCTAAGAGAGACTGAGACTCTGACACTTCCAAAGGTCTGAAAGGGAACATTTACCATCTATTTCCTCTGGGGCTGTATTATGAGGGGCTTCATCTAGACCGCCTTTGCTGGCCATAACCTGTCCTGCCTCTAAAACCTGGTTTTGGTCATGCGCTGAGCCTGTGTTCTTTCTATAACCTCAAGATGGTCTAGAAACTTCTATACCTTACTGGGGGGTTGGGACTTCATTCTGAAGGCTCCTGTGGGTACGCGTTAAGTACATTTGTATGCATTTTCTCCTGTTAATCAATCTGCCTCATGTCCGTTATTTTTCAGAGAACCTTCAGGGGCTAAGGCCAAAGCTGTCCCTTGCCCCCCACATCTGGACCCAGGCATCAAACCAGACACCCAGGAGGCAGGCAGGGAGGGCCGAGCCTCCGGATCTGTACAGATACACAGCTCATTCTTACTTTAGTGGTTCCCAGAGAGCCTAGTGGCAAAGACCCAAGCGCAAGAGGGAGTTTGTTTCTCCCGGTTCAGAGATAGCTTATTATAGGAGCAAAGACTTAAAATCAAAACCTGCTCTGTGGTAGCTCCAGTCTATTATCCATCTCTGATGGGTGGGCTCAGCCCACTGCCTGCCTCACTTGGAGGCCACAATACCCCTCTACCAGTGTGGGCCCGGCTGGCGTGTTCATGCTGACTCCATCCCCTTAGCCATACTTAATCGGGTCAGGGTGGAACCTTGACTGTAGATGAATCATTCTTGGTACAAGAATTAGTATCAAGAAAGCCATTCCTCCTCTGTTTTGGCACGTGATGTGCAGACTCAGGAGCTGTGGGGCAGCCCAGGGGCATCAGGGGACGCCCCGGTCATGGAGAGAAAAGAAGGAAATGCATGCTCAAAGAGGAGCAGAGGCAAGACCTGGACAGTGCTGGGGGTTTCCAGGTGGCGGCTGCAGGCCCTTCTGAAGCCAGCCGTGATCTCGGCCTTGCTGTCTGATAGACACTCCACTGTCTTCACAGTGAGAGCCATCATTGTTGTCTTTCCCAGTTTCTTTCTTGGGGACTTCCTCTTCATGCTTCCCAATTTAACTCAAGCCCCTTTTCTTTAGACGACCCTCCAGACCTTTCTAGGCTGCTGGTTGCTTCCTTCTGTGTTTTCACAGAGCACTTTGCCTAGGTCCCTCGGAATTCCTTAAAGGTGTTGTGTCTAAATTTGTCTTTGTAGCACCATTGTGTATTACAGAGCTTGACAATACAAAGAGCGCCAACAGAGTCTTAGAATGAGCTGCTCAGAGCTACGTCCCAAAGTGATAAAATATATTAATAGCGCCTAACAATTAGCAAACTTTTCAAGAAATTTGGCTATGAAGAGGAGAGAGTGTGGTATCTGGGGGGAGGATGAAATGATATAGGACCCAGGCCAGCAGGAAGCCCAGTGAGCTCGGCAGGGAGAGGGCAGCCATCCAGGGCAGAGCTGGCTTCAGAGCACCTTTACGTGACAATGTGTGATATTTGATGTGAGAATTTGATTTTCTGCTTCCGTAGCAAAATATTCTTTTTAAGAGATTGTCGTGTGGTCCTGAGCTGTTTTTGACAGCGTATTTCGGTGGGTATTCAAAAGGCTTGGGTGTTGAGAAAGCTCAAGATCCGCACGTGAAGATGACTGCCAGCCCTCAGCCCCAGTTAGAAACCTTGAGAGAACCAGCGAGGTCTGGGCAGAGACCAGAGAGCTCAAGGAGAGTAAGAAGAAAAAGACGGGTGGAGGGGCTGAGCTCAGCTTGGATCGCAGCAAGAACCCTGAGAAGGTTCTGAGTCAGTGGCAGTTGGAAGTGCAGGCAGTTAGAGGCTGGTTCCGCAGCAGTTGGAGGGGAGGACAGTAACCAGGGAAGGTTAGCGCCAGCAGGGCTGCACGCCACAGGCTGGGGCTGGGGGAGAGGGAAGGTACAGAGAGCGGCAAACTGTCGAACTCCTTCCTCTTCATGCTTCACGGTTCCCCAGCCACGTGTTTGGTGTAAATGAGGAGGGCCGGAGGGGCCAGCCTGCAGGGTGGGTTCCAGTTGCCCTGAAAGGCAGGGAGCAGGCAGAGATAGAGTGCAGGGCATGGCATTGGAGGCCCAGTCCACCCTGTTCACCCTCCTCTCCCACATCAGGCTGGCACTCTGCACATTTAGGGTGTGGCCAAGCCTCAGCCAGCAGAAGCAAGTCTGGTCTTGCTGACCAGCCTGGCCGGCTGGCGGAGAAAAGGAGAAGACGGTGTCTCTAGGGAGATCCCGGGCCTGAGCGGCAGCGTCTGTCAAATGTGTTTGGCTTCTGTCTCTTGAGTAGCCCATCTGAAATGAGGAAAGGGCCAAGGGGCCCCGGGGCTCAGGTCCACCACCCACACTCCCATTCTCACAGCCCTGCTGGACCAAGGCATCTCTCAAGTGGGCCGCACTGGCCGTTTTTCTTGGTTGCTTGCCTGACTCCAATCTACTCTCCACAAAGCAGTTAGAATTAGAAAACAGACGAAAGCCATGTCTGCCGCCAGCCCTGCTGTGCTGCCTGTGGCCAGCCACCCGCCCCAGACCCCACAGCCATGGCTGGTCACCTGCCTTAGGCTCCACAGCCCTGCTGGCTGGTCACCTGCCTCAGAACCCACAGTCAGTTCCTGCCTCCTGCAGATGTCGTCTAGGGCTCAGCAAAAAGACCTCTCATTTTCCTATCTCACAGTGCCTCCCTGCCACGCTCTGGCTCTGTATCCTCTTAATTTATTTCTAGTCCTTATCATAAAGTATGAGCCTTTGTCTGTTCACAATCTGTTAGAGGCTCTGTGTTTTTCATCCACACTTAGCGTACATGTGTTGCAGAAGGTGCAAATTAGTCTTGTAGAAGAAAATAAAATCTTGGGACCCCGAAACTCAGTATGCCAAAGGGAAAGTTAAGCTTGTGAAGTGAGTCACACAATACCACCTTTCTTTTGTTCCCAGACAGACAGCTACAACTTCACGACCCTGTGTCATAGCCTCATCCATCAGCCAGGTTCTCACATGGCCTCTGTCACGAATTGCTCACAAGGAAGTGTAGCCATTTGTCTTAGTGCCTCCACTCCCTCCCTCCCTTCCTTCCTGCTGTTTTTTTTTCCCCTTTAAATACTGAGTCTCCACAACCTTCTTTGGAAAGCTCGGATTACAGATACTCCTCTAACTCATGTTTTTCCTGGGCATATCCCCAAACTCTGGTTAAATAAACCTCTATCGATTGAGACTCCTGCCTCAGTCACATTTGGTTAGCAGACTCTGGCTTAAAAGTTTTGGCGACTTTGACTTTTATATGCTGAAACTACAGTGGCCAGTCAGATTTTGGGGGCTCCTGGCATTTCTGGCTCTTTAGCCTAATCTTTTCCATACTGACAGCTCTCTCTCTCTCTCTCTCTCTCTCAGACCCCGCTGACAAACTTGTTGCTACCAAACACAGCACTCTAGTTTCTCTTTCTCTAAATTATTTTCAGGATTCATTTCGCCACTGAACTTTATTTTTACTGAATCACATGTCTTTTGTCGACAACTGATGTCTACCGAAGGCACAGGTGCTCCCTGGTTCAGGCATGGATGTCTAATATCTCATGGACCCTGATGTTGTGCTCCACATTGGTTTCTGATTTTGTTCTGTCACTCCCCAAAGTGTGTTTGCTGAGATGCAGTAACCCATTCAACAAAATATTCTTTGCAACAGGAATTGTTGCATTTTCTTATAAATGTTTAGGTTTGGTGCTGGCCCTCGCACCCAAAGACCATCAAGGGAAGGTGAAAGAGCCACGGTTCCTGAGCCACAGGCCCTGAGCTGGTATTTAGCTCTCTGTTTGCACAGCTTTGATGACAGTGGCTTAGACAGGCCACCTCACTATCTTGACTGGCAAAACAGGAGCAGGGGGAGCCCAGCACTGTCTTCTCTCTTGGAGGGTTTTGCAGGGATCAAATGAGATAATGTCTGGGACAGTACTTTTGTAAAAGGCAAATAGTTAACACTAAGACAGGTCCAGTCTTTTATAATTTAAAGTAGTGTGTAAATGGTATGTCCTCAGACGTTTGCCTGAGTGAACAAATCTAAGTGTTTTCTTTTGCGCACTTAATAAAGCTCACCTTTATGTCAGTCGTGATATAACTGCCTATTTTTTTTCTGCCAGGGTATGTTACAACATCACACTTCCAAGCAAGGCCCAGGCTGGCCCAGATGGGACACGAAGCCCCCAGTAAAGATCAGGAGCACTTCTGGGGGTCCCACCTGAGGGATCTGGTGCATAAAGTCAGGCTTGGTTGTAGGCCCCCAACAAGACATAAAACCTGTACAGGTCAAGAAGTGACGCATCTCTGGCCTGTGAGCCCCTCACGTGCTGGGTGGCACTGAGGTGATGATGACACTATTTCTAAAAGACAGACATAATGCCAGTGACTTCAGTCATTTTCCTCATTTTATGTGGCTATTTTTAAAAGCTGTCCTCCAGAAACAAAAGAATCCCTGAGATAAAATTTCCCAAAGCAAAATGCTCCACCTGACTGGGGTCCGACCTAGGGGTGGGAGAGCTGGATAGTCCTGGGACACAGAGTTAGGTCTGTGCTGTTAAAGGCAGAATTAATATTCCTTGTACTGAACTGAAAAGGACAGATTTAAAAATCGTATCTTTTGTACTTCCATCTAAGCTACTTTAGGGAGTTTTCTGGCTATGAAGCACCTGAATCTTGAGCTGTAATTCAGAAATAAAGCGTATCTGCCCTTCTGTCCACCTTTCTTTCCATCCTTCTGGAAAAAAGCAAAAGGAAAATTCTTAACTTACTAAAGAGAGCATTAATGCAAACGTGAGTCTGAATGACAATCAGATCAATAGCCAATTTCAGAAAAAGCCTTCAGCATTTCTCAAAAGAGAGGCAGAGGCAAGGCACGGTGGTGCTGTGACTGCTTTGGTGGATAGGTGCTGGCACTATTTTCACTCCAGGAAAGCTGTGCCTCCCCTTTGGGTGGGGACGCATGAGGGGCCCTTGTGCTAAGCCACAAAATATGCCAGCCCCTCGCAGGCAGACCCCAGGCAGCACAGATGTGGGATTTGTTTCCCACAGCATTTTAAGACAGTTTGAATTGGTTAGAGGCATTTTAAAATGGGAAACTTTCATACAAAAAAATTGTTTCTGGCTTCTCTGGAAAAGACTAGAAGGCCTTGGGCGTGTGTGTCCCTGTGGTGAGAAGAGGCTGGTTCTGAGGAACGGGCCCCAGAGTGCCCTGAGGCCGTGTCCTCTTTTCCTTAGAGAGGCTGACGGTGACAGCTTGGGCCATTTTATGTCTCCTGCCTGGTCCCTGTCGTTATTTGAATTTGTGACCCTTGCTGCTGAGATCCTCCCCAAGAGAAGGGTGGATGCAACGAGGTTATTGCAGATTTTAAAAGTTGAACTTTCTCGGTGGAGAGCCCAGACAACACCCTTGGTAGCTGGGAAGCCACATGCTGGATGAGCTACAAGGGGCTCAAAACCTAGACTTTATAAAACTGACTTTTCTTTGTCACTTTTCGGTGTTTAATCAGATGATTAAAGTCCTTGAAACATGTCAGCTTTTTCAGGTGTGCTGAGGTTAAGGAAAGACGGAGAGGGCTGGGGGAGGGTCAGTGAGTGCTCTCCATTCTGGAGCTGTCCAGGCGCAGGAGGGATTCAGGGCTGAGCTGGGGCTCCACGCAGGACCTCCCTGGTCTTTCTGCCTGGAAGACAAGGATCTTCTTTGGTTGTTTTTGGACAGTTTAGCTTTATTCATGTTTGTCAGAGAGAAAATTTGGTTGGCTGAAGTGTGAGCTCTGAGAAAGGACTAAAAATAAGAAAACCCTGAGATGGACATGAAGACTCAGAAGACAAGAGACAATAATTTTTCTTTTTTCTAAATCCTGGGAGAACTTTTCTGTTTTGTTTTGTTTTTTAATGGCAGGGGGAGCTAAAGCTTATAAAACCCTTATAGAAGGAAAGGGATCCACAGTATGATTTGGAGACTGACTTCTTACCTATTTAGAATGTAACCTCTCTGTTCAGGAAGAAGCTTGAATTCATTTCATGGGTGACAAGTAGGCTGGCCCTGGAGGGACATTTAGTGTGTGCTCTTAGGTTATGATTTACTGCCTAAGCCAGTTAATTGCAACTGACCACAACCTATAGGCAAACATCGCAGTCAGGTGCCAGCAGAGTCCCTCACTCAGGGACAGTGCCACTGGAGAAGCCCAGCTGGCTTCCTCAGTGGCCTGGAGGCTCTGTCTGTCACCCACCCTTGGGGCAGGTGCACCTTTGCTTCTGACAAACACACACACACTGAGCTCTGAAGTGAGGAGTGATATGGCCACACCAAGACCCATGAAGGCGATCCTGTCGCCCAGCGTTTCTTGCTCTTTCTCAAATCCCCATCACATCTCTTTATTCCCCAGATGCTTTCTGGGAATGTCCTTCGAGCCCATTCTCTTTACTTTCCATCTCACTCCTCAAAATATCCTCAGCTTGCATTCTTGTCAGGGGGAAAACTATTAGAAGTTTTGATCAAACCCTGATGACCTGTCCTCTGAAGTAAGACCCCTTGGGTTTGGAGCTGGGAAGGGCATAATTCCTCAGAGTGAGAGCCAGTCAGGATTAACCCGCTTTGGAAGCCATGGCTGGCTGGTGGTCTTCACACATCTCCTGCAACATGGACCCTCGTAGAAGACACTTATCTTTGAGCAAAAATGAAGCCCAACGCCGGACTGATGTGTTGAACCAGAAGAAAAATGAGTAATAAAATGTAAAGATCCTTGTTTATAAGGTATGGCTACCCCTGTCTTCTGCATAGGGCTGAGATGGAGTGTTCCTTTCTTGAAGGACTGCCAGGTTTGGGGAGGTGATGCCAGGTGAGGAATGGGAAGGCTGAATCGCTTTGCGTTTGGGATGGAGCCTGCCAGGATGGATGCTGTGCAGAGGGTGGCAGGGGATGAGAGGAGACAGAGGCCATGCTGCCCCCTCACCCAAGAGTCAAGCAGATGAGAAGGGACATAGAAGAAAGGGCGTGTCCAATGTGGACATTGAGGTTTCCCGCTAGGATCGGAGTAGACACACCGATTTGAAAAGTCCACGTTGCTCACCAGTGCTTTTGTGTAAGTTGGTTCTTTTGGGAAAACTTGAAGAGAATGTTAAACTTCATGACTCAAGGGGCATGAGGGTATGTTAAAAAAATAGGATGCATGGAGAGCAGCCATGAAGTGTCCTCAAGAGTGTGCAACAATGTTGAGGAGGCATCGGTTTCCCACAGCCTGGCAGAAAGCGAGGGGCAGGGTGGTGAGGTTCAAGAGCCTTCCTTGCGATCGGGGTTTCAGAGCCTAGGGAGGGCTCTGCAGGCAGAAAAAGGCACTTTTTGTTAATACCTCTCTCTCTTGCTCTTGCTCTTCAGGGTTGGAAAATAAGAAAGTTGAGGAGGTTGTCAGTGAGGAATTTGGACAGGAAGGGAGTTAAGGGGAGCCAGGGAAGGCTCAGGCTGAGGGTGCCAGGACCTGGCCATGGATGTCTGATGTCTGAAACCCGGTGGCAACCCCAGCATTCTTTTAAAGGCTGCTTCCCCCAACTCCCCTGTTAACAGGGCTAGGAGTCCACTGAGATGCCGCTTGCCTTCTTCTTTGTTGAAGGGGTCCCAATGTGCCCACGCTCTGAGCACAGTGGGGACCACCCAGCCACCTCAGCCAGGCTCTGACAGCCACGGCTGTGCTTCCTGGGTCTCCTTCCTGACATAGTCTCTATCTACTGTCAGGACTGCTGTGAGCCTCAAATAAAGACAATAGGTGGAAAGTGTCTAGCATCTGGTTATGTTGGAAGTGCTCCGTGTTACGTGTTAAATCATCATCCACAAAGTAAGGCCCTGAGCATCTGGCTATTTTACTTTTAACAGTTTCTTATCTGGCCCACGTGAAGAGAGCAGTGTGACATTCTGGATGCCACTCTGAGGTTTGGTGAATGACCTCTCGTCCATCCTAGCTGGGGGCTCCTTGATTCTCACCTGAATCACTGTTCCATCCCCCAGACAGCCTCACCCATTCCATTCTGTCTCATATTCAGCCTCGTCCCCATACCACAGCCTGAATGACACTTAACAGGCACACCCGGTCCCTCACTCTTAGGCATTGATTTCTGTGGAAACCCACTATACTCTCAGGATAAAGCGGCACCCTGAGCTGGACTGCTGAGGGCCAGGAGTCCACCCCTGGTGGCCTCCCCAGCCACCCACTCTGCTCTGTGCCTGGTGGGAAACTTCAGGTCATGCATTTTGCCTCTTGGGGTTCATCCCCCCAGCTTTGCATGAAGCCTCTTGTCCAGGTGTCTCTGCATGCTTTTCCTACTTCTTGGAAAGGTTTTCCTCCTTCTTGGAAAGCTTTTCCTCTTCTTCCCAAATTAGTAACATCTTCCATATGCTCCCACAACCAACAGGAATGTTAAGGAAATTATTCGGCCTGTATATTTCAGCACTGGAGAGGGAAACACAGAGGTAACTGGGATCACAAAAAAGCTGCCATTCCCTCCAAGACCGGAAATAAGCAAATGTGTGCTCAGACACCGAAACAGCCAAACAGATGCCTTCCTTGTGATGCTTCTGTGGTGACCTTGTCCCCCTTCTCATGTCTGCCACCCTCAGCCAGCCTCCCAGCTACCTCTCAGCTGTCCCTCTGTGGTGGCAGCACACTCATTTGTCACAGTCTACATGTGGACTTCTGTTTTAGCTTTGGGATGATGGTCAGATGATGTCTGTCCTGTGCATAAAGCCCTCTGGCCCCTTAGAAAAAAATCCAAACTCCTCACCTGGGCTAAATGAACCCTGCCTGTCCTGGTTTTGTGCCTGACTCTCTGAGGGTCAACTCGCACCCTCCTCCTCCTTGGTTACCTGCTCCTCTGGCCTGTGCCTCCTTGTCCCTTGTCCCAGGAAATCTCTTCTCCCAGGTTTTTGCAGACTGTCTATTTCTTCTCCAAGCATACCGGCTCAAATATCACACCTCTGAGAAGAGCTGGCCTCCAGCCTCCCCATCTTTGTAAGTGGTCAGACATTCTCCCTCACACTGCCCCTGATGGGCTCCATCTGAACTCTTCTTGTCTGTTTATTTGCCTCGCTTTCACGTTGTCCGTGTCCCGCACCAAGTCTGCTTAGCTCATGCCTTGTCAGTATCTCCAGCAGTGCCTGGCGTGTGGTCACTTGCCAGAACTATTGGATGAATGTCTCACTTCTCCAACTAGATCATGAGCTCTTGAGCCATGGAATGGAATGGCTTCATCTTACTCTCCTGTTTTCCCCAAAGTAGGGACTTTGGGGAAAAGTGCATAGAAAGTGCTGGGTGAACATTGATTTTTACATTGTCAAATGTGATTGGCTGTCATTTGGTGGACATGAGCTGGAGAGGAAGATATCTGGAGTAACCAGTTTCCAAGTGGTGCCATGAGTTTTCCCTTATCTGTTCTGTAAAAATTGGGAGTATGTGAGATGGGGAAAACTTTCATTTGGATTCTAGTTCCATTGCTGCCACTAGCTGGCAGCTAGCTGTGGGTCCTTGGGCAAATCCAAAGGAGCAAGTCACTTAGTCCCTTTAATTCTTAATCCTCACATTTATGAATACAGGAATTAAACTAAGGACTTTCAGGGCTCTCTTCCACTTATAAATTCTAGACCTAGATCATTTTAGGCCAGACCATCACCGTTATCAGGCTGCTTCCATCTGGTTTTTTGAATAGATGTACGTGGATACTGGTAGCGTAATCCCAGTATGATGCTATAAGAAGCATCATTGTTTCCACGAGGGAGGAAAGGTATAAAGGTGAGGGAAGTAGTGCCTTCAGTGAGAACTTAAGAGATGGATGTAGGAGAGACCCGAGGGCTCTGGAGCTGGAGAACCGATGTTCACAGAATTCTCGTTCACTGCTTGTTCTCACATGAATGCTCAAAATGCGGCACATTACTCATTTTGGAGAACTGGGCTGAAAATGAAACCTGGTTGATCGAAGAGAAGAGGGCAATGAGGAGGACAACTGTTGAATTCTGCAGTGACTCTGGTCCCTGTTACAAGCTCAACCTGAAGGAAAAGTAGTTCCATGAAATGGTTCCAATGAGAGTGTTACAGGACCAACAGGTTCACATGCTTGCTGTGCAGTCACAGATCAATGACATGGAGACAGCAGGGTTTGCAGCAGAGATGGGAGTTTCGTGATCACAGGGTGTTGAGCAAAGAGATGGGAGGAGACCCTCAAATCCATCTCCCAGAGAAGTTCTGGGCTGGGACCCTTAAGGGGATCGTGGAAGATGAGGGACTGGAAAATTAGAGTCATTGATTGGTTGGGGAAAAGGGGAGGAACTCATTAGGATGTGGAAACTGCCATCCTTGGTGAGTCAGCTTCTCCTAGGTTCCTTCAGACCAGCTGAGTCAGCAGTTTCACTGATATGCAGGACCTGAAAGAATATCTCAAAGGGAAATTTGACGTTTTGTAATGTTGAAGTTGTTATCGATAGGGCAGTCAAGGGGAACTATAATCTTGTAACAGGGTCCACGGGATTCTGAGGCAACTGGCACCAAACAGCTATGAGAAAGTGGATCAGAGAGCTGCTGACCTAATGATGAATGCTGAGTGTGCCGCCAGCTGGGTTTATTTTCATTTCTCGCCTTCCTTTATTCCTTGATTAATTTTGTAAAGTTTACAGGGATGCTTTCATGAGCTCCAGCAGATGCCAAAAAGTGCATGCAGTGGGAAAAATGATGCACTTCAGAGAGGCTTGGGAGCCGGGGCTTCTAGGTGGACTTAGGACATAGGCCCTGGGAATGGCAAATGGGCACTCGAATAAAAACAAGGTCCAGGCACATGCCAGTCATGCCTCAAGAAGTGTCAAGGGGTGTCCTGCTTAGCTGCTTCCATTGACATTTCTGTGGGTTCCCGCCTGGGTATTTTTCTTCCCTTCGTTCTTGGGCTAATCTTATCTGGTGAGGTCTGACCTGGTTCTTGTCATCATTCTCCCCGGTGCGCTGGAGTGCCTGTGTGCCCGCTGAAGGCACTGAGGTGTGCATCTGCCTGTGTCTTCTTTTCCTCTGCCAAGTTGTTCCAGTTTGTGTGGGTGGGTCTCTGCCTCAGTTTCCCTGTCTAGCACCCCAGACCCTTGCTGGTGCTGGAACACTGCCCTGAAAACCCAGCTTGTGTGCTGGAGACACTACCCACCTGGTGGACTGCTTTGCCTGCTGGGCAGGAGGAATACACCCCCCTTCCCTCCCTCCTGGTTTCTGGACCCGTGGCGCCGCCACCCACACAGTGTCCTGGAGCTGTGTCCTTGATGCCTTAACCTAATCACCGTACCAAACCGCTTCTAACATTTACAGGCCTGAATTTGCTGGAGTCTTGGGGTTTTTTTAATAGACTTAGATGGAAACATCTTCTCTCCAGTGTCCACAGGGCTGGTTTCCGTAGCCACCGATGTACTCCGAGCCAGTCTTCTTTCCCTCCTGAGAATCAAGTTGTTGCAGTGGCATTATTCGGTTTTGTGGCTGAGCCCACACTGCATTTAACTTCTCCGAGACACTCCCAGGCCAGTTCCTTGAGAAGGAAAGTGACTTCGTATTTGAAAACAATACCAAACTCTATCTTGCCAGTATGGGAGGGTGATGCGAACTTTATCTTTGAACATTCAGACAGACCTTTAAAAAAATTAACTTAAAAATAATATTAACCTATTACTTCAGAAATGATACATTCAAAGGAAAATAAATCATCTGATTCCAGAGAAATGGGTTACTAGTATCAGCCAATGGGGCTTTCAGGTTTGCTGTACTTTTTAGATGGGGTGTGCATATTTATGTCAGCTGGAAATGTTTGGGGATAATTGTACCTTTTTTCAATGTTAAGTCAGGATCTTCTGGCCATTTTGCCCTTCTCTGAGCACATGGTGAGCCAGACTATTCATGGGAAACAATACTTTGGATAAGGTTTGCCAATTAAATCTCTCTCCACATTTCAATTACTTTCTCTAAGCAAGGTAGACATATGAAATAACTTTTCATTAAATATTGCATCTTGGAATCCTCAATAGGAAGGCAATGAAAAGCTAACCCAGCCCCATCGGATACTGAGCTCTTCCTTGCAATAGTCCTGTCTGTGACTGTCTAGCTTCTGTCTGAACACCTATGAATGACAGAGAACTCTTCCCCCAGGAAGATAATTCCATATGTGTGCTTCTGTCAGGTTGGCTGCATATTGAACCAAAATGTATCTTCTCGTGTTCCTGCTCTCCTACTCTTCAGTTCTAATTCTTTCCTTTAGGGCCACATGGAAGTAAATCCTCATTTTAATCTGGGTTCTCCAGAAATCAAAGCCTGATGCAGAAGGAAGGAGGGGTGGGGATAAAGAAGAGAGATAGGGAGAGAGCTCATATCAGGGAGCTTGGGACTGTGGCTCTGAGAAGCCACACCAACCTCGTTCCGGGGATGCCTCCTCTGCCATGGAAAAAGGGGGATTCCTGGACTGGCTCTCCTCTCCAGTTGGGATGCTAACTCCCCTACCCTTGGACTCATGCACCCCAGGGGTGAGATCACCTGTGGTGTCAACCAGTGACCTCTCCAGCATTGGGGGCAAGAGGCATGTGGCCTCTTTCACACTGTGCCTGCATCAGGCCCATCAGAGCATGCGTTGAGCCTATTTTTTATAGTTCAAACCAGGGCACTTTGAGAGTGAACCGGGGTGGGGGGGCGTCGCAATAATTATGCCAGGGCAACAAGGGTGACTGGGAGTGCTTCCTGGGCAGACTGGGACTTGCAACCATCCTCCTGAGCCCATGAAGAGCTGGACTAAGGATTCATGAGGCCTTGAGGCTCTGAAGAGGTGCATGAGAAGGTGTGATGCAACTCTTGCTCACACAATAGCTGGAGCTGAGGGTTCATTAACTCATTCGGCAAATATTTACTGGCTTGAGAGTGTTAGGACCTGCTCTAGGGTGGAGGGAAGCAATGGTGAGCCCAGCCATGTACAGGCCCAGCCATGTACAAATCACGGAGCTGGTCATTTAGAAAGGCAGATGTCACTTTAAACAAGTAATTACTTAATTACAATTGGGTAGTTGCAATCACACAGTTGGAGAAATGTTATGAATACATAAGAGGATACAAACTTTTCTAAAGATGTTGGCCATCAGAAAAATGTCCCTAAGAGAGAAACATTCAAGTTAAGACTCTAAGGTACGAAAAGAATTGGTCTGGTTGGATTGGATAGAGGAGGAGGGAAGGAGAGATGGAGAAGGGAATTAGGAGGGCAGGAAAGAAGAGGGTTAGAGATACAGCAAACCCATGAAAGAAACCTCCCAGGTCAAAGAAAGCTTGGCACCCAAGAATAAAAAATACAGCCCTGTGTCTGGGGCATGTGTCCCAGAGGAGGACTGGCTGGAGGTGAGACTGCATGGGGCCTGACACCACGCTGAAGATCACGGTTTCAGTGACTTAAAAGTTTGTGGAAGTAATGTTCTCCCAACTAGCTGCTGTTTGGAGCACGGATGGGGGAAAGAAAGCCTGTAGGATGCTCTTGGGAGTGTCAGGCCATGGAAATGATAGTTGCTTTGGTTAGGTTACAGGGAGTAGAGACGGAGAAAAGTGGATGAGGTTGAAATATATTTAGGACACAGAATGGGTAGGACTCAATGCCATGTTGGATGCAAGTGCGGAGGGACAAAGGGATCAAGGATGAGTTTGTCCTCAGCACAAATGACTTTCCCATGGAAGAACCATTTTGTGAAGTGGGATGAGCTTGTGTTGGGGGGAGGCTGACTCTGCACTGGTTTTGGGACCTTCTGAGGTTGAGGCAATGTGAGACCTTCACACGGGGATGTGCAGTTGGGAGTTGATCTGGAGGGCTGGAATTCAGAGCAGAGATTGGGTCGAGAGACGGAAATTTGGCATTGTGAACATGTTTGAAGCCATGGGAGTGGGTGAGACCTTTGAAGAGAGATCACAGAGTGAGAACTGAAGTGAGTTGAAAGCAGGATTTTGATAAATTCCAATGTTCAAACTAGGCTTGGAGAAGGAGCAGGAGCTCTGAAAGGAAACTCAGAAAATGTGGCCAGAGGGTCAGAGGGTAAACAGAGAGTGGTTCCTCAGGAAGCCGGGGAGTGGGTGTTTCAAGAAGCTTAGCGGTGTGCAAGGCTTCCAAGAGCCATGAAGAAACTGAGCAAGATGGCAGGCTTATCATCACGCAAGCCTCTGCTGGCCTAAAGGAGAGTGTTTTAGTGGCTGGATGTCCGACTGGGGGGTGCTGAGGAGTGGGGCTGAGGAAGAGTGGACGGACGGATGGCCAGATGAATCAAAACAAAGCTCCGGTGGGAAGAGAGAGCAAGGAGCTGGAGGGGACCAAATCCTGGGGGGGGGGCTCCCAGGGGCAAAGGAGAGCAGGCACGGATGCCAATGGAGAGGCATTTTGTGAGAAAAGGCTGAGGTTTTATGAGAAAGAGGGAAAAAGGGAGTGGAGTGCCTGAGGAGGCTGGGTGGGCCAGGGCTACTCGGAAGCATCTAGAGAAGTGCTGCCTTTTGATAGGAAGAAAGGGCTCTCGTTTTAGTTTTAAAAAAAAAAAGATGCAGTGAGTGGCATTGCTGCGCACAGGCTCTGGTGAAATGGCGTCAGGATGCGTCAGAATTCCTCACCGGCGTCTTCAGATTTTCTCTGAAGTATTTGAGATAAGATCATCTTCCATAGGGTGGCAGCAACAGTGGGAGGTTTGAGGGAAATGGAAACTGCAAGAAATTGTTACTGTGTGGAGGTGCTGGGGAAGCAGGCATTCGGAGACCTTTATTAGGTTTCATGATATGAAGATGACACAGGAGAGCTCATCAGCTCCAAAGTATTTACAATCGAATTTCCTAAAGAAGTGGACTGGCTGCACAGATTGTGGTCGCTGTCCTTCATGCTTGTGCTGGTATTTAGAGCACAGTGTCTCTGTCTTACCCCCCAAAGCAGCTCTGGACTCAATGTCTAATGAGCATCTGAGATGGCACCCCACCTTTTTAGTTTTGCTGTTTAAAAATAGTTTCACAAATGACTTTCCTCTGCTAGGGAGCAAATGTCAAAACACTTTCTGAGAACTCCCATGACCTGACTGTTGAAGTGACAAAGCCTATATCCCTTAGAACAAAGTAAATTCTGGTGCTTCTTTTTTGGTGTCTGTTTTGTATTGTATCTATTTTTTAGAGATGGGGTCTTTCCATGTTGCCCAGGCTAGAGTGCAGGGGGGGCATGATCATAGCTCATTTTAGCCTCCAACTCCTGCACTCAAGTGATCCTCGCACCTCAGCCTCCCGAGTAGTTGGGCCTACAGGTGGTGCCACCACACCAAGCTCTGTCTGTTGATTGGGATGCAGCTAGGGTGGGGTGAGTGGTAGAGGTAGATTCATTGGCACAGGAAGGCCCCCACACACATGAGACCAGAGGAACTGGCTCCATCCCTGTGTCTGACTTGCCTTTGTTGTAGAAGCAATGGTCCAGCTCCCAGGTCTAGAGGCTTGAGTTTGTTAAAATGTGCTGGACATCCAGACAAATCAGACACTTTTTATGGAAAGCTATATAAAGGACACCATCCTTCCTAACAATACCACAGAGATTCAAGGGATTCAAAAATCGAGAATGAAATCCGTTCCAAAGCACGATACTGATGGCCTAATTTTGGCTTATGTCCTGCTGAGTTACCCCCAGTAGTGGGCCTGAGCCCCTTGGGGGAGGGACAAAGTAAAAGGTGGGTTGGTTGGGGAGAAGTGTTGACCTGGAAGTTGTAGCTGAACTTCAGTAAACTCTTTTATGAGGGGTATAAGCTTTGCACCCTGATTACGTACTAGAAAGATAATTGCTATTCAAACTTAAAAATGGCTACATGTACTATCTTGGTTTCCAGTGCTCCACAATCTGGTTGGAGTCCCATCTATTCTTTCATGCTTAGTTGGAATCTTCTTCCCTAGCTATATTGATTAAATAGGGATGAATCACGCCCTTAACCACGCTCAGAGCACTCCTGAGATAGTATCTTCTTTCCCCTTTGTTATCAGTTCCTCAAAGACAGGAGGATGTCTCTTATGTGTTTATATTCCCAGGGTTTCATACTTAGTACTTTTTTGATGTGCTTACCTCTTTGAAGTTTTAGGGAACTTGCTCAATAATAAAGACTAGACATTGAATTTGCTGTCGAGATGTTCAAAGCTGAGGCTTTTTTTTTTCTTTTGCTGTGATTCCAGAAAATCCTGTCTTCCATCTGTGTTTGGGAGGCAACTGAGCGGTCTCGCCTGGCAGTTTCCTGTTGGGCTTGTTTCTTCAGCGGACCCAGGTCTGGTGTTCCTTCTCTGTCCCTCACCACGACCTCTCTACTATTGAACTTATAAAAGGGGAGATAAGGAGTGTAAACCATTTAGAAAACATATGTTTGATATTTATAGCTACAGAAGATATTTAAGGTGTGATTGATCACACGTGAATTTCCTTCCAAACAACAAACCGAGCTGGGAAAACACTCAGTGGTGTAGACCGCCCCCTGCTGGCCTCGTTCCGAACCCCAGAGCGCGCCGGTGCCATCCCGTCGCGTTGCCGCAGGGAGGGGAGGAGTACCGTGCCCACACCTAGGAATGTATCTTCGTGGAAACCCCATGGCACAGGGTGTTGTGTCCTTTGGAGCCCCTCCTCGCAGCTGTGAGCTATTTACTAATAGCTATCACGTGGGGAGGTTGTGTTGCTTTAAAAATGGAATGATATTTCTGCTTTACAGTTTTCCTAAATCTGGGCATCTAGTGAAGCTGTCCTTCGGGAATTCACGCTCCAGCTGGAAGCCAAAGGGGGAGGGCTGTGTTCTCTGAGGGAGTTGGAGGTCACCCCGTGCTGGCGAAAGGTCTGGGAGTGGAGCTCAGGAGGTCTGCCTTTGACTCCGGCCTCCTTCTCCAAACTGGGGGTTTCCTTGTCAATGGAGTGGTTTGACTAGGTGATTTCTAAGGACCCTTCAGCTGTGTCATGGTGGGCAGCACCGTCCTGCCTTCCTGGAGCTTACATTCCAGCTAGCGTGTTTACTCGAGCTCCTGTGCTCGGTGTGGTGAGAACTGACAAATGTGGTAGGTGGTCGAAGTCATCCACACCATGGACGGTTTACCACTTCTGTGACCGGACCCTGAAGTCGGGATTTGCTGGGAAGCACACAGGTGCACCCATCTCCTTCCAGGTCACTGCCCCAGTCAATTCGTGCTGGCTGAGGCCGTCTGCGCATCCAGCACTCCTTGGTAATTCTTGTATGTCTTCATTCCGCTTTTCCTGCATTAAGCATGGAAGCTCTTTCCAAACTTCTTGGTACCCGGGTCCTTTGATCCTCCTGCCCCTGCTGCTTACTCTCTTAGCAGAAAACCCTACCTCCCTCCTGCAGAAAAGACGCTGTCTGAATTGCTAGCCTTCCCCTCACTACTGGCTGGCTCTCATCAGTGTTGAATTTACCTTTGCCCCAACCAAAAAGCCAAAATACTGGATGCTGCATTTGCCACCTGCATTCCATATCTCATATCTTTCCTTCCCTTCACAGTCAAATTTCTTGAAAGCAGTGTCTACATCCACTGTCTTCCTTTCTTGCCTCGACTTGTTCCCGAAGCCACTGCAGGCTGGCTGACTTCCTCATCTCCACTCCACCGAAACGGCATCATTTCAAGGTCCCCCAGTACCTGCATGTTGCTGAAGCCAGTGGGCACCTAACACTTTTTGTTTGGGGCACTAGACCATTCCCCATGCTCTCGATCAATGCTCCTGGTTTCCCCCTTCATTTCAGCTGCTTATTTCCTGTGGTAAGGGTCCTGCTTGCTTTTTGTCTTCCTTTGCGTTCTTTCCCAGATGTTTTTCGGTTTTGCTCCCCATCCTGCCACCACGGGAGCAGAAGAGGCAGGTGCAGGGATGCAGAAGCACAGCAGGGAGGTGCTTTAGACGGGTTGGCTAGAAGGCCTGTGGAAGAGGGCATTTGGCCTTGCTCATTTCAGAATTCCTGCGAAGAGAGCACAGGGGCAAGGGCCTTCCCTAGATTACAAATGGAAATGAAGCACAAGCTTGAGTGCCAGAGCAGCATCAGCTGCTGTGTGGCGTGGGAAGGGACCCCGACGTCCTAGGGATGCAGGGTAGATCTGAGCTACTTGCTGGGGAGCTTGCCCTAGAAGTCTGCCAAGGTGGGGTTGGAGGGGCCCTGCAGATGAGAGCGGCCAGGTGAGCTGCCTGGACTGGGGGCAGGTGGGATTGCAATGTAACAAGTGGACGCCAAGAGGCCCCACCGCACAGCAGGAGCTGAGGTGGGGTTCGCCAGCAGTGGGAGACAGCCAGGCTCTTTGGGAGGGATGCCCGTACTAAAGGGAAAGTCACATTTCTCAGCTGGATTCCATTTCACTCTCACTTAAGTGGAACCAGCCAATGTGCACCCAGGACAGGATCCAAGGTGGGGACCCATGGAAGGAGCACAGGCCTCCAGCGCTGCGAAGGCATGGGCACCACTCCAGGCCCACATCCTCTTGGAGAAGAGCAAGAGAGTGGAAGAAGCAGGAAACGTTATTTACCCGCCTCAGAAGTCACCCAAGAGCTCGTGAAATTGGGCAGGGACTGTGGTAACATAAAGTTTCAAGTTCAAAGTTTATGTGTCCTTCCTTACTCCCGGTGGAGTGGGCTCATGAGAATATCCAAGTGTTTATAAAGGATAAAGAACCCACATTTTCTTTGCACATCTGGCTGGAAAGTGAGAAATGTATAAATTTTTGAAGAAACTGAAGGGACTGTCATACATCTGTAATAATGATACACGTAAAGTCTGTGGAATAACATGAAAAATCTGTAAGATGTACCATTAAGCGAGCAAAGAATAAAACTTGTGTGTTTGATTTTAACCGTGTAAAATCAAATACTTTTGAGTAAAACCTGGAAAAAACGTGAGGAAAATAAAACCAACTATCACTGTGGTAGGAGTGTAGGTGGATTTTTAAAAAATCCTCTCGTCTTATTTATTAAGAATAAAATAAGGTTGTTAATTCATTTTTTTGATTGTGGTATACTTTAAATTTCTTTCCTGGTGGTGCAGTGTACCCCACTTTTTTTTTCTTTCACTGGAACTAATGTTTCTGTTTGGAAAAGCACACATAGGCCAGGTGCACTTTGGGAGGCTGAGGCGGGTGGATCAGCTGAGGTCAGGAGTTCAAGGGGCCCTCCAGCCTGGCCAACATGTTGAAACCCCAACTGTAGTAAAAATACAAAAAGTTAGCTGGACGTGGTGGTGTGCACCTGTAATTCCAGCTACTTGGGAGACTGAGGCAGGAGAATCACTCGAACCTGGGGGGCGGTGGTTGCAGTGAGCCGACATTGCGTCACTGCATACCAGCCTGGGTGACAGAGCAAGACTCTGTCAAAAAAAAAAAAAAAAAAAAAAAAAGAAAAAAAAGGAAAACCACACACAATAAAATTTTAATAACTATTCCTTTCTTAAAAATCATGAAAATGCCATGTCATTTCCTTTTACTGAAAAAAATTACATAAAATTTAAGTATAAAATATGTCATAGAATAGTAAATAAAATATGATCCCATTTATGTAAAACAATGGGTTGTTTTAAATCCCATGTGCTACCTCTGCTTTCATTCCTCAATATTCTCCAATTTCCCTTTGCTTCCCTATACTTTTGTATTGGGAAACATTATCTATTCCTGCATAAAAAAATTACCTAACACTCAGTGGTCTTAAGCAGCAATATCTATTACCTTGCACTGATTCAGTGGACCAGGAATTTGGGAGTGGCTTAACTAGAAACTTCTTATGAAGCTGTAGCCAGGACCCCACCAGCACCACAGTGGCTGAGAGCTTTGTACAGGGGGTGGACACTCCAGCTTTTGCATACCACCAAATCCACAGCTTCTCCCAAATGTTAAGTTTTTGTTACTGAGGTACCTTTCTTCTGCATTCCAAAATCTACTAGTTGTCTATCACTGCATTAACAAATCACCCCACGAGTTGGATGCTTAAAGCAATGATTTCAGGATGTCCCACTCACATGACTGGCAGGCTGGAATGGGGCTGGCGTCGGCAGGTGCCCTTAGCTCCTTGCTGCATGGGCCTCTCCACAGGGCTGCTGACGTGTCCTCATGGCATGGTCATTGGTTACCCCACTAATGAGTGATCCCAGAGAACTTAAGGGTAGGCCAAAATATCTTTTGTTACCTAGCCTGCGAAGTCATACTCCATGATTTCTGCAATATCCTATTGGTTACACCCTTAAGCCATGCTCATTTTGGAAGAGAATACATGAGGGTATGAATACCAGGAGGTCGGGGGCATTGGGTTTCTCTTGGAAACTGGCTACCATAGTCTGCCCTCTCACCCCCAGTGACTCATGTCCTTCCTGCATGCAAACTACAGTCATCTCAATGCCCCCCAAAGTCTCATCCTGTAAAAGCATCACCTTGAAAAATCCAGGATCTCAAGATCTGAATCAGGCCCAAGTGTGGTTGAGGCTACTCCGATCCAGTTTCTCTTGATCTGAGGATCTATGAATGAAAGAGACAAATTATTTGCCTGTCACACATCCAACATATGATGATGTGACAGGCACAAGATAGCTGCTAAGACGTTCCTGTCTAAAAAGAGGGGAAATGGGAGCCGTACAGGAATCACTGGTCCATACCAATTCTGAAATCCATCTGGGCACAGTTTGAAAGTTACGTGAATAGGACTCAGTCCTACTCCTGTCTGGGAATGAGTCTCCCTGCTTCTTGGCTCTGCCCTGCCGGCCTTATTTCCATGTTTCCGTCATTCCTCCTTTGTAGACTACGTTTGAAACTGAGTAGTCTTTCAGTCTTCCTGCCTGCAAATGTTTGAGGGTTCAAAGCCACTTTTCATTTGTACCTCTGTCCCTTTCAGTCCAAGCTGGTGTTTCTGCCAAAGCAATTCTTTTCCAGTAGCTGGGAGCCTCCTTGATGGGCTCATTCCATTTGACAGAAGTCACGCCCGTAAATCTCTTTAAAATAAATCTTTCTCTTTACCTTTAGGCTGCTACTGAGACTGCTAAATGGCAACACCTTTAACATATGCAGAAGTCCTGCTGTTTGACTGAACAGTTCTTTGGGATTTTGCAGTCACACACTGGATGTCATCTTTCGATCTTCTTTTCTTGAGAGGGCCCTGGATATGTATGATCTTTGATAAGAAGCCAGTTCTTACCTTTAGCATCTTTGCCATCTGAAGATGGAGAGGCTGGGAATGTCCAACAGTTCCTGCTAGTATAAATAGCAGGAAAAAAAATCAGGGGCACCTTTAAAACTCAGTTCACAGGATACATTTTCTATTTTCCACATTCTGTAGACGACAGCGTTGCTATACGTTTTGCCACTGCATAACCACCTGTTTCCAATGAGTCGCCTCAGTTTCCTTTAAGCCCTCACAGACAACCTTCTCAAATGTCACCATGCTTTTGCTAACAGTCCCTTGAAAGTCCTTTAGGCTTTCATTAACATTCCTTAAAGTCCTGCCAGCTTCCTCCCACTGCCAAATCCACAGCATCTCCCACATTTTAGGTTTTTGTTACAGTAACATCCCGCCTCCACCTTCCAAAATATATTAGTTATTTACTGCTGCATAACAAGTTACCCTAAAACCTAGATGCTTAAAACACTAAAAAACATTTATTATGTCACCCATGTTCTGTGGGTCAGGAATTAAGGCATGACTATTTAGTTGGGTGGTCCTGCCTTAGGGTCTCTTATTAAATGGCAGTTAAAATGTCAGCTGGAATACAGTCATTTGAAGACTTATCTGGAATCAGCAAACCCAATTTCAGGATGCCTCACTCGCATGGCTGGCTGTTGTTGCTGGCTGCTGGAAGCAAGCCTTGTTTCCTTGACACACGGATCTCTCCACAGGGCTGCTTGAGTTTCCTCACAGCATGGCAGCTGGTTTCTTCCAGAATGAGTGAGAACTTGCTTTTTATGCCCTTGATGTGGACATCACACACTCATTTATTTCTGCAGTGACAGCCTATCCCACTTACTGTCGGGGGAGGAGAGTACACAGGATATGAATGTCAGAAAACAAGACCACTGAAGTGATCTTGGAGCCTGGTTGCCACATGAAATATATAAACAAGCGAATTTATGGTCATACATAAATGGTTTCACACAAAACAAAAGCAAAAGACCCCTAAAAACCAGAAGAGCACACACAGATATACACATGCCATGCACATGTGAGCACATAGAGTAAAAGAATAATAAAATAAAAAATACCAAGTATGAGAAATAGAAGATAACCAACAGCTTTAATTTTTAAGTCTTTGTTTCCTACATCTCATTACTTTCCTGATATGGGAAGAAATGGAATTTTGTGGTCCTATTTTCTCAGCCTTCTTTATAGTTTTTTTTTGAGGGACAATATTCAAAATATTTAACAACCAGTATGCCACGGGCACTGGACAATCAGATGGAATGAGGCCATAAACAACCAGCACAGCTACTCTGTGTGCGTTGGTGACCATCATGCTTGGTTTTACCACCTGTGTTTGTATCTCTAAATGATATACTCAGTTTGGAGTGTTTTTACATTTTTCTTTTTTCATTTAATATTATAGTTTTGAGACTTATTTATGCTGAGGGATGTAGCTACAGTTCATTTTCACTGCTGTATAGTATTCCACCATGGGACCACAACTTATTTTCTTTATACTTTCTCCTATGGCCATTTCATAGCCAAAAAAAACAAAAAACAAAACAAAACAAAAACCCCACAAAAAACAAAAACACCCCAAACTGGAAAGCCTTTTTTCCTGGAACTGTTAAAATAATGTTGCTGAGAAATCATCTGTGCATTTATTCTGGTATACTTGTATCAGAATTGCTCTAGATACATACCTAGTGAAGATATTCCTATCTTACATAGAAGCGATCCTTCAGGACTGTGTGTAGGATGTTCTTTCTCTTTGGTTTTTGTCACCTCTGAAGATGGATGGAAAATGTGTAGGCATTGGAACAGGGACCCCATTTTTTTCTGAAGGAAAAAACATGTTGTTTGAATGTGATCTCACGTGATTGAGAAAATAATTTATGATGTCCACACACCTAGTTACAATGACTTGTACCAGGAGGGGAGCCCAAATATTTTTTTTTTTTGCTCATTTTCTCCAGTTTGAATGGGGAGTAATTATGAAAAATAAACAGTACCTGCTTAAAGTATATAATTTGATGAGTTTTAATGTTTATTGTATACCCATGATACCATCACCACAATCGAAATGATGAACATTATCACCACCGAAGATTCTCCATGTGTCTGCAATCCATCTCAGGCAACGGCAAACCTGTTTTCTTTCACAATAGATTACTTTGTATCATCCAGAACCTTATATAAATGGAATCATGGAGCAGGACTCTATTTTTGTCTGGCCTCTTCCGTTCAGCATCATTTCGAGATTCATCATTATTGCACGAATCAATAGCCCGCTCCCTTTTTTTTTTTTTTTTTTTTGCCTTCAAGCATCTGTTTAACAAAGCACATCTTGCACTGCCCTTAATCCATTTAACCCTGAGTGGACACAGCACATGTTTCAGAGAGCACGGGGTTGGGGGTAAGGTTATAGATCAACAGCATCCCAAGGCAGAAGAATTTTTCTTAGTACAGAACAAAATGGAGTCCCCTATGTCTACTTCTTTCTACACAGACACAGTAACAATCTGTTCTCTCTTTCTTTTCTCCACATTTCCTCCTTTTCTTTTCTACAAAACCGCCATCGTCATCATGGCCCGTTCTTGATGGTCGCTGTCTCTTCAGAGCTGTTGGGTACACCTCCCAGACGGGGTGGCCGGGCAGAGGCGCTCCTCACCTCCCAGACGGGGTGGCCGGGCAGAGGTGCTCCTCACCTCCCAGACGGGGTGGCCGGGCAGAGGTGCTCCTCACCTCCCAGACGGGGCAGCCAGGCCGAGGCGCTCCTCACTTCCCACACGAGGTGGTGGCCGGGCCGAGGCGCTCCTCACATCCCAGATGGGGCGGCCGGGCAGAGGCGCTTCTCATCTCCCAGACGATGGGCGGCCAGGCAGAGGCGCTCCTCACCTCCAAGATGGGGTGGTGGCTGGGCAGAGGCGCTCCTCACCTCCCAGACAGGGTGGCGGCAGGGCAGAGGCGCGCCTCACCTCCCAGACGGGGTGGTGGCTGGGCAGAGGCGCTCCTCACCTCCCAGACAGGGTGGCGGCAGGGCAGAGGCGCTCCTCACCTCCCAGACGGGGTGGCGGCCGGGCAGAGGCGCTCCTCACCTACCAGATGATGGGCGGCTGGGCAGAGGCACTCCTCACCTCCCAGACGGGGTGGCGGCCGGGCAGAGGCGCTCCTCACCTCCCAGACGGGGTGGCGGCCGGGCAGAGGCGCTCCTCACCTACCAGATGATGGGCGGCCGGGCAGAGGCACTCCTCACCTCCCAGAGGGGGTGGCGGCCGGGCAGAGGCACTCCTCACCTCCCAGACGGGGTGGGCGGCTGGGCAGAGGCGCTCCTCACCTCCCAGACAATGGGCGGCCGGGCAGAGGCGCTCTTCACATCCCAGACGGGGTGGCCAGGCAGAGGCACTCCTCACCTCCCAGATGATGGGCGGCCGGGCAGAGGCGCTCCTCACCTCCCAGATGGGGTGGCCGGGCAGAGGCATTGGCTGGTCTTTTCATTTTCTTTCTTTTTTTTTTTTTAAAGCCAGCTTCCACTTTTTGCTTTAATCTTTTCAAAGCAATAGCTATTACATAAATCAGTGAATACAATATTTCAGCAATATTTGAAATGGTGTTCACACCCAGCAATTCCACTTCTAGACATAAATCCAAGAGAATTGAAAACATAGGTGCACACAGGCACTTGTACATGAATATTCATGGAAGCATTATCCACAACAGCCAAAAAGTGGAAACAGTCTAAATGTCTATCAAGATGAATGAATAAATAAAATGTAGTGTATGCATGCAGTGGAATATTATTTGGCCATGAAAAGAAATGAAGCACTGATGCAGGCTGCAACATGGATGAACTTGAAAACTTTATGTTACATGAAAGAAGCCAGTCATAAAAGGTCACATGCTGTTATTCCTATTATAGGAAATATCCAGATAGGCATGTCCATAGAGACAGAGAGGAGAGACAATGTATTTTGCAGATGAAAAGATCTTAACTGTAATGAAGTCTATAATTCTGTTTCTGTAGTAGTTCCAACTTTTGATACTCTGTTTAGGAAACCCATGCTATTTACAGGTTACTAAGAATTTATTTTCTTCCAGAAGTTCTACAGTTTTTAGTTTTACCTTTAGATCCTTTATCCATTCTAAGTTAATTTTTGTGTATGGTGTGAAGTGTAAGGGTTGAGAATTATTCATTTATTTATTTTTGCATACGGCTTTTCTATCAATCCAGCATTGGTTGGAAAGATTATTCTTTTCCACATTACTTTGCCTCCAATTTTCTATTTCCAGAGTCTTTTTTACATTTCATTGATCTATAGATTTACCTTCATGCCAATATGGCATTGTGTTTTCATTGAAAAGATCTATAGGGGTGTGAGGCATCATTGAGCTTCTTAGATCTCTGGGTTAATAGTTTTCATGAAATTTAGAAAATTTTTGGCCATTACTTGCTAACGTATTTTTTACGTCCCGTCAGAGAGCTCCACTTTTTTTTTGTGAATTAAATGGTATGTTTACTAGATGGCTTGATGTAGACCTACAGTTAACTGGTACTTTGTTCTTTTTTTTTTTTTTTTTTAAGACACGGTCTCACTCTGGCGCCCAGGCTGGAGTGCAGTGGCGCAATCTCTGCTCACTGCAAGCTCCGCCTCCCGGGTTCACACCATTCTCCTGCCTCAGCCTCCAGAGTAGCTGGGACTACAGGCGCCCACCACCACACCCGGCTAATTTTTTGTATTTTTAGTAGAGACAGGGTTTCACCATGTCAGCAAGGATGGGGGTCTCAATCTCCTGATCTCATGATCTGCCCGCCTCGGCCTCCCAAAGTGCTGGGATTACAGGTGTGAGCCACCACGCCCGGCCCTAGATTCATATGTTATTGTTAGAGATAATACAGATCATTTGTATGCTTTGCCCAGTTTTCATCAATGGTAACATTTTGCTAAGTTGTACTATAGGGACATCCCTCAGTATCCAAGCAGGATTAGTTCCAGGACCCTCGCAGATACCAAAATCCATGGATGCTCAAGTCCCTGATATAAAATGGCATAGTATTTGCATATAACCTACCCACATCCTCCTGTATACTTTAAATCATCTCTAGATTACTTTTAATACCTAATGTAATGTCAAGGCTATGTATGGCAGCTGTTATGCTGTATTGGTTTTTGATTATATTATTTTTTATTGCTTTATTCTTCACATATTTTCCATCTGTAGTTGTTTGAATCAGTAGATGCAGAACCTCAGGCTACAGGGGGTTGACTGTAATATCACAACCAGGATACTGACATTGATACAATGTACCAATGTTATCCAGAGATTCCTGGTGTTACTTGTACTCTTTGTATAGGTGTCTCTATCTGTGTCTATTACGTTGCATACAATTTGATCACCTGTGCATGTTCATGTATTCACCACCATAGTTGTAATACTGAACAGTTCTAACACTACAAGTCCCCTTTGTACTGTCCTCTTATAATTGCAGCCACCTCTCTCTTGCCCCTCTACCACCTCTTTCATCTCTAAGTCCTGACAACCACTGATCTGTTCTCCATTCCTGAAATTTTGCCATTTCAAAATGTTTTGTCAATAGAATTATACCGTAAAGTTTTGGGACTGTTTCTCCCCGCAAGCATAATTCCCTGGAGATTCATCCAAGTTGTTATTTGCTATCCAGTGTATTTTAATCTTAGACATTGTCTTTTTCATCTCTAGAAATTTGAGTTGAGTCATTTTTATATCTCTTATATTTCTAATTTTGTGGATGCTTTACTATTTTGAACATGTGGTGCATATTTATACTAACTGTTTTAATCTCCTTTTCTAGTCACTAATACATCATTTCTATGTCTGCTTCTGTTGATTGATTTTTATTTTCATGACAGGTCATTTTTTTCCTCTGAATGGTTAGGTCCTTAATTTTTTTTTTTTTTTTTTTTTGTCTTCAGTCTTTGCCTTTATTTATCCCTGTCCCTCCCAACCCCCAGGCTCCCAAGTTCTATCTCACTCCTCCACCTTCCCTGTCCTCTCACAGATGAGGTTCCGGGCTGTAATGATGGCAATGCTGCCCAGCACAACCCCTGCCCCCATGATGTCAGAAGGTGCCACAGTCTCATGGAGCATATAATACTGCAGTATAAGGGCCATCACCACCTCGGAATGCAGGACAGCACACACCAGGGCAGGGTGGGCCTTGGTGACCGCATAGCCCACACATGTGAAGGAGACCAAGGTGAGGATCCCCACTGCCCCCACACAACTCCAACTCAGGAGGTCACTGGGCAACACGGGGGTCTGCAGCACAAAGAGGCCTGGCACAGAGCCCAGCAGCCCCACCAAGCCAGATAGGAAGGCCACTGTTGGGAGGCAGGAGGGAAAGTGCAGAGAACGATAGACCAGAAGCCCCAGGGACAGCGCCAGTCCTCCCAGGAAAGCCTGCACATAGCCCAGGGCGGTGTAGACACCCGTGGTCCCCTCCTGTAGTGTCCAGAGTCCTTGCAAGCCCGGGGAGCCTGCCATAGCACAGCACCTTCCCTCGCCAGCCCCTCCCTCCCTGCCCACAGGGTCTTTCCTCGTGCGTGGCCACATGGCCCCTCAGGTGTGATGGTGCTGTCTGAGGGTGCTATGTGTGGAATGAGGTCATTGTGCCCGCAGGTTGTTTGTGATTAGCTGTCTGCTACTTCCATGACACGTGGGCTGTCAGTGACTCTGTTTTCAAATCGCAGCAAGAGCTCGTAGTCTTTTCCCTCTAGGTCTTCCTGCAGTGTGGACTGTTGGGCAGCATCCTAGGACTAATAATCATTGTGGGACCTGGACTCTGTTAGCTGTCTCTAACAATTGTTCATACAACAATTGTTCATTATTGTTCTCAAGTTGGGGCTCTCCCCAACCTCAGTCACATTTGGTTAGCAGACTCTGGCTTAAAAGTTTTGGTGACTTTGACTTTGACTTTGACTTTTGGGAGGCCGAGGTGGGTGGTGCCCAGGCTGGTCTCAGACTCCTTGCCTTAAGCAGTCCTCCCACCTCAGCCTCCTAAAGTGCTGGGAAGCATTACAAGCGTGAAGCATTACATCCAAGTGAAACTTCTTGAGATAGTTACATAATGTCTAAATCTGCTGGTGTAGAAGTTAATAAAGTGTAGAACTGAATAAATATTAAATATTAGATCAAGTTTCTCATGTTTACCTTAACGCATAAAGATTTATCTTAAAGCACTGATTTTCACAAAATAACATCAGTGTGAAATTGGAAAAGAAGCCAAATATTTTATTTCATGTATCTGGGAAATGAGGTGCTTTAGTCAACTGAATCTGCCCAAAACTAAAAAGCATTAATTAAAAAGTACTTAACTCAGAAATTATAAAAATAGGAGACATCAATAAAATACATTCTACACAGAATACGCCAACCATACACTACTCTTTTTTGATAATAAAAAATGTATTTACTGAGCCAGTTGTGGTGGCTCACGCCTATAATCCCAGCACCTTGGAAGGCCAATGAGAGTGGATCAGTTGAGGCCAGGAGTTTGAGACCAGCCTGGTCAACATGGCGAAATGCCGTCTCTACTAAGAATACAAAAATGAGCCGGGCACGGTGGCACGCACCTGTAATCCCAGGTACTCCGAAGGATGAGGCAGGATAATTGTTTGAACTCAGGAGGTGGAGGTTGCAGTGAGCCGAAATCATGCCACTGGACTCCAGCCTGGGTGACAGAGTGAGTCTCTGTCTCAGAAAAAAAAAAAAAAAAAAAAAAAAAAGGAAAAGAAAAAAAGTCAGTTGCAGTGGCTCACGCTTGTAATCCCAGCACTTTGGGAGGCCGAGGCAGGCGGATTACAAGGTCAGGAGATCGAGACCATCCTGGCCAACATGGTGAAACCTCCTCTCTACTAAAAATGCAAAAATTAGGCTGGGCACAGTGGCTCACACCTGTAATCCCAGCACTTTGGGAGGCCGAGGCGCGGAGATCACGAGATCAGGAGATTGAGACCATCCTGGCTAACACAGTGAAACCCTGTCTCTACTAAAAATACAAAAAATTAGCTGGACGTGGTGGCAGGCACCTGTAGTCCCAGCTACTTGGGAGGCTGAGGCAGGAGAATGGCGTGAACCCGGGAGGTGGAGTTTGCAGTGAGCCGAGATCCCACCACTGCACTCCAGCTTAGGCGACAGAGCCAGACTGTGTCTCAAAAATAGGAAAGAAAACAAAAGAAAATTTGGACTATTGCCAATTACAAATATTTTTAGAGAAGAATTCAAAACAGTAACTGTGGATGATGGAAACAATAGTTATGATAAAAGTCTGATGAAACTTCCCAGTTCACAAGGAAATTTAATTACTTATGTGCAGCATTTTAAGACAGTAATCAGAATCATGACTGACAGCATCATATCAGGGCCACCAGACTTTTATAAATTTCATACAATCTTCAGAAATAATTAATAACTTTTTTTTTTTTTAGATAGATTCTACCTCTGTCACGCAGGTGGGAGTGCAGTGGCATGATCTCGGCTCACTGCAACCTCCGCCTCCTGGGTTCAAGCAATTCTCCTGTCTCAGCCTCCCGAGTAGCTGAGACTACAGGCATGTGCCACCAGGCATGGCTAATTTTTGTATTTTTAGTGGAGACAGGGTTTCACTCTATTAGGCTGGTCTGGAACTCCCGACCTCAGGTGATCCACCTGCCTTTGTCTCCCAAAGTGCTGGGATTACAGGCATGAGTGACGGTGCCCAGCCATTCATGACATGTTTATACAAATATAACTTTAGCAAATATTTAGCATAACTATCAAAATTACAAATCATATTAAATTTGTATAAATCTATGCAATTTTTGGAACACGTGTATCAACAACATACCCATAAATATAACTGAGATGAGATCTAATGTCACCTCACTTGACAGTGCCCTCCCATGCAGTATCGCCACATTTGACAACGCCTGCCCATTTAATCTACCAAATAAATCGAATCACTTAATACCTCTGCAAGATGAGAGATACATTCTTTAGACTCCCCAAGGGATGCAGCTGAAAAAATCCCAAAGTTAGTTTTAAGCCAAAAAGACTTGATTTAGGATTTTGACACTGGAGAAACCCATCAAAGACGTCAAGTTTGAAAACACTTGATCAAAACAGAATCACAGGTCCCTATTAAAAGAGTATTAATTTAACCAGAGACTTCCAAAGCAATACAAAAACTTACATGGATATAAAAACCTCAACCCTTTTAAAGGTCACATTTGCTAAGTGATCAAAAGGGGTACTTGAATTGAATCGACACAGGAAGAGTGTGTACAGGGTTATGAGTGTAGACAGATGGTTACTTCGGTCATATCTCCATTTGCCACCTGATTACACAGGAGAATGGCATCTTTACTCACCAGAAAGCCAGTATTATAGGAGGTGTAGGAGGCATTCTTGGACTTGAGACAAGAACATTGTTGTGTAGAAATTTCATTGACTGTGTTAAAATTATTCTCCATGGGCTGGAGAACACATAACATGGCCTTTAGAATGAGACGGGCATTGATTGGATGCAAGGTCTCCACACTTACTAGCTGTGTGACATTGGACAGAGTGCTTCATCATTCCGAGACTCAGTTTTTAAAGGAAAAACAACTAACTACCTTGCAAGCTTGCTAGCAGGTTTAAGTGTAATAATGTGTGGGAATGACTGCACCGTGACTAACACGTAGTGACAGCTTAATTAATGTTAACCCTTATCATTATCATATAAGAATGTGAGTTACATAAGAGAGGAATCCTGTCAGTTCATTCCCTGCTGTGTCCCCAAGACCATGAATCATGGCTGGCATGTAGTAGGCATTTAATAATATATGTTCAACAAGTATTTGGCAGTCTTGGAGGGCAGAAAAGGAGGTAGGGAAGATTTTTAAATAACATTTTTTAAAAAGTCACATTGTCCTACAATACCGATTTTTCTTGCATATTTAGGAAATTGAGGGTTTTTTCCTAAAACATGCGGACATATGAGAAATAGGATGCAACATTTGCACTAATGTTTCAGACACAGTTAGAGGTTTCCAAGAGATTTTGCGCTGGGGAGGCTGCTTGCTACAAGCTCCCAAAGCTCTGGGAGGACATAGTATTCATTCCTCCCTCAGCAGAAGCGGTGAGGCAAGAAGCTCTGGGGAGCACCCAGCCTTGGACTTTTAGCATAGTGTGTCAGGTCTTCATAGTTTGGGCCCAGGGCACAGAGAAGTCACAGCTCTCCGGCATCCTGTGACCTTTACCCTCTTTGCCAAGGGAAAATGTGGCCCACCAAAGCAAGAAACTTGAGGGCATGGGTCACCCCAGCCCTGGCATCTGCCCAGAGCCCGAGAAGGAAGGAACAATGATCCTCCAGCTACCTCACGGGGCTGGCACAGGTGACCACTGCCCTGGCATCACCCAGCTGTGTCCGGCAGCCTGAACCCCATCTGTGGGGATGTGAGGAGGAAAATACAAAAGTCCTTAGGTGAACACTGAGAAGGCAGATGCAGCAGAAACCTCCAGGCCAGAACTACCCAGTCTTGGACCTATGGTGGAGATAGAGCATAGCTGGCGATCATGTATACTTACACTCTAAGGTCACCTGGTTGCACTGTGGCCTCATCTGTGGCTCTGAAAATGAAGATTTGGAAGGAGATCATCACAGCTAATGTTAACAAGCCCCTCCTGAGTGCCAAATCATTCACCCCTCACCACAACCGAATGAGCTAAGGATTCTCATTATATATAGTTTATGGAGAGGGAAGCGCAGACATAAAGAGGTGAATTATCTTACCCAGATCACACAGCTGATAAGTGGTGGAGGCAGAATAGAATCTAAACAGTGTGGCTCCGGAGCCCACATGCATTGATTCGACAAGTGTTTATTGAGCACCTGCCACGGACAAGGCCTTGTGTGATTAAATAGGGTTATAATTAGTAACATAAAAATGAGAAATCACTAATGCTTTTTAGACTTTACATTTTCTTTTTTTGTAGGTTTCAGGCACAGAACTGTATATCCAATAATAGTGAAATGGATCCCACTAATTATGACAGAAATGATGATACATTTAAATGACTTGGATGTTTTATAGGTATGATCTCATGAAACCTTGAGAGAAACTGAATGACGAATGAAACTATTGTTCCTGTTTCACACAGAAGAAAACTGAGGTTAAAAGGGGTAAAGTAATTTTGCATGGCATGAAGTAGAAATTCAAAGTACAGGAATTTGAACTTGGTTCTGTCCTTTTCTGAAGCCCTTGACCACTATAGACTCAAACATCACCTTGTTTTTCCACTCATTCAACACCTTTTTTTTAAATTATCTAATAGATAGGCACTCATCATGAGCTCCTGTTCTCATTCTGCAAATGGTGAAGCTCTCTATTGTCCTGACCCCACAGTTCCTGTCCCATGACCAGGGCCAGCTCACCAAGGAGCTGCAGCAGCACATAAAGTCAGTGACATGCCCATGCGAGTACCTGAGGAAGGTGAGTGCAGACAGATGGGGCCTGGTGCCCTTGAGCAGTTCCCGGGTCTCAGCTGCCACACATCTCATAGCGGGTGATGCTGGGGGAAGCTTACACAGTCACAGTACTGGCTTCTTCCTCTTTTTCTTTCCATACAAGTGGCTTAGGGATGGGGTAGAGTAGTTGACTTATTTGGATGAAAACCACTATCTTCTGTAAGAAACTCAAAAGGAATCATTGCTGGCATGGTAACCTAAAGAAAAACAACCAGACAAGTGCCCAACGACACTTAAAAAGGTTATTTATTATCTTGCCAAGTTTAGGCTGGGCATGGTGACTCATGCCTGTAATCCCAGCATTTTGGGAGGCTGAGGCTGGTGGATCACCTGAGGCCAGGACTTTGAGACCAGCCTGACCAATATGGCAAAACCTCATCCCTACTAAAAATACAAAAATTAGCCGGGCATGGTGGTGTGAGCCTGTAGTCCCAGCTACTCAGGAGGCTGAGACAGGAGAATTGCTTAGATTCAGGAGGTGGAGGTTTTAGTGGGCCGAAATCACACCATTGCACTCCAGACTGTGCGACAGAGCGAGACTCTGTCAAAAAAAAAAAAAAATTATCCTGCAAAATTTGAAAAGGAAATTCAAATCAACAGCTTCTAAACAACTTTTTAACATGACTCATAATAAGAAATACATTCTATAGTACATATATATGTTCTATAATTTTGAATAAAAGAATTAACCACATCACATTTATTTTACAACATGTAATACATATTTTTTATTCTCCTTCATTTGTTTTGAATGCTCTGTGCAGTCTACAAAAAGTCCAATAGTAATAATTAAATTAGTCATTAAGTTGAACATTATCTTGTCTTTTAAAATGATAATCTCAAAAATGATCTTTTATTTTTGAGATTTATATAGATACACACACACACACACACACACACACACACACACACACACACACACACACACACATATATATATATAGAGAGAGAGACAGAATTTCACTCTGTCGCCCAGGCTGGAGTGCAATGGCACAATCTTGGCTCACTGCAACCTCCGTCTCCCGGGTTCAAGCAATTCCTCTGCCTCAGCCTCTGAGTAGCTGGGACTACAGGTGTGCACCATCATGCCCAGCTAATTTTTGTATTCTTAGTAGAGATGGGGTTTCACCATATTGGCCAGGCTCGTGTCAACTCCTGACCTCGGAATCTGCCCACCGTGGCCTCCCAAAGTGCTGGGACTATAGGTGTGAGCCGCTGCACCCGGTCCAAGATAAAATTATTTTAACAATATACTATGAAGAGAAAAACACTGGCTATGAAAGAATATGCATAGTTTTACCCTGTTTAAAAATAAAGATTGAAAGAATACATATGCAAATAAGTTTACTTTTATTTTTGATAATACTTTACTGCATTGTCTGAATATTGACAATCAGTATGCATTATGAAGCTACATGGCTAACATTGAGTACTCACTGTGTGTGCCAGGCCCTGGGTTCAATGCTCTACATGCACTTATATTTCATTTAATTCCCTCTGCAACCTGAGATGGTATAGCCACCTCATTTTACAGAGTTGAAACTGAGGCTCAGAGACTGAAAGTTAAGCCTGAGGTTACAGTCAATAAGAGGCAGAGCTGGAACTGAAACCTACGTGTGTCTGACCACCAGTTCATGTTCTGACGGCAGGCTAGTCTGCATCACAGAGTGTGGGGTAGATGGTGCATGCCTGCTAGGATGGGCTAGGTATCACTGTAGGTAACAAACAGCCCCAAATGATGGAAATGTACACCACTGAAGGCTCTTTTCCTGCCCATGCTGCACATCCTCCATGGCTCTCCTGTGCCCTGTGCCCCACATGCCCTCATCCTGCCACAAGAATAAAGGAGCAGCCTCCATATGGGAGCTGTCAGCTGCCCTAAGAGATGAAGGAGAGGGTGGCCAGTCTCAATGGCTCCCAACTCTTTTGCCTCGAGGTGACACGCTTCACTTCCACTCACATCTCCTGGGTCAAAGCAAATCCCATGGGTACATCCACTTTCAAGTGGCCCAGGAGAGAAACTGAAATACCCGGTGGACTCCATTACGGCCGTCATATAGTGTCAGCCTGCATGGGAGACTGTGGAGGGGCAGAGGAGGAGAGTGGGGAACTGATGGGAAATGACAGGAGGACTAAGTCACCGCAGATTTGCTTTATCTTCAGCCAGGTGGAGTTTGTCCCAGAGCTGCACAAAATCATCACCAGCATGATTAAACAGAGTAGACTTCAGAAAAAGCAGTTTGGTCGGATGTAATCAGCAGTGAACTCAGAATCAATTGAGTGACATTGAGTCAGTAAACCTCTGACTGCCTCAGTTACCCCATATGATAGTTTTGAGGATGGGAACATTGAGAGAGTTGATTTGGAAGGATATCAAGAGTAAAAATTCCAACATTTTAGTTCCTTTAAGTGAAATCCAGGCACTGTCTTTCCTACAAGTCTCCTGTTCCTTTCAGATTGCACAGGTGAGAGTGCTCAGATTAGGGCTGGAGGTTGTAAACCATTGCTCCCACACTGACAGTGCCCCCGTGTCGTGCATGTATTCTGTGCATTTTCCTGTGCTAAACACTCTCCCAAAACATCGTGGGGCCTGATTCTTCCTCTTTGTTCCAATGGCCCTGGGTGACTCAAGTGCCCATTCAATGACCAGGACACAGAGGTCTTAGAGAGATGCTCCATGAGGCCCCAGGTGCGAGCCTGTACCCTGCCGGAGCATGAGGCAAGGGACAGGGCATCGTCTGTGGGGATAGTGGGGGTAGTGGGGGTAGTGGTCAGCCAGACTTGGTGACTCTACTTGCTCACCAGACGATCCTACACCTGCCACCTCCGATGGATCCACTGCCTCTGTGCCTGCCTGTACTGCTGATGCTCCAGTGGATAACTCAGCATCCCAGCCTAGGCCCAATGCCACTGAAGATGGACCTGCCCTCTGGGGACCCAGGAGTCCTACCACTCAGCTGTCCCCAGGAGTGCCCAGACCCTCATTCTTATCCAGGACCTAGGAGCCCTACCCCTGGCCTTCCCTCATCAGCCATAAATGATGATTTACTGCTGTTACCATCATCACTGCCTTCAGTGACCAAGGGCCTTCCAAGGTGCCAGCTCTGGAACGAAGGATGCCCTTGGGAGGTGATGACACTCAGGTACACGGGTGCTCAACAGATTGCTTCCTCCTATCCTCAGACGGTCTTTGCATGCATGCAGCCATTGGCACTCCCATTGTATGGAAGGAAACCAGCCCAGGGTCACACAGCTGCTCAGCAGCAACATAGCTGGTCTCAAATCTAAGGTGCCTGGCCATGCCTCCATGAGGGACCGCCTGCAAGGGAGGTTGATCCTGGCTTTGGGGAGCCTTTCCTGGGCTGCACGAATAACCTCCATTGTTCGAGACCCCAAACTCCGCTCACATCTTCCTTTCCCTGTCTCTGCTTGGGCTATGATCACGGTGACTCTAGCAGGCCTTCATGGACATTATAGTACTCTCTGCCATTCACTTTTGCTCTAATCTGACTTCAACCCCCACTTACTTGGTCTCTCCTTTTACAACCAACACAACCGAAATCTAGGGCTTCTTTTTTTTTTTTTTTTTTTTTTTTTTTGAGACAGTCTCATTCCATTCTGTCACCCAGGCTGGAGTGCAATGGTACGATCTCGGCTCACTGCAACCTCCGCCTCCCGGGTCCAAGGGATTGTCCTGCCTCAGCCTCCTGAGTAGCTGGGATTACAGGTCTGTGCCACCATGCCTGGCTAATTTTTGTATTTTTAGTAGAGACGGGGTTTCACCATGTTGGTCAGGCTGGTCTCGAACTCCTAACCTCGTGATCTGCCTGCCTCAGCCTCCCAAAGTGCTGGGATTACAGGCGTGAACCACCATGCCCAGCCAAATCTAGGGCCGGAACATGGCTGCAGCATATAAAAAGAATTGAATTCCATACTTTTGTTAACCCTGTTTTTTGTTTGTTTGTAGTTGTTGCTGTTTTTGAGACAGAGTCTCGCTCTGTCGCCTAGGCTGGAGTGCAGTGGTGCAATCTCGGCTCACTGCAGACTCTGCCTCCCGGGTTCAAACTATTCTCCTGCCTCAGCCTCCCAAGTAGGTGGGACTACAGGCGCCCACCACCACACCCGGCTAATTTTTGTATTTTATTAGAGACAGGGTTTCACCATATTGGCCAGGCTGGTCTGGAACTCCTGACCTTGTGATCCGCCCACCTCGGCCTCCCAAAGTGCTGGGATTACAGGCATGAGCCACCACACCCAGCCCCTGTTTTGTTTTTGTTTTGCTTGCTTCTTAGGGTTGTTTTTCTATTTATGGTAAAGGCATTGGCTTTCCATTTGTAGCATCAATAGAATATTTCCTGTTTACAATAACCTTATGTCATAGTAAATGGCAAAGGGATTTAAAGCAGTGGTTTTCAGCTGCCAGAGGCCTGAGAGAGTTTGGGCATACTCTGTGTGATCAGGCAGAAGGCCTGCGGGAAGTTTAGCAGAGGACAGGGCCAGGAAAGGTGATGGACAGTGGGGGTCTGTCCTGGTCACCAGGCCCCTGGGTCCTGCCCACCTGCTTGGAGCTCCCCACCCATCACACATGATGCTGCCAAGCCCTCTGGGTATTGTGGGCAAATACCTTAGGAGAGAAGCTGATGAACTTTGTTTCTTGAAATGCACAGATTCCTTGGACATCCCTGAGAGGTCAATCATGAAGGTCAACTTGGTTTTCTCCCCCTCATTTGGGTTCAGAATTTAAAGTCCACACACACAGGCAGTAAGATGATATAGATAAGGACATCATCACTCGGTTTCGGATGTTAAAATGTCTAGGTGGGTTGGGGTGATTTGAGATCACACAATCTTGTGCCACAAAGAGGAATTCCCAGGACAGAGGGAGACATTTTATTGCCATGTTATGATCTTATCATTGAGTTGAAAGGCAATCTTGTTTCATTTTGGATTCTTTCTTGTGTTTATGTCTTATAAGGGCACTTTGAATTTCCGAGCAAATAATAATTTTGAATTAGCTTTTAATCATTGACTTCTAGCACAGTTATATGATCAGAAACATGCTGTGTGATTTGATTGCTCTCAAATATATTGAGATTTGCTGGAACAAAATAAGTCAGGTTAATTTTTGTAAATGTACCATGCATGCTTAAAATGAATGTATCTACATTTGTTCCTGAGATACAGGTTGATGGACGGATGGCTACATGGATGTGATGGAGATGGTTTACTATCGGGACCTTCCGCATCCTGCTGATGTTTTGTTGCTTAGGATATGAATGGCTGAGCGGAGGCTGTAAAACCTGGCACTCTGCTTGGGTATGAGGTTCTTCCTGCCATCCTGCCATCATTTGTTTTTTATGTTTTGTCACCAAATTGACTTTGAGGAACCCTGGGAGCTCAGGAAGGAAGGAGCGCCCAGAAGCAGGGACAGGGAGCTGGTTGGGGAGGACCAGAAATCAGGTTTGTGAAGGTTCCGGAGAGGACCTGTCTTCGGGAGGAGTGTGGGAGACTGAGATGGGGGAGGGGTCATTGGAATGATGCGGGCGCTACTTGGCATTGTCCATTGTGAGGCACCACCGGAGTCATCAGGGACTGGTGGAGAGGGAGTCTAAAGCCCCAGGGTAGCTAAGGGAGGGCCCAGACCGAAGAAGGTTTGGTGGATAGCAGAACCTTTTTGTCTCCCTCTAATTGCTCCTAAGCCTCACGCTCCCTTGCCCCGCGTGTCCTGTTGCTTCCCTGATCTCCGTGACCTGTAGCTAAACCTTCCACCAGCGCTTGAGAACTTAATTTGAACTGGATCCTTTCCCAGACCCCTTTCTTCTTCTCCTCCTCCTCCACCTCCTCCAGGTGCCCAACAGCCCCCTTCTCCTCCTTTCCCTTCCCTTACTTCCCCCCTGCCCTAAGCCACCTCCACCTCTGTCCTGGCCGCCTCAGGGCGCCCTGAGAGGACCAGGACATGCGGGTGCGGTGGATGCTCTTTTGGCTCCTCTTTGGGCTCCTGCTGGAATTTATCAGCCATCAGTGCATCTGTGTAAGTAGACGCTGGACCCGCGGGGTTTCTTCCTTTTTACTGGGCTGTGTCACGCGGCATGAAATTACACAGCTCAGGCCTGTAATCCCAGCACTTTAGGGGGCCGAGGTGGGCAGATCACTTGAGTCCAGGAGTTGAAGACTAGCCAGGGCATCATAGCGAAACCCCATCTCTACAAAAAATTCCAAAAAAGATTAGTTGGGCCTGGTGGTGCGTACCTGTTACCCCAGTTACTGGAGAGGCTGAGGTGGGAGGATCGCTTGGGCCCAGGAGCTGGACGTTGCAGTGAGCCGAGATGGCCCCGCTGCACTCTTGTCTCTAACAAACAAAATGGACCAAAACAAAGTGAAATGTCATTTGATTTGTGTCATCTGGTTTGATGACTTTTCTTTTTTTTTTTTTTAGACAAGAGTCTCACTCTGTCGCCCAGGCTGGAGTGCAGTGGCAAGATCTCGGCTCACTGCAACCTCCGCTTCTGGGGTTCAAGCAATTGTCCTGCCTCAGCCTCCTGAGTAGCTCAGATTACAACGCCTGGCTAAGTTTTGTATTTTTAGTAGACCACCACGCCTGGCTAATTTTTGTGTTTTTAGTAGAGACGGGGTTTCACCATGTTCGCCAGGATAGTCTCCATCTCTTGACCTCGTGATCCGCCTGCCTCAGCCTCCCAGTGCTGGGATTACAGGCGTGAGCCACCGCGCCTGGCCAAAATATATAACCTTAAGTGTAAGTTTACTAACTTTGGAAAGTACATACACCAGCATAAACCGACCCCCTTTCAAGATCTACATTATTTTATTTATTTATTTATTTTTTTGAGACAGTTTCTCCCTTGTTGTCCAGGCTGGAGTGCAATGGGGCCAATATCAGCTCACCGCAACCTCTGCTTCCCAGGTTCGAGCGATTCTCCTGCCTCAGCCTCCCGAGTGGCTGGGATTACAGACATGTGCCACCACTCCCAGCTAATTTTGTATTTTTAGTAGAGATAGGGTTTCTCCATGTTGGCCAGGCTGGTTTTGAACTCCCGACCTCGGGTGATCCGCCCGCCTCGGCCTCCCAAAGCGTTGGGATTACAGGCGTGAACCACCGTGCCCAGCCAAGATCTACACTATTATGTCACCCCAGAAAGTGAACTCTCACTCTTCCCAGCCAGTCTCTTTCTTATCATAGGTTAGCTTGCTTATTCTGGAATTTCGCGTATACAGATGCATGCCATGCCATAGATACTCTTTTGTGTCTGCTTTGTTCTGCTCAACACCATGTTTCTGAAATCATTACCATTGTTGTATGGTTCTCTAACTCCATCATTTCCATTTCAGACTCAGCATATGCTGAGTTCAACCTGTTGAAGGGCTATCTCTGTTTAATTCACCATCTTGAAAGAAACATTTAAAATTGAGATGTTTTCAAGAATATATAGTTAAATCCTGAGGAATCAACGTAGAAATGTTATCACAAGCTGTCTGAACTTACTCAGGGGAAGTCTTCGTCTTCACTCACATAAGAGTCTAATGGAATTAATATCAACAATCTTAGAGAAATCCCACACTATTCATGCCATTTTCATGATCTCCACCTTGATAATTTTTTTTTTTTTTTTGAGACAGAGTCTCGCTCTGTCACCCAGGCTGAAGTGCAGTGGTGCGATCTCGGCTCACTGCAACCTCTGCCTCCCGGGTTCAAGTGATTCTTCTGCCTCAGCCTCCCAAGTAGCTGGAACTATAGGCGCGTGCCACCATGCCCTGCTAATTTTTTGTATTTTTAGTAGAGATGGGTTTCACCGTGTTAGCAAGGATGGTCTCAATCTCCTGATCTCGTGGTCCACCCACCTTGGCCTCCCAAAGTGCTGGGATTGCAGGCGTGAACCACCACGCCCGGCCCACCTTGTTAATTTTTAAGCACTAAAATTTGATACTTATTTGTGAATGAAGTAATCTCTTCATTGTATTGTTTTTTTTACTTATGCTGAGATTTAAATGACAAAGATTCATATAATCTGAGAAAGAAGTATTATTTAGAGGGATTCTTTTACCATGTGATATATAATAAATGCATCCAATGTTATACATCAATTTAAAAAACAAGTAAATAACTTTAAAGAAAAGATAACTACTGGCCAGGTGCAGTGGCTCACACCTGTATTCCCAGCACTTTGGGAGGCCGAGGCAGGTGGATCATGAGGTCAGGAGTTGGAGACCAGCCTGGCCAAGATGGTGAAACCCTGTTTCTACTAAAAATACAAAAATTAGCCGAGGGTGGTGGCAGGCGCCTGTAATCCCAGTTACTCAGTAGCTGAGGCAGGAGAATCGCTTGAACCTGGGAGGCGGAGGTTGCAGTGAGCTGAGATCATGCCACTGCAATCTAGCCTGGGTGACAGAGCAAAACTTTGTCTCAAAACAAAAAGAAAAGAAAAGATAAGATAATTACTTTATACTTAGCTTGTCTTACCCATGAGTGACGGGCTGCATGGCCCAGGACAGTTTTGAATGCAGTTCAACACAAATTTGTAAACTTTCTTAAAACATTAGGAGATTTTGGCCAGGTACAGTGGCTCATGCCTGTAATCCCAGCACTTTGGGAGGCTGAGGCGGGCAGATTACCTGAGGTCAGGAGTTCGAGACCACCCTGACCAACATGGCAAAACCCCATCTCCACAAAAAATACAAAAATTTGCTGAGTGCACTGTCAGGCACCTGTACTCCCAGCTACTCAGGAGGTGAGGCAGGAGAATCACTTGAACCTGAGAGGCAGAGGTTGCAGTGAGCCGAGAGCACACCACTGTACTCCAGCCTGGGTGACAGAGTGAGACCCCATCTCAAAAACAACAAACAAAAACAAAAACAAAAACAAAAAAATGGCTGGGCACGGTGGCTCACACCTGTAATCCCAGCACTTTGGGAGGCCGAGGCAGGCAGATCGCCTGTCAGGAGTTCAAGGCCAGACTGGCCAACATGGTGAAACCTCATCTCTACTAAAAATACAAAAATTAGTCGGGCATGGTGGCAGAGACCTGTAATCTCAGCTACTCGGGAGGCTGAGGCAGGAGAATGGCTTAAGCCCAGGAGCTGGAGGTTGCAGTGAGCCGAGATTGCACCACTGCACTCCAGCCTGAGCGACTGAGTGGAGCGGAACTCTGTCTCAAAAAAAAAAAAGAGGTTTTTTTTAGATCCTCAGCTATTGTTAGTGTTAGTGTATGTTATGTGTGGCTCAAGACAACTTTGCTTCTTTTAATATAGGCAGGGAAGTCAAAAGATTGGATATCCCTGCTTTATACCAAGAAAGACAACACCCCACATTGGCAATGCCTACAAACACTACTAGCCATCTGAAAAACATGTGACTTCTAACTTCTGTTCTTTTTTGTAGCAGTGGAATCCCACGGTGATATCTGAGGGATGTGGTTACCTTTTGGAGGAGGTTGACGGTTTCTAAGGATGATTCTTTCTGAGTGAAATATTGTCAGTGTCATTGACCTTTTCATTATTTCAACTATTATTATTCCAGGTTATCAATACTCTGGCTGACCATCATCATTGTGGGACTGGCTTTCGTGGAAGTCCTTGGTTACATTTCATTATTGCGTTTCCGAGAAGTTATAAAGTTTTCATTATCCTCTGGACAGTTTACCTTTGGGTGAGTATACTAACTTTCTGTAGAGGTATACTTGTAATCACAAATAAGAATAAATTATATAAAACAATTCACGTTTCTGGACTTCATTATGAATATGTGGTTTTACCCAAAAAATCAGGGAAATGATTTATTAGCATAAGAATTATGAAAATATCTGCCATTTGCATTACAAAAATTAAATAGGTCGGTGTTTGTTTAATAGAATGTCAACAGAGCTTTTGGTGAAAAATAAGCTTTTTTAACCTTTGTGCTATTTATTACAAATGGAGTATGAGGTTTCGTCACTTAAAAAGGAAATTCTTTCTAAACTCTTCTGCTTTATAGTTCTATCGTATGGGTGGAAGGAAAGCTTCCAATCTCCTCTCTGAAGATTCACTGCAGAAATGAGCTGACAACAGACAGCTTAACAGGAAAAGAAAAACATAGAACAGGCATAAACATGGGAACAAGCTGAAAAATGAGACTGCTAGAAGGGCCGGATGGTTGATGCTTAAAGAGCACCCTCTTCTGAGGGGAGAGGGAGATAGATGGAGATGTAGGCCATTTAGAGGGGCAGCAAATGATTTTTAGGGGAAATGAAAGAGGCCAAGGAACAAACAATTGGCCTGAGACAAAGTTCCTCTGAGGTCATAGGGACGAGGTGACAAACTGCCGGAAGGTGAAGGGCAGAACTGCACTGCGTCTCATGATGCAGAGAAAGCCCCAGAGAATCTCTTAGAACTGCCCTCCAAGAGAATCAATGAAAAGTGTGTCTGGGCAGGGTAATTTTGAATGACATCATTCAAAGTGCATTTTCCCACTTGCAACTGGAGAGAGATCAATATGGCAAAAGTCTGTACTTGGTAAGAATTTGGCTGCTAAGTTGTGCCATAATTTGTCTTTTGAGCCTTTTTTCCTTTGGGTAAGTTGAGCTCTACATTTTGTCTTGCCATTCATGACAGTAAAAATGTGGTTGTCTGAGGGCTGAACCTCCTTCTGAACAATGATCCAAGATAAAAGTACTAATACCACAATGCTTTTTTATATTCAAGGGAATATAAAGTATGTTTCAGTTTTACCACCTAGATAATTACACGTCATTTGGCACTGCCTTTCAAGATATGTAGAAAACAGAAAATATATGAGTTATGAAGATATCTAGGCACATTTAACATTCTCTATGCCACTTAGTCCTGAACAGAGAATTTTCGGTATAAATTGGAGGAAGCTTTTTTTTTTTTTCCTTCCTTTTCTCACCCCCGAGACAAGTCTCCCTCTGTTGCCCAGGCTGGAGTATAATGGTGTGATCTCGGCTCACTGCAACCTCCACCTCCTGGCTTCAAGCGATTCCCCTGCCTCAGCCTCTCAAGTAGCTGGGATTACAGGTGCCCACCACATGCCCAGCAAATTTTTGTATTTTTAGTAGAGTCGGGGTTTTACCATGTTGGCCAGGCTAGTCTCAAAACCCGACCTCAAATGATCCACCCGCCTCAGCCTCCCAAAGTGCTGGGATTACAAGCGTGAGCCACCACGTGAGCCAGGGGAAGTTTTTAAATTTACCACTTTTTAACAATTCCATTTAGGAAAGTTCAGTTGAGCTGTTGGACTTGGACAACTTCACACCTCTCATCTTTGTCCTTGTCATCTAGTCATCTATACCATTACCTCCTAAGCAGGGACATCATGGGTGCCATGAAGCATTCATGCGTGATGGCATTTCTTTGCTTATCATTTCTTCATGTGTTTGACATTTCTCCTAGCTCCAAACTGGGCCAGCTACCTTTCCTATGAAATCTAGCAGTAGTTGTGGGATTGACGTGGTTGCTCTTTTCATCTTTTTAGATTACCCATTGCTTCTCTCGAAATCCTAGTACATGATTTTTTTTTTTTATCCTATGTGCAGAAATCAGGAAAAAACAAATTCTACAAAGAATTTGAAAGATATTATTTCAGGCCAGGTGTGGTGGCTCATGCCTGTAATCCCAGCACTTTGGGAGGCTGAGGCAGGTGGATCACTTGAGGTCAGGAGTTCAAGACCAGATGGGCCAACATGGTGAAACCCCATCTCTACTAAAAAGACAAAAATTAGCCAGGCATGGTAGCAGGCACCTGTAATCCCAGCTACTTGGGAGGCCGAGGCACAAGAATCGCTTGAATCTGGGAGGTGGAGGTTGCCGTGAGCCAAGGTAGCGCCACTGCACTTCAGCATGGTTGAGAGTGACACTCCATCTCAAGAAAAAAGTCATTTCAATGACTACCTCAGGAGATTCATAGGTATCTGACCCACATCTGAGATGGGATTTGCATTGCATTTTAGCTATGATGAGAACAAATATTTAATATCTTAGAAGATTAAAAGCACACTGTGATAATATGGAAATCTTGGTGGGAATTCAGTCATTAGTGAGAATGTTTTGCGTTAAGTTCAAACCAGCCTCAATGAAGCTGATGTGAGGGAAGGGAAAGTGAACTCTGAGTAGAGCAGGGACAGAAGGAAGATGCTCCAGTGCAGATCAGGAAGGAGCAGGGGGTGAAATGTTACAAAATTCTAGAACTCAGAGAGCTGAAGGTAATTACTTCCTTTTCAAGTTGTGAAACATGTTAACCTGTGGTAAAATACTTATAAGATGATAATAACCATCTAACCGTGTTGAAGTGTACAGTTTAGTTGTGTGAAGTATATTCATGTCATTTTTTTTTTTTGAGACGGAGTCTCACTCTGTCACCAGGCTGGAGTGCAGTGGTGGGATCTTGGCTCACTGCAACCTCTGCCTCCTGGGTTCAAGCAGTTCTCCTGCAACCTCTGCCTCCTGGGTTCAAGCAGTTCTCCTGCCTCAGCCTCCCGAGTAGCTGGGACTACAGGCGTGCATCACCATGCTCAGCTAATTTTTGTATTTTTAGTAGAGATGGGGTTTCACCATGTTGCCCAGGATGGTCTCCATCTCTTGACCTTGTGATTCACCCGCCTCGGCCTCCCAAAGTGCTGGGATTACAGATGTGAGCTACCGCACCTGGCCTATTTTTTTTTTTTTTTTTTTGAGACAGAGTTTCAATTTTGTTGCCCAGGTTGGAGTGCAATGGCACAATCTCAGCTCACCACAATCTTTTCCTGCTGGGTTCAAGTGATTCTCCTGCCTCAGCCTCCCGACTAGCTGGGATTACAGGCATGCACCACCATGCCTGGCTAATTTTGTATTTTTAGCAGAGACAGCTTTTCTCCATGTTGGTGAGGCTGGTCTCAAACTCCCGACCTCAGGTGATCCGCCTGCCTCGGCCTCCCAAAGTGCTGGGATTACAGGAGTGAGCCACCGTGCCAGCCTCATGTCATTCTTGTGTGTGTGTGTGTGTGTGTGTGTGTGTGTGTGTGTGTGTGTGTGTGTGACAGAGTCTCATTTTGTCGCTCAGGCTGGAGTGCAGTGGTGTGATCTCGGCTCACTGCAACCTCTGCCTCCCAGCTTCAAATGGTTCTCTGCCTCAGCCTCCCGAGTAGCTCGGATTACAGGTGCCCGCTGCCATGCCCAGCTAATTTTTGTATTTTTAGTAGAGACGGGGTTTCACCATCTTGGCCAGGCTGGTCTTGAACTCCTGACCCCGTGATCCACCTTCCTTGGCCTCCCAAAGTACTAGGATTATACGCATGAGCCACCGTGCCCAGCCGTCATTCTTATATTATTATTTCCTAGATGTCTCTCCTGAAGACTATCTTGTGGTCTCGAAATGGACATGATGGATCCACGGATGTACAGCAGAGAGCCTGGAGGTCCAACCGCTGTAGACAGAAAGGTATGGCTCTGTTGGAGTCCCCATAGTGTGGAAATGAGTTTGCCCTGGAAAGGGAAAGAACAGCTTCTTGCCCTCAGGTTTCTCACCTTCTCCTCTCCTCACTCTCACCAAGGGCTGAGGTCCATTTGTATGCACACAAAGAAAAGAGTTTCTTCCTTTCCAGGAAATAAAATTGGCCTGAAAGACGTCATTACTCTATGGAGACATGTGGAAACAAAAGTTAGAGCTAAAATCCGTAAGAGGAAGGTGACAACGAAAATCAACCATCATGACAAAATCAATGGAAAGAGGAAGACCGCCAAAAACCAGTAAGATGTGCCTTGACACAAATACTGTTGTATGAACCATGTGCCAATCAAAGTAGACAACTGTAAAGTCCTTGAGAATATTTTCTACAATATTTGTGGCAAATTCAGTGGGTTCAAAATTGAGTTTGTCCTTTCTGCTTCATTAGTTTAAGCTGTATAATTCCTTTCCCTTCCTACATTCTTGTTTGTCATTTTTCGGGGGAAGAGGAGTTGCTAGTACTGGCATTGGTTTTCCTTTCTCTCTCTCTCTCTCTTTTTTTTTTTCTTCCTGAGATGGAGCTTTGCTGTTGTTGCCCAGGCTGTAGTGCAATGGCACAATCTCAGCTCACTGCCTTTTGGGTTCAAGCAATTCTCCTGCCTCAGTCTCCCAAGTAGCTGGGATTACAGGTGCCCACCACCACGCCCAGCTAATTTTTGTATTTTTACTAGAGATGGGGTTTCACCATGTTGTCCAGGCTGGTCTCGAACTTCTGACCTCAGGTAATCCACCTGCCTCAGCCTCCCAAAGTGCTGGGATTAGAGGCGTGAGCCACCACAGCCAGCCTTTTTTTTTTTTTTTTTTTTTTTAATTTTGAGATAGAGTCTCGCTCTGTCACCCAGGCTGGAGTGCTATGGTGCAATCTTGGCTCACTGCAACCTCTGCCTCCCAGTTTGAAGCAATTCTGCCTCAGCTTCCCGAGTAGCTTGGATTACAGGAGTGTGCCACCACATTTGGCCAATTTTTTTTTTTTTTTTTTTTTTTGAGACAGAGTCTCACTCTGTCACCCAGGCTAGAGTGCAGTGGCATGATCTTGGCTCACTGCAACCTCCACCTCCCAGGTTCAAGCGATTCTTATCCCTCAGCCTCTTGAGTAGCTGGGACTATAGTCATATGCCACCATGCCCGGATAATTTTTGTATTTTTAGTAGAGGCGGGGTTTCACCATATTGGCCAAGCTGGTCTAGAACTCCTGACATCATGATCCGCACACCTCCGGCCTCCCAATGTGCTGGGATTACAGGCGTGAGCCACGGTGCCCGGCCCAATTTTTGTATTTTTAGTAGAGACAGGGGTTCACCATGTTGGCCAGGCTAGTCTTGAACTCCTGACCTCAGGTGATCTGCCTACCTCAGCCTCCCAGTGTGAGCCACCACACCCAGCCTGGATTGTTGAATTCAATGCTTGGGTCACCTCCAGATTCATTTTCACAGTCTTTCATGTTTTGGTCATATTACATTGTATTTTGCTGCCATATGACTGATCTTTTTTTGTTAAATGTGAGATACTTGTTACAAAATATTTAGCAATGAATTGAGGCCTAGCAGCATGTTATCTTGCTGCAGAAGAGATGGGAGTCTACTTCTGGGGGATGGTCAGGGGTCCTCCATACAGGCTGCAATTGAGGTCGTCGGTGCAGGCTCAGTCCCTACAAAGGCCAGGGTATTTCCTGTCCACCTTTATTCTGATGCATGACTCTTCTGGGTCTCAACCAGAGCCAGTGGACTTCAGTATGGGTAGCTTTCATTGGCAGACCCTCAATCCACTTGTTTTCCATCTAATCCCACGCATGTGTGCAAAAGCTGCTGTGCTTCTTTGCATCTCAGTAGTTCCTTCTGGAATTCAGCAATGAAACTCAGGGAAATGGGTTCCAAATGCGAGGCTGACTTTCGTCCTGGGTTTCCTTCTTCTCCATCTTCACCTCATGTCTGTTTACTGCCATGTTAGCAATTTGATGTATTCAATCATGGGTTTTATATTCTGTTTGGTGTCCCCCATTGTTCTCATCGGAGATCAGAAGCTTCAGATGCACTTATGTCAACTCAAGAGTAGAATGCTTCCTTAGCTTCCCTCCAGAGTCAGGTTTTGTGTTTCTAGTTCCCAAGTGCACAGCAGGAGTAGTGATGTCCTCACTGGCTTCTCATTTGCATTAAACTGTGAGCTTCTTTAGCGTGGGGACAGGACCCTGCTCCCATTGCATTCTCAGCACCTCACCACACACTCCTTGTTTGAGGCCACTCCAGACAGCATGTGCTGAAGGATGCCCTGTGGTCAGAAACAAGTTCATTAACTTTCTCTTTGAAGTGTTTTAGTCCCTGTTTCCTAGCGTTCTGGGAATTTTACACATCCTTCCTATAAAACCAAGTATCAGGTGAGATCCTTAGGATCAGGACCATGAATCAAGTGGTGTGAGGGCAACACAGCAAACTTACCCTCTTTAGGCCATTTCCTTTTTCTGCCCTCAATCTCTGTGAACTGAACCTTGTTAAAGTCAGTCAACACCAGGGTGGATGGTTTGCCGTTGTCACCTATTTTCAGGACATAACACCCTGACTTAGGAGCCATTCCAATCATTTGTAATTCAATAGATGTGCCCAGCATTCAGATTGCCTTTTCTCTCAACCAGGATCTTTAAAGTCGATCACAAGAGTTCCAGTCCTGAATCATGGCAAAGTGCAGTAGTGAACTGCGGGGTTAATGACACCATATTCTGGAAGGATCTCTCTATGGCTGATGGTCTCAGTTCCGGCATCAGCCTCTGACTGAGAATCAGGTCTCACACAGGAGGAGTCAGATGAGGAGCAATCCTCTGCTTCCGATGGAGTTAGTTGTGATGAATTGGTGAGGTCTGGTTTTTCACACTGAACTAAAATGAGCTTTCGCTGTGTCAAGCACAAGACTGACCCCAGAGACACACATAGTGCACCTCATAGAAGCTTTTAATAGTCTTTATATTTACTAAAGAATAGGACTAACTATGGAACTATGAAGATGAGCTGGAAATGACAGGTGACTTGCCAGCAGGCCAGAGTGTGACTTTTTTTTTGTCCCTCAATGGGAGGTGTCAATTCTCCCTTCGGTTGTGAGAATCAGTTGGTTCATTTGTGGGAAGGTTGCAGGGGGGATCTTTGAATCACAGCCTTCAGATGCCAGAAGGGCAGAGGGAATCCCACACGGGCTGGTGGATCATGTGTGTGCATTTCTCTCCCTTCTAATCTGAGGAAACTAAGCATGAAAGAATGTGAGCATGCAGAAAAGGAGAGGCAGGTATCAGAGGCAGAGGAAAATGGGAAATTGGATATGAAAGAAATACACACCTACAAGTGAGTTCAGAAACTGAACCCCACCCTCTTGGGAAACGCCCATTGGAGTGTTGTTTTTAACCTCTGTACAGTGTTTAGACCCAGTAAATGCAGAAATAGAAACAAATGGTCAGAAGACATATCGAGAGAGAGAGAGAGAGAGTTCACAAAACAGAAAACAAAGTACCTTAATATTTACCAGTGACCAAAAGATGTGAAGTAGCAAAACGTCTCCTGACCCCATTGCCAGCTAGACTGTGTGGAAACTCGGTTCATACCAGCCATTCTAGGGGTGGGGTGAGTTGTTGTCATCCTTAGGAAAGTGTGTTGTTGTAGGATCAACCACATCCTTCAAAAGGACTATGCCTGTTTATAAGCCCAGCTGTTTCTGCCCTGTGAAACACGGTAAGGATATTAATACAAAGAGAATACAGCTTTATGATAAAAGATGCTCAATGAAGGATGAATTAGGGATATACTGAGAATGGGGAAGGAAACTATCATCTCAGAAGTCAGCAGGCAGTAAGCAAGAGGAGGAATCAATATAACAACAGTTTGGATCAGACTGTACTGTTTTTTTGTTTTTGTTTTGTTTTTGTTTTTCTGAGATGGAGTCTCGCTGTGTCACCCAGGCTGGAGTGCAATGACGTGATCTTGGCTCACTGCAACCTCCGCCTCCCAGGTTCAAGTGATTCCCCTGCCTCAGCCTCCCGAGTAGCTGGGATTACAGGTGCCTGCCACCACGCCTGGCTAATTTTTTGTCTTTTTAGTAGAGAAGGGGTTTCACCATATTAGCCACAATGGTCTCAATCTCCTGACCTCGTGATCCATCCGCCTCGCCCTCCCAGACTGCTGGGATTACAGGCGTCAGCCACCGTGACCGGCTCAGACTGTACTCTTATAGCCATCTGAAATACGTTTTCTAGGTATAGATAGATTGTGTAAGGGTACAGTTGTGAGGATAACAGAAACATGGCAGATTATTTAAAATCATCCTGAAAGTGGTGCTTTATCTGATGAAAGTGATTGTAATCCATAGGAAAATGTTTCAACGTGTGCAAGAGTTGTGGCGGCGGGCAGAGGACTACCACAAACGCAAAGTAAGGAGCCTCCTCCCCGCAGTTGCAGGATAGTTCAGTGCTGATGCAGATGATGCCACGGCCCTTAGACTCTCTCAACATTCAATTTCTCATGTATTGGCTTTTTCAGATCCCCCCTTCTGCAAGAAAGCCTCTTTGCAACTGGGTAAGTTTGCTTGTTTTCCTTGCTTTTGGACATAGTCTGCCAGGTCAGGACATGGATACATTTTTCTCCCTACAGCTCTGTGCTCAAGCCCTGCAGAGGGAGATGGCAGAGAGAAGGGCTGCCTACAAGCCTCACAGTCCCATCCCTGTTGGTAACCGTGTTGCGCAAAAACACCTTCATCCCCACCCAGTGGGGCCCCTGATCTAATATTCTAAGTGTCAGAGGTTCCGTATTTGTAATAACAAATGGGCCCTGACTGTAAATTAGTGAAGAGTGAATGTAACTTATTACCCACAGGGACAATTCCAAATGAAGGCCTTAAATGATGCTCAGCTAAGCTGGTTCTTGTGTGGCCTCTGTACCTTCAAAAGCTGCCGAGTCCTATGATTACACGTGATGGGACTTGTACACTTGAAGTGAAACACAGTTTTAAAACTTGCTTTGTTTAGAATTCCCACCTCATTTTTCCATGGACAAAAGTATTCTTTATGTCCTAGTGCACTTACAATTTGGTATTACCTGGGAGTGAAAAGAAATATTACAGCCATGCCCAACTGACTTCTTGAGGTAAGATTGTTCTGTCAGAAAACCCTCTCCCAGTTCCCCTGCAGCTCTTCAGGAATCCACATCTCTCCAGAGCTCTTTGTTCTCATGGGTGGCACCTCCAGAGTGAAGAAGATCCTTTGTCAAGAAGGGAAACAGAGGGGAAATGAGAGGGTCCTGCAGGCAGAGCTGGAATCAACTTCCACTCTGCCTCTTGCAAGCTGTGTGACCCTGGGCACAATTTCTCCTTCCTCTGGAAACCTCTGTTTTCTTAGATTTGGAGCAGGGTGGTCACACTGACCTTGCAGAGTTCTGAGAATCAGAGACAGAACATAAAAGGCCTGGAAAACATTCTCCAAAAAGAAGCTGCAACATGTGTGGACAATGGGCTTTTCATGCCTCTCTTACTGTCTGTTGACCTGGTGCAAGAAACATGCTCTGGTGATGGCTGTGAGGGAGGAATGAGGATAGACATAGACACTCCTGTGTCTCAAACATGCTTCTTTATTACTCTGCTATGACTCTGTCTTCCCTGGGGCAGGACCCCAGCCTGCCTACATTTGCAGACAGACACAGTGGCATGTGGAGACAACAGTGTGTCCCAATGACTTTTCTTTACCCCCCAGCTGTCGGCAGTACTCAGTGGAAGGGTGATATTATGACACTGATACTGCTATTTTGAAACCTGGAGGATGGAAAGGTGCAAAAATCTATCACCAAGCAACAGAAGGTGCAGACCGTGTTGGTGGCGGTAATTTTGTCCATCAAATGAATATGTGTGAAAACATTCCCTTCTTCGGCCCTACAGGTCAGAATGGTGGCAGCGGAGCATCGTCATTCTTCAGGATTGCCCTACTGGCCCTACCTCACAGCTGAAACTTTAAAAAACAGGATGGGCCGCCAGCCACCTCCTCCAACTCAACAACATTCTATAACTGATAACTCCCTGAGCCTCAAGACACCTCCCGAATGTCTCCTTCGTCCCCTTCCACCCTCAGTGGATGATAATATCAAGGAGTGTCCTCTTGCTCCTCTTCCACCCTCTCCTCTTCCACCCTCAGTGGATGATAATCTCAAGGAGTGTCTCCTTGCCCCTCTTCCACCCTCTCCTCTTCCACCCTCAGTGGATGATAATCTCAAGACTCCTCCCTTAGCTACTCAGGAGGCCGAGGCAGAAAAACCACCCAAACCCAAGAGGTGGAGGGCGGATGAGGTGTAACAACCACCCAAGCCCAAGAGGCAGAGGGAGGCCGAGGCACAACAATTACCCAAACCCAAGAGGCGGAGGTTGAGTAAGCTGAGAACACGCCATTGCACTCAAGCCTGGGCAACAAGAATAAATCCATGGGTCGAAAAAAAGAAAAAAATCAAAAAATAAAACAAAACCCACACTCTAAAAACAAACTAACAAAGAATAAATAAATAATATAAAAATAAAATAAATACTGCAGTCCTTATGTTATTGCTTTGTTTCAATATCTGGTATGATTGCCTGAGGGACCTGAGGTTTTTAATTGTAGGGTTTTTTTTAATCTTTAGAAGTGGTTGGTTATGTAAAATATTATTATTATTATTATTATTATTATTATTATTTTTGAGACTGGGTTTTGCTCTGTCACCCAGGCTGGAGTGCAGTGGCTCGATCACAGCTCACTGCAGCCTCAACCTCCTGGGCTTCAAGCAATCCTCCTGCCTCAGCCTCCCAAGTAGCTGGGATCACAGATGTGTGCCACCACGCCTGGCCAACGTTAAAAAATCCTTTAACTTTTTTGTAGAGATGCACTCCTGGACTCAAGCGATCCTCCTACTGGTCCCGACCACCAGCCTCTTTCTGATAAACATTTACACTGTTTATTATCTGGTGCCATTTCTATCTTCTTCCTTGTCATCCAGACATCAAAGAATTAGGTTTCTTCAGGGTTTTCTTTTTCAAGTCCTCATTGTTAAAGATCACTCACATTAGGGCCAGACACCACGACTCATGCCTGTAATCCCAGCACTTTGGGAGGCCGAGGTGGGCAGAGCACTTGAGGTGGGGAGTTTGAGACCAGCCCGGCCAACTTGGTGAAACCCCACCTCTACTGAAAAACATACAAAAATTAGCTGGGCGTGATGGTGCATGCCTGTAGTCCCAGCCACTTGGGAGGCTGAGGCATGAGAATCGCTTGAACCCAGGAGGCAGAGGTTGTAGTGAGCCAAGATCACATCAGCACACTCTAGCCTGGGTGACAGAGTGAGACTCTGACTCAAAAAATAAATAAAATAAATATCACTTACATTAGATATACCCAAGGGGTGGTCTATAGAGACTTGGAAGCAGTGGTTATTGCAACAGGGGCACGGAAGTCATCTGGCTATGCCAGGGTGCCCAGGGGATACTCGGGGTGGGTGGCATGGTGCTGCTGGGCTCTCACCGCACAGGACGCTCTGATTGACGCACTGCCAGGAGTAGCACTCTGTCTTGGGGCTGCTGCCGGCCTCCTCAGCTCGAGTGTAACAACAGTTGTGGCCATGGCAGCACCTGCGGATGTCACATGGGCAGGACAGCAAGTGGGTGAAGCTCTCTCCTGGCCCTCCTCTCTTGCCAGGACCATGGGTGACTGAAGACCCCCAGGGAGGCACAGCATCCTCTTATCTAAGTTTTTTTTTTTTTTTTTTTTTTTAAGAGACAGGGTCTTTCTCTGTCACCCAGGCTGGACTGCAGAGGCACAATCATAGCTCACGGCAGCCTTGAACTCCTGGGCTCAAGCGATCCTCCCACTTCAGTGTCCCAAGTAGCTGAGACTACAGGCACACGCCAGCATGCCCGGCTGGTTTTTTAATTTGTATTTCCTTTGAGACAGCGTATCTCTCTGTCGCTCAGGCTGGAGTGCAATGGCTCAATCAGCTCACTTTAGCCTTGATCTCCCGGGCTCAAGTGATACTGCCACCTCAACCTCCCAACTATGCTACTACAGGAACACAAACTCCTTTTTTAAATTTTTTGTGGATATGGGGTCTCACTATGTTGCCTAGGCTGGTCTCGAACTCCCAGGCTCAAGCAGTCCTCCTACCTCAGCCTCCCCAAATGCTGGGATTACAGGTGGGAGCTACTGTACGCCTGGCCTTATCTAAGCTGTTTCCCTGAAAATCCCCGACTTGGGTAATGATTCCATTGGCCCCACCATGCCCTGTCCTGCCTTCCTGGCTGTGCCCAAGCTTGGTCCCTGCCTGCCTGCCTGCCTCACTCTCTGGGTCTCGAGCTCCTGTGACATATGACTCCTCTCTCTTCCTGGAGTGATCCAAGCCCTGCAACTTCCTGACTTTGCCCACACTGTACCCTCTGCCTGGGGCAACTTCATGTCTGCCCATTGAGCCTTAGGCCTCAGCCCAGGCACAAGCCCCTGCCTCCGGAGGTCATCCAGGCCTCACCAGGCTACACCCTCTCGTAAAACTGGATTCCCTCCCTTCAGGGCAGGTTTATAATGAAATCCTCCTCAGAGGCCAGGTGCAGTGACACCCATCTGTAATCCCAGCACTTTGGGAGGCTGAGGTGGGAGGATCACTTGAGGCCAGGGGGTCGAGACCAGCCTGGGCAACATAAGAGAGACTCTTGTCTCTCTTGTCTCTATAACAAATTTAAAAATTAGCTCACCAGGCCAGGCTCAGTGGCTCATGCCTGTAATCCCAACACTTTGAGAGGCCGAGGCAGGTGGATCACGAGGTCAGGAGTTCCAGAGCAGCCTGACCAACACGGCGAAACCCTGTTTCTACTAAACATACAAAATTAGCCAGGCATGGTGGCACGCACCTGTAATCCCAGCTACTCAGGAGGCTGAGGTAGGAGAATTGCTTGAACCCAGGAGGTGGAGGTTGCGGTGAGCCAAGATCACGCCATTGCAGTCCAGCCTGAGCAACAGAGCAAGACTCTGTCTCGAGAGAATAAAAACACACAAAAAATTAACTCGCCAGGATGGCACATGCCTATAGTCCTAGCTACTTGGGAGGCTGAGGTGGGAGGATTCCCTTCAGCCCAGGAGTTTGAGGCTGCAGTGAGCCACTGTGATTGTGCCACTGCACTCTAACTTGGGCAAAAGCGAGACCCCAGGCTAGAGTGCATGATTTTGGGTCACTGCAACCTCCACCTCTCAGGTTCAAGTTATTCTCCTGCCTCAGCCTCTTGAGTAGCTGGGACTACAGGCATGTGCCACCACGCCTGGGTAATTTTTGTATTTTTAGTAGAGACAGGGTTTAGCAGAGACCATGGTGAAACCCCATCTCTATTAAACAAATCTCTACTAACCCCATCTCTACAAAAAACAGCTGGGCGTGGTAGTGCACACCTGTAATTCCAGCTACTTGGGAGGCTGAGGCACGAGAATCATTTGCATCTTGGAGGCAGAGTTTGCAGTGAGCTGAGATCGCACCACTGCACTCCAGCCGGGATGACAGAGCAAGACCCTGTCTCAAAAAAAAAGAAAAAGGAACAAACAGCAACAACAAAAAAAAAAACCTCTGTGTCAATCACAGCCTTCGAGCTAGGGGAGAGGCGGCCGAATTCTGCCCTCTGCTAACGAGCTATAGCTTTGTGGAAATGGGCGAGTGGTGTGCCCTTGTGAGCCTCAGGGCCCCATCTGTAAAATGGGCATAACTGTCATGCCCGTCTTTAAGAACAGGCTTGGGGGTAAATGAGTGGAACTCATGGAAAGATCTCAGCCCACAACCTTCCACAGAACAGGTGCTTCTCACACAGTAAGTAGCAGGAGTGCAGAGGCTGCAGGCATGAATCCAGCCAGACTGCCTGGGTTCAAGTCCCAGCTCCCACGTCTTGGTAACTAAGTGGCCTCAGACAAGTTACTTAGTATTTCTTCTTCTTTTTTTTTTTTTTTTTCAGACGGAGTTTTGCTCTGTCACCCAGGCTGGAGTGCAGTGGTGTGATCTTGGCTCACTGCAACCTCCGCCTCCCGGGTTCAAGCAATTCTCCTGCCTCAGCTTCCTGAGTAGCTGGAATTACAGGCACCTGCCACCACACCCAACTAATTTTTGTATTTTTAGTAGAGACAGGGTTTCACCATGTTGGCCAGGATGGTCTCGAACTCCTGACCTCGTGATCTGCCTGCCTCAGCCTCCCAAAGTACTGGGATTATAGGCGTGAGCCACCGCACCTGGACACGTTACTTAATATTTCTGTGCCTTGGTTTCTTCATCTGTGAAATGGGATTGTTGTGAGAACGCCAAGGGATTCCCAGGGCAGTTCCTAGTGCATAGTCTGGCTGCCTTTGTGTGTGTGTGTGTGTGTGTGTGCATGTGTGTGTGTGTTTAATATAGAGACAGGGTCTCACTATGTTGCCTAGGCTGGTTTCAAGCTTCTGGGCTCCAGTGATCCTCCTGCTTCCACCCAAAGTGGTGGGATAACAGGTGTGAGTCACCACACCTGGTCACTTTATATTATTTTTTTCTTTTGAGACAGGGTCTCGCACTGTTGCCCAGGTTGGAATGCAGTGGTGCAATCTCAACTCACTGCAAACTCCGCCTCCTGGGTTCAAGTGATTCTCCTGCATCAGCCTCTTGAGTAGCTGGTACTATAGTCACCCGGCTCCTTGCCCGGCTAATTTTTGTATTTTTAGTAGAGATGCGGTTTAGTGATTCTCCTGCATCAGCCTCTTGAGTAGCTGGTACTATAATCACCTTAATCACCTAGCTCCTTGCCCAGCTACTTTTTGTATTGTTAGTAGAGATGCGGTTTCCTTTTTTTTTTTGAGATGGAGTTTCGCTCTTGTTGCCTAGGCTGGAGTGCAGTGGTGCGATCTCGGTTCACCACAGCCTCCGCCTCCTGGGTTCAAGCGATTCTCCTCCTCTGCCTCCCGAGTAGCTGGGATTACAGGCATACGCCACCACACCTGGCTAATTTTGTATTTTTAGTAGCCTGCTCCCTTTTTTTTTTTTTTTTTTTGCCTTCAAGCATCTGTTTAACAAAGCACATCTTGCACCGCCCTTAATCCATTTATCCCTGAGTGGACACAGCACATGTTTCAGAGAGCATGGGGTTGGGGGTAAGGTTATAGATCAACAGCATCCCAAGGCAGAAGAATTTTTCTTAGTACAGAACAAAATGGAGTCCCCTATGTCTACTTCTTTCTACACAGACACAGTAACAATCTGTTCTCTCTTTCTTTTCTCCACATTTCCTCCTTTTCTTTTCTACAAAACCACCATCGTCATCATGGCCTGTTCTTGATGGTCGCTGTCTCTTCGGAGCTGTTGGGTACACCTCCCAGACGGGGTGGCCGGGCAGAGGCGCTCCTCACCTCCCAGATGGGGCGGCCGGGCAGAGGTGCTCCTCACCTCCCAGACGGGGCAGCCAGGCAGAGGCGCTCCTCACATCCCAGACGGGGTGGCTGGGCACAGGTGCTCCTCACATCCCAGATGGGATGGCCGGGCAGAGGCGCTCCTCACCTCCCAGACGGGGCAGCCAGGGTGAGGCGCTCCTCGCTTCCCACAAGAGGTGGTGGCCGGGCCGAGGTGCTCCTCGCTTCCCAGATGGGGTGGCAGCCGGGCAGAGGTGCTCCTCACATCCCAGATGGGGTGGCCGGGCAGAGGCGCTCCTCACCTCCCAGACGATGGGCGGCCAGGCAGAGATGCTCCTCACTTCCTAGACAGGGTGGTGGCCGGGCAGAGGTGCTCCTCACCTCCCAGACGGGGTGGCGGCCCGGCAGAGGCGCTCGTCACCTCCCAGACGGGGTGGCGGCTGGGCAGAGGCGCTCCTCACATCCCAGATGGGGCGGCCGGGCAGAGGCGCTCCTCACCTCCCAGACGATGGGCAGCCAGGCAGAGACGCTCCTCACTTCCTAGATGGGGTGGCGGCCGGGCAGAGGCGCTCCTCACCTACCAGACGATGGGTGGCCGGGCAGAGGTGCTCCTCACCTCCCAGATGATGGGCGGCCAGGCAGAGGCGCTCCTCACCTCCCAGACAGGGTGGCGGCCGGGCAGAGGCACTCCTCACCTCCCAGATGGGGTGGCGGCCTCGCAGAGGTGCTCCTCACCTCCCAGACGATGGGCGGCCAGGCAGAGACGCTCCTCACTTCCTAGATGGGGTGGCGGCCAGGCAGAGGCGCTCCTCACCTACCAGATGATGGGTGGCCGGGCAGAGGCGCTCCTCACCTCCCAGACGATGGGCGGCCGGGCAGAGGCGCTCCTCACCTCCCAGACAGGGTGGCGGCTGGGCAGAGGCGCTCCTCACCTCCCAGATGGGGTGGCGGCCAGGCAGAGGCGCTCCTCACCTCCCAGACAATGGGCGGCCAGGCAGAGACGCTCCTCACTTCCTAGATGGGGTGGCGGCCGGGCAGAGGTGCTCCTCACCTACCAGACGATGGGCGGCCAGGCAGAGGCTCTCCTCACCTCCCAGACGGGGTGGCGGCTGGGCAGAGGCGCTCCTCACCAACCAGACAATGGGTGGCCGGGCAGAGGTGCTCCTCACCTCCCAGACAATGGGCGGCTGGGCAGAGACGCTCCTCACATCCCAGACGGGGCGGCCGGGCAGAGGCACTCCTCACCTCCCAGATGGGTTGGCCGGGCAGAGGCGCTCCTCACATCCCAGACTGGGCAGCCGTGCAGAGGTGTTGGCTGGTCTTTTCATTTTCTTTCTTTTTTTTTTTTTAAAGCCAGCTTCCACTTTTTGCTTTAATCTTTTCACAGCAATAGCTATTACATAAATCAGTGAATACAATATTTCAACAATATTTGAAATGGTGTTCACACCCAGCAATTCCACTTCTAGACATAAATCCAAGAGAATTGAAAACATAGGTGCACACAGGCACTTGTACATGAATATTCATGGAAGCATTATCCACAACAGCCAAAAAGTGGAAACAGTCTAAATGTCTATCAAGATGAATGAATAAATAAAATGTAGTGTATGCATGCAGTGGAATATTATTTGGCCATGAAAAGAAATGAAGCACTGATGCAGGCTGCAACATGGATGAACTTGAAAACTTTATGTTACATGAAAGAAGCCAGTCATAAAAGGTCACACGCTGTTATTCCTATTATAGGAAATATCCAGATAGGCATGTCCATAGAGACAGAGAGGAGAGACAATGTATTTTGCAGATGAAAAGATCTTAACTGTAATGAAGTCTATAATTCTGTTTCTGTAGTAGTTCCAACTTTTGATACTCTGTTTAGGAAACCCATGCTATTTACAGGTTACTAAGAATTTATTTTCTTCCAGAAGTTCTACAGTTTTTAGTTTTACCTTTAGATCCTTTATCCATTCTAAGTTAATTTTTGTGTATGGTGTGAAGTGTAAGGGTTGAGAGTTATTCATTTATTTTTGCATACAGCTTTTCTATCAATCCAGCATTGGTTGGAAAGATTATTCTTTTCCACATTACTTTGCCTCCAATTTTCTATTTCCAGAGTCTTTTTTACATTTCATTGATCTATAGATTTACCTTCATGCCAATATGGCATTGTGTTTTCATTGAAAAGACCCATAGGGGTGTGAGACATCATTGAGCTTCTTAGATCTCTGGGTTAATAGTTTTCATGAAATTTAGAAAATTTTTGGCCATTACTTGCTAACGTATTTTTTATGTCCCGTCAGAGAGCTCCACTTTTTTTTTGTGAATTAAATGGTATGTTTACTAGATGGCTTGATGTAGACCTACAGTTAACTGGTACTTTGTTCTTTTTTTTTTTTTTTTTTAAGACACGGTCTCACTCTGGCGCCCAGGCTGGAGTGCAGTGGCGCAAACTCTGCTCACTGCAAGCTCCGCCTCCCGGGTTCACACCATTCTCCTGCCTCAGCCTCCGGAGTAGCTGGGACTACAGGCGCCCACCACCACACCTGCCTAATTTTTTGTATTTTTAGTAGAGACAGGGTTTCACCATGTCAGCAAGGATGGGGGTCTCAATCTCCTGATCTCATGATCTGCCCGCCTCGGCCTCCCAAAGTGCTGGGATTACAGGTGTGAGCCACCACGCCCGGCCCTAGATTTATATGTTATTGTTAGAGATAATACAGATCATTTGTATGCTTTGCCCAGTTTTCATCAATGGTAACATTTTGCTAAGTTGTACTATAGGGACATCCCTCAGTATCCAAGCAGGATTAGTTCCAGGACCCTCGCAGATACCAAAATCCATGGATGCTCAAGTCCCTGATATAAAATGGCATAGTATTTGCATATAACCTACCCACATCCTCCTGTATACTTTAAATCATCTCTAGATTACTTTTAATACCTAATGTAATGTCAAGGCTATGTATGGCAGCTGTTATGCTGTATTGGTTTTTGATTATATTATTTTTTATTGCTTTATTCTTCACATATTTTCCATCTGTAGTTGTTTGAATCAGTAGATGCAGAACCTCAGGCTACAGGGGGTTGACTGTAATATCACAACCAGGATACTGACATTGATACAATGTACCAATGTTATCCAGAGATTCCTGGTGTTACTTGCACCCTGTGTGTAGGTGTCTCTATCTGTGTCTATTACGTTGCATACAATTTGATCACCTGTGCAGGTTCATGTATTCACCACCATAGTTGTAATACTGAACAGTTCTAACACTACAAGTCCCCTTTGTACTGTCCTCTTATAATTGCAGCCACCTCTCTCTTGCCCCTCTACCACCTCTTTCATCTCTAAGTCCTGACAACCACTGATCTGTTCTCCATTCCTGAAATTTTGCCATTTCAAAATGTTTTGTCAATAGAATTATACTGTAATGTTTTGGGACTGTTTCTCCCCACAAGCATAATTCCCTGGAGATTCATCCAAGTTGTTATTTGCTATCCAGTGTATTTTAATGTTAGACATTGTCTTTTTCATCTCTAGAAATTTGAGTTGAGTCATTTTTATATCTCTTATATTTCTAATTTTGTGGATGCTTTACTATTTTGAACATGTGGTGCATATTTATACTAACTGTTTTAATCTCCTTTTCTAGTCACTAATACATCATTTCTATGTCTGCTTCTGTTGATTGATTTTTATTTTCATGACGGGTCATTTTTTTCCTCTGAATGGTTAGGTCCTTAATTTTTTTTTTTTTTTTTGTCTTCAGTCTTTGCCTTTATTTATCCCTGTCCCTCCCAACCCCCAGGCTCCCAAGTTCTATCTCACTCCTCCACCTTCCCTGTCCTCTCACAGATGAGGTTCCGGGCTGTAATGATGGCAATGCTGCCCAGCACAACCCCTGCCCCCATGATGTCAGAAGGTGCCACAGTCTCATGGAGCATAAAATACTGCAGTATAAGGGCCATCACCACCTCGGAATGCAGGACAGCACACACCAGGGCAGGGTGGGCCTTGGTGACCGCATAGCCCACACATGTGAAGGAGACCAAGGTGAGGATCCCCACTGCCCCCACACAACTCCAACTCAGGAGGTCACTGGGCAACACGGGGGACTGCAGCACAAAGAGGCCTGGCACAGAGCCCAGCAGCCCCACCAAGCCAGATAGGAAGGCCACTGTTGGGAGGCAGGAGGGAAAGTGCAGAGAACGATAGACGAGAAGCCCCAGGGACAGCGCCAGTCCTCCCAGGAAAGCCTGCACATAGCCCAGGCCGGTGTAGACACCCGTGGTCCCCTCCTGTAGTGTCCAGAGTCCAGGTCCCACAATGATTATTAGTCCTAGGATGCTGCCCAACAGTCCACACCAGTCGTAGCCACTGAGAACCTGGCTCTCAAGGCAGAGGGTGAGGATGGCGGAGCAGACGGTGGAAGAATGTTTGCGAACAGTGGCAGCATTGCCAGTGGGCACCACCTGAACCGCACTATAGGCACATCCAATGTTGAGGACGTTGAGCAGGGCACAGAAGCAGGTGCGGCCTCGGATGTCAGGAGGTCCCAGAAGGGGGTCGCCACGCAGTTTAAGTAGCAGGGCAATAGGGAGGTGGAAGAGGCATCGACAGATGACCAGCTCCAGCGAGGGCAGGTTGGAAGCCTGGTAAGCCATACGAGAAAGGGGGCCCACGAAGCCAGCAGGCAGGCCCCCACCCAGCAGGGCCACCAGCAGGCCATTGGTGGCATCAGAGGGCTGGCAGCGCTGGTGCCAGTGGAGGCTGGGTGGAGTGGAGGGCGGCGATGGGTGTGTGGAGTCAGGCAGGTTGAAGTAGGGGTGACTGCCAGCCATCTTTCCTTGGACTTTCTCCTCTCCTCCTGGCTCAGGGAGCCTGGGCCCCTCAGAGCTCCAGCCACTGTGACCTCATTGGAGTTGGGGTGGGGTTCTTCCCTGGAACTATCCTGAGGTGGTAGCACGCCTATTTTCCCGCTGAGTCCAACTCTGCTTCTTTTCTTTCTTTCTTTTTTTTTTTGTTGATCATTCTTGGGTGTTTCTCGGAGAGGGGGATTTGGCAGGGTCATAGGACAATAGTGGAGGGAAGGTCAGCAGATAAACAAGTGAACAAAGGTCTCTGGTTTTCCTAGGCAGAGGACCCTGCGGCCTTCCGCAGTGTTTGTGTCCCTGGGTACTTGAGATTAGGGAGTGGTGATGACTCTTAACGAGCATGCTGCCTTCAAGCATCTGTTTAACAAAGCACATCTTGCACCGCCCTTAATCCATTTAACCCTTAGTGGACACAGCACATGTTTCAGAGAGCACAGGGTTGGGGGTAAGGTCATAGATCAACAGCATCCCAAGGCAGAAGAATTTTTCTTAGTACAGAACAAAATGGAGTCTCCCATGTCTACTTCTTTCTACACAGACACAGTACAATCTGATCTCTCTTTCTTTTCCCCACATTTCCCCCTTTTCTATTGGACAAAACCGCCATCATCATCATGGCCCGTTCTCAATGAGCTGTTGGGTACACCTCCCAGACGGGGTGGCAGCCGGGCAGAGGGGCTCCTCACTTCCCAGAAGGGGCGGCCGGGCAGAGGCACCCCGCACCTCCCGGACGGGGCGGCGGCTGGGCGGAGGCACCCCCCACCTCCCTCCCGGACGGGGCAGCCGGCCGGGCGGGGGCTGACCCCCCACCTCCCTCCCGGATGGGGTGGCTGGCCAGGCGGGGGAGGTCCTTAATTTTTGATCCCATTACAAACATTGTCATTTTCATGTTGTTGGGTGCTAGATTTACTGCTCTATATTCTTTTAAATGTTTCTGAGACTTGTTCTGTGATGCAGTCAAATTACTGGGAAATCTGGATGAGATTGGAGACTATTATTCTAAGTGAAGTAACTCAGGAATGGAAAACCAAACATTGTATGTTCTCACTCATAAGTGGGAGCTAAGCTATGAGGATGCAAAGGCATAAGAATGACACAATGGACTTTGGAGACCCAGGGGGAAAAGGTAGGAAGGGGAGAGGGATAAAAGAATACAAATTGAGTACAGTGTGTACTGCTTGGGTGATCAGTGCACCAAAATCTCACAAATCACCGCTAAAGAACTTGCTCTTGTTACAGACACCACCTGTTCCCCAGTAACCTATAGGGAAAAAAAAAAAAAAAGAAATGCAGGAGCTGAGTAATGGAGAATGTAACCCCTTGTAGAGATTTATGAGGTTTATTTTATATAGGAAATGCTAATAGAAGACTTTATATAGGAAATGCTAATAGAAGAAAGCAGACTGGCCTCTGTTTCCTCTGAACCATGGAAGAGTAAAATAACCATGAGTCAGCGGTTTGACTTAACTCTCTAACAGTGAGCAGGGCTGCTGGCTCTGATCACAGAAAGTGACCAATGCCAATTAGTAATCTTGTGCCAATTAGCACAAGGGCTGCTTTCACTGCAGTAATAAAAGTTCCCACGTGGCCAGAAACTTTTTGAGGGCTATCTCTGAGCCTTACATTAATCTTAAAAGGAAGGTTCCTTATGCATTCTGGCACTACTATGTCTGAATTGTGTGTGACCTAGAGCAAGTTATTAACTTCTCTGTGCCTCCATTTCCTCATTTGCCAAAATAGAGACAATAACATACCTAAGTTATAGGGTTGTAAAGAGCATTAAATTAGGTAATATTTGTAATGCAAGTTACCCATTCTCAATAAACACTAGTTGTTGTGAATGTAAAAAAATTACCTGGAAACGGTTTGATCCTTTGAGACTGAAATGACCTTACTTTATGGGTTATTTTGCCCCCTGGTGAGGTGATACCCTTTCTGGATTAGGTTTATTCCACTCCAGCTAGGGGAAATGTGAACTCTGACTGGTTCTGTGGGAACCCTAGGATCGTCTGCTTGCTGCTTTCCCGCTTTCTACCCCCAGAGCCTTAAATCAGCACAGCTTTAAAGTAAACCTCCATGCCAGCAGGCTCTGCGTACTCCTACCTGGCTCATATTGCTCTCTTCTGGAATGTCTTTGACATGTTTGCCAATTTGTATTTCAAAATAAATTTTATAACCAGCTTATAAACTTTATCACCACTGAAGTCTGAGCTGGACTTAGACTAAATCTATGAATTAATTTTGGAAGAATTATTTTTTGACCTTGAGCCTGTCTAACGACAAGATCTATCACCTCATATATTTAGCTCTTCTTTAATGTTTTTCAGTAAAGCTTTTAAATTTTCTTATAAAGAGACTGCATATTTAAAATTACTTTATACGTTTGGTTACTAGATATCTTCATTATTATTCTGGGAATTTCTATCAGATTTCTTTTGTGTGGAATTCCGTTTACTGACTCCCACTCTCGGCGTCCTTTCTCAGTGCTGTGAAGCAAACCCTCTCCCGTGGATCCATGATCACTTGTGCATAACAGGTAAAACATTTGAAACCTTGCATGTGTGAAAAGACCCTCTTCCTTTACTAGGATTGATAGTTTAGAGAGCTATAAAATTGTAAATTGGTAAGAAATTTTCCGCAGAATTTTGAATTGCAGCATTGTTTTCTAAGTTCTTGTGTTTCTGCTTAGAAGTTGGGTAAATCCTTATTCCTGATCACTTTTCCCCTTGAGACTATTTTCAGAATGTATTTGGCCAAAGAATCTGAAATTCTGATTATGTGCTTTTTGCATGGGTCATTTTTCATTAGTTCTTTCTGGGACATTTTCACATTCTCAGTGGAACAAATCCCATTTGGTTGTGGTGTATAATTATCTTTACCATTTTGTTTTCTTTTTACAACTCATTTAATTTATTGTCATTGCCGTTGGGGTACTCTGTTGGGGTAGTTTGATTGACCATTCTCCACAGCTGCCTCTGGAGATGCAGCAGACAGGTTCTAGGTCTCTGGGATGCATCATGCACAGGGTGGTACTAATTCCACTGGGGAAGCCCTCCATGGTCTTTTGTTCCCAATTCTGTTTCCTACTCAGTATGTGCTAACAGACAATTATTTTTGCTCTTTTCTCTCTTATGCTTTCTTGAATGGGTGGGAGATGTTTCTAAGGATTTTTTGCTTGTACACAGAAGAGTTTTTCCCTTCTCAGCTGTTTTCTGCACCTTGTTACTTTCTCTGGTCTTTTATTCGTAGGATGCCATCTTCTCCTCCCTCCCATAAGTGTTTGGTGGTCAGCTGTTTCCTGCCTACGGCTCGTCGGTTCATAATGCCCATTGGTTGTACTGCTAATATTTTGTTGGGGACTTTTGCATCTCTTTTCATAATCTATCAAATTTGTCTCTAGATTTCCTTTCTTATAATGTCTTTGGCTGGTTATGGTATTAGGTAATGCTGGCCTCATAGAATGAGTTAGGAAATATTCCCTCTGTTTCTATTTTCTGAAACGGATTGTTGAGAATTGGTATAATTTCTTAAATGTTTGAAAGTATTCACCAGTGGGCTTGGAGCTTTCTGCTTTGGAAGGTTATTAATTATTGATTCAGTTTTCTTAGTAGATATAGGCCTATTCAGATTATTAACTATTATAAACCAATAGTTTAATAATATTAAATTATGAGTATAGCTTAGTAACATTAAGCTTTTAGTGTGAATTTTGCTAGATTATGTCTTTCAAGGAATTGGTCTGCTTCATCTAGGTTATCAGATTTGGGGGCATAGAGTTGTTCATTACATTCCTTTATTATTATTGTTATGTCCATAGGATTAGTAATGATGCCCCTTCTTTCATTTCTGATATTAGAAATTGAAGTCTTCTCTTTTTTTTTTTTTGGAGACTGGATTTCATTCTGTCACCCAGACTGCAGTGCAATAGCATGATCATAGCTCACTGCAGCCTCAAACTCCTGAAATCAAGAGATCTGCCTGCCTCAGACTCCCACGTAACTAGGACTACAGGCACATGCCACCACGCCTGGCTAATTTCTATATTTTTTACTATTCATAGAGATGGGGGTCTTGCTATATTGCCCAGGATGGTCTTGAACTCCTGGCCTCAAGGGATTCTTTTGTCTTGGCCTCCTAAAGTACTGGGATTACAGGTATGAGCCACCATGCTGCCTCTTCTCTCTCTTTTCTTTCCTGGCTAGATGATTATCCATTCGAATGATTTTTTTCAAGGAGCCCAGCTTATATTGTTGATTTTTTTCTATTGCCTTACAGTTTTTCATTCCATTGATTCTTGTTCTAATTTTTATTATTTGTTTTCTTTTGCTTACTTTGAACATAATTTACACTTAAAAATTTCCTAGTGTGAAAGCTTAGATTATTGATTTTTAGATATTTCTTATTTTCTCATACATACATTCAGTGCTATACATTTTCCTCTAAGCACTGCTTCAAAGCAGCCCACAACTTTTCATAAGTTATATTTTCATTTCCAGTTAGTTGAAAATATTTTAACATTTCTTGAGACTTCTTCTTTGACCCAGAAGTGTTCTTTAGAAGTGTATTGTTTAATCTCCAAGTATTTTGGGGTTTTCTTGCTATCTTTTTGTGACGGATTTCTAGTTTAACTCCATTATTGTTTGACAGCAGACATTGTACGATTTCTATCCTTTAAAGTTTGCTAAGGTGTGTTTTAGGGCCCAGAATGTGATCTGTCTTGATGAATGCTCCATGATGTGAGCTTGAAAAGAATGTGTACATCGCTGTTGCTGGATGAAGTGTTCTATAAATGTCAAATAGATACAGTTGATTGATTGATTGTGCTGTTCAGTTCAGCTGTGTCCTTCCTGATATTTTGCCTGCTGGATCCGTTCATTACTGGTAGAGGGGTGTTGAAGTCTCCAACTATAATAGTGTACTTAATGATTTCTCCTTGTTGTTTTTGTCTCGTGTGTTTTGATGCTTTGCTGTTGGGTGCACACACCTTAGGGATTGTTATGTCTTCCTGGAGAATTGACTTCTTGTAATGCCCCTCTTTATCCCTTGTGTTAGTCTGTTTTAGCACTGCCATACAGAAATACCTGAGACTGGGTAATTTATACAGAAAAGAGGTTTAGTTGGCTCACAGTTCTGCAGACCGTACAGGAAGCATGGCGACTTCTGCCGGGCTTCTGGAGAGGCTTCGGAAAAGTTATAATCACAGCGGAAGGCAAAGGGGAAGAAAAGCAAGAGAGAGGGGGGAAGGTGCTACATGCTTTTAAATGAGCAGATCTCAGGAGAACTTACTATTGTGAGGACAGTACCAAGGGAGATGGTGCTAAACCTATTAATGAGTAACTGCCCCCATCATCCAATCACCTCCCACCTGGCCCCACCTCCCAACACCGAGAATACAGTTCAACATTAGATTTGGGCAGAGACAGATCCACACCATATCATCCCGGATACCTTTCCTTGCTCTGAAGTTTCAGGTTTTGGAGCATTTCGGATTTTGAAGTTTTGGATTTGGGATGCTCAACCTACACCAGCTGTGACTGGTTGCAGAAATGGATAATGTAATTTTGATGACTATTTCTTCCTTATTTTGTTATATGTTTTTTGTGTATATGTGTATGTAGATATATGTGAAACAAATCTTTGTTTTCAGACTCAACAGCAAATTTAATGTCTGAACTCAATGTAGTTAATCCAGCTTTCTTTTGATTAGTGTTAGCGTAATTAAAAGACTTACTTTTAATCTACCTGTATCTTCGTATTTAAAGTGGATTTCTTCAACCTATGGAAAAACTGACAGCTTAGCATGTAAATTTCAATGTTATACTCATGTGAATTGCCGTAAGATGGGAATAAATGTGATTGAAGCAATGCTGTAAAAATAAAATAAAGTGGATTTTTAAAAACAAGATATAGTTGGATTGTTTTTTCAGATCTACTCTGATAGTCAGTGTCTTTTAATTGGTGTATTTAGACTGTTGACATGTAATGTGATTAATGATGTAGTTAGATTAAAATCTACCATATTTATTGTTTTCTGTCCTTTGCCCTTGCCTTTCGTTTGTCTTCTCTTTTTTCACTTCTTTGGTTTTAGTTGAGCATTTTATTAATTCCTATGATGCCATTTTCTCCCTTCTCTCAGCATATTAATTCTTTAAATCATTTAAACTTATTGCCCTAGGGTTTGCAACATACAAATAATCCAAGTCCACTTTCAAAGAACATGGTATCATTTCACAGGTAGTGCAAGTACACTGTAACAGAGTACTCCCAATTCCTTCCTCCTATCCTTGTAACATTGCTATCATTCATTTCACTTATGGATAAGCTATACTCACCAAATTTGTTATTATTATTTTGAACCAACTGTTATCTAGCAGATAATAGTCAGAAAAATACAGGTATATATTTATTTAGGATTTGATGGAATGCTTTACATTACTCTTCTATTATTTTTTAAAGATTACATGTAAAAATGTGTTTATTCACAACCATTTGTGAATTACCATTTGTTGCTATTCTGTCATAATTTTTTTTCTTTTAGGTTCAGGGGCACATGTGCAGGTTTGTTATACAGGTAAACTGTGTCATGGGGGTGGGTTGTACAGATTATTTTGTCACCCAGGTATTAAGCCCAGTACCCAATAGTTATTTTTTCTGATCCTCTCCCTTCTCCCACCCTCCACCCTCAAGTGGGTCCTAGTGTCTGTTGTTCCCCTCTTTGTGTGCCTGAGTTCCCATCATTTAGCTTCCACTGATAAGCAAGAATATGCAGTATTTGGTTTTCTGTTTCTGTGATAGTTTGCTAAGGATAATGACCTCCAGCTCCATTCATGTTCCCACAAAATATATGGTCTCATTTTTTTATGGCTGCATAGTATTCTATGGTGTGTATGTACCACATTTTCTTTATCCAGTCTGTGATTGATGAGCATTTAGGTTGATTCCATGACTTTGCTATTGTGAACAGTGCTGCAGTGAATATTCACATGCATGTGTCTTTATGGCAGAATGCTTTATATTCCACTTGTTATATACCTAATAATGAGATTGCTGGGTCAGATGGTAGTTCTGTTTTTAGGTCTTTGAAGAAACACCACACTGTTTTCCACAATGGCTGAACTAATTTACATTCCCACCAACAGTGTATAAGCATTTCTTTTTCTCCATGACCTTGCCAGCATCTGTTATTTTTCAACTTTTTAGTAACAGCCATTCTGATCAGTGTGAGATGGTATCTCATTGTGGTTTTGACTTGAATTTCTCTAATGATTAATGGTATTGAGCAGTTTTTCACATGCTTGTTAGCCACATGTATGTCTTCTTTTGAAAGTGTCTGTTCATGCTTTTTGCCCACTTTTTAATGGGATTGTTTATTTTTTTCTTGTGTTTAAGTTCTTTATAGATGCTGGATATTAGACCTTTGTCAAATACATAGTTTGTGAATATTTTCTCCCTTTATGTAGGTTGTCTGTTTACTCTGTTGATAGTTTCTTTTGCTATGCAGAAGCTAGAAAGTTTAATTGGAGCCCATTGGTCAATTTTTGCTTTTGTTGTGATTCCTCTTGGTGTCTTTGTTATGAAATCTTTGCCCAATCCGTATGTCCAGAATGATATTGCCTAGGTTGCCTTCCAGGGTTTTTATAGCTTCAGGTTTTAAATTTTAGTCTTTAATCTATCTTGAGTTTATTTTTGTATATGGTGTAAGGAAGGGGTCCCGTTTCAACCTTCTGCATATTGCTAGTCAGTTATACCAGCACTGTTTATTGACTAGGGAGTTCTTTCCCCATCGTTTGTTTTTGTCAGCTTTGTTGAAAATCAGATGGTTGTATTTGTGCATGTGGCCTTATTTTTGGGCTTTCTATTCTGTTCCATTGGTCTATGTGTCTGTTTTTGTACCAGTACCATGCTGTTTTGGTTACTTCAGCTTTGCAGTATAGTTTGAAGTTGGGTAACACGATGCCTCCAGCTCTGTTCTTTTTGCTTAGGATTGCCTTTGCTATTCAGGTTCTTCTTTGGTTCCATGTGAATTTTAGAATTAATTTTCTAAAGCTGTGAAAAATGATGTTGGTAGTTTGATTAGAATAGCATTGAATCTGTAAATTGCTTTGGGCAGTATGACCATTTTAATGGTATTGATTCTTCCTATCCATGAGCATAAAATGTTTTTCTATGTGTGTCATCTCTGATTTCTTTGAGCAGTGTTTTGCAATTCTCACTGTAGAGATCTTTCATCTCCCTTATTGGCTGTGTTTCTAGATATTTTATTCTTTCTTTTCTTATCTTTTCTTTTTTTTTTTTTTTTTTTTTGAGATGGAGTCTCACTGTGTCGCCCAGGCTGGAGTGCAATGGCGCGATCTTGGCTCACTGCAACCTCCGCCTCCCAGGTTCAAGTGATTCTCCTGCCTCAGTCTCCCGAGTAGCTGGGACTACAGGCGTGTGCCACCATGCCCGGCTAATTTTTGTTGTATTTTTAGTAGAGACGGGGTTTCACCGTGTTAGCCAGGATGGTCTGGATCTCCTGACTTTGTGATCCACCCGCCTCAGCCTCCCAAAGTGCTGGGATTACAGGCGTGAGCCACTGTGCCCAGCAGGTATTTTATTCTTTTTGTGGCAATCGTGAGTGGGATTGTGTTCCCGATTTGGCTCTTGGCTTGGCTGTTGCTGGTGTATAGGAAAGCTCGTGATTTTAGTGCATTGATTTTGTATCCTGAAACTTTGCCAAAGTTGGTCATGTCACTGAGGACAACTTGCAAAGGTGCAAATGTGACAGGAGATAATTCTCAGTCAAAAACACTTCATCCTCTGCTGGCTTTTTCATGTTGTTGCACATCTGGGCCCTGTCTTAAGATCATAATTTGGCATGTGAAGCAATTTGTAGTCACTTCAATAATACAGAAAGCAAATATGCCATAAATACTTAGGAAATAAACTTGAAATAAAAACACTCATTTGCTACAATAGGGCACCTTCTCTTAGAGAAACACTGGCACTAGAAAGACTATTATGACATCTAGAAATGGTGTCGACTCTCCCTGCTTTTGTCTATCGCTACTCCACTAAAAAAGAGCCACAGTTAAACTGGTAATAAAGCGTGCATTTTCTGCAAAATATGTATATTTCCAGGAAAAACTGCCAATTTACTGTTTCCTGTTTGAATAACACCACACACATTAATGTATCCTAAAACTAAAAATATTTAGTACTTATGTTAAAACTGGACCAATGATATAAACATGGAAAGTGCTTAAGAATCATGAAGTTATAATCAAAATATTTTGAACGCAATTTTGGAAAGAAAAACAGTATTTTTTTCTTCAATATATGTATTGTGTTTCATGAGAATATATTGTGTTACCAAGTACAACCAACCTGTAAAAATTTCTTCTATAGCTGTTTAAACGCTTTCATCTTTTGGCTCTGAACAATTCCAGATTTCTGAAAAAACTTTTGTTGCTGTTGAAGCCGGCTCTACAAAAATGCAAAGAAAACCTTGCAATAAAATTGAGGTAGAATTTAAAATGTAGCAGAAAACGATTCTATGTTAACTTGAATGCCTTGAAATAAACATTTTAAAATAGTTTCTCTGCTAACAAAAAAGAGTCAGAAAAATGAAATATTTTATTTTACCCTTATTCATTCCTTCTCTTATGGTCTTCTTTATGTAGATCTGAGGTTCTGACCCATATAATTTTCCTTCTCTTTGAAGAATTTATTTTTATATCTTTGCAAGACAGGTCTACTGGCAATAAATTCCTTAGTTTTTAGTTGTCTGAGAAAGTCTTTATTTATCCTTTACTTTTAACTGTTAATTTTGCTGGATACAGAGCTCTAGGTTGGTGTTTTTTTTTTTTCCAATGCTTTAAATATTTTACTCCACTCTCTTCTTGCTTTCATGGTTTCTGAAGAGATGTACAATTGTAGTTATTATCCTTATTTCTCTACAGGTAAGGTGATTTTTCTCTTCTGGTTTCATTCAATATTTACTCTATCTTTAGTTTTCTGCAGTTTGATAGGATATGCTAAGTGTAGAATGTTTTGATATTTATCCTGCTTGGCATTCTCCAAGCTTCCTTGTATTTGCATTATGTGTATACCTGTTATAATTGTCCCACAGTTCCTTGATATTCTATCATCTTCATTCTTTTTTCTTTGCAATTCAGTTTTAAAAGTTTCTATTGACATTTCTTCAAGCTCACGGATTCTTTCCTTGCTATGTCCAGTCTATTGATGAACTAATCAAAGTCATTCTTCACTTGTTATAGTGTTTATTTATAACATTTTCTATTCTTTTTTAGAATTTCTATCTGTCTACTTACTTTACCTACCTACTTTTCTTGCATGTGTTGATGAAAAAAGAGTCAAACTCTGTAAAATATTTGAAGAGATTTATTCTGAGCCAAATATGAGTGACTGGTGGTTCGTGACACAACCCTCCGGAGAACATGTGCCCAAGGTGGACAGGGCACAGCTTGATTTTATACATTTTAGGGAGACATGAGACATTAATCAAATACATTTAAGATATACATTGGTTTGGTCCAGAAAGGCAGGGCAACTTGAAGCGTGGGCCTCCAGCTTATAGATAGATTTAAAAATTTTCTGATTGGCAATTGGTTGAAAGAGTTGTCAATAGCAAGGAATGTCTGGGCTGTGATGAGAGGTTGTGGAGACCACAGTTTATCATGAAGCTGAAGCCTCCAGGTAGCATGCTCCAAAGACAATAGATTGTAAATGTTTCTTATCAGACCTAAAGGCTGTGTTGATGCTCAAGGCTGGTCAGTTTTTCCTGAATTCTAAAAGGAAGGAGGAAATAATGAGGCCTGTCTGACCACCCCTTCCTGTCATGGCCTGAAGCAGTTTTTCAGGCTAACTTTGGAGTGCTCTGGCCCAGAGGAGGGAGTCTATTCAGATGGCTGGGGTGGGGGGCTTAGAATTTTATTTTTGGTTTACACACGTTTTCCATTTTTGCCTTTAGCACTCTCATCATCTTACTAGGATTGTTGTAAATTCCTGATCTGATAATTCAAAAATCTCTGCCATATCAGAGTCTGGCTCTGATGCTCTGTCTTTTCATACTGTATGTTGTCTTTTTGTCTGCCTTGCAATATTTTGTTCCAAGCCAAACATCATTTACTGGGTAAGAGGAACTGAGTTAAATAGGTCTTTAGTGAGAGGTTTTATGCTTATCTGGCTAGGAGTTAGGCAGTGTTTACTGTTTGCTGTTTGCTGTTACTGTTTACTGTTTGCTAAAATTTTCTATGGTGTCCTTGTTTCTGCCTACCCTGGTAGGGTTCCTGGAAGTAAAATTCATGGAAGTATGGGTTTCCCCCATGTGTCTGTCCTCCATACTCCCTGGAGTTTTCAACTCTTAAGCTTGTCCACCCTGAGCCTCCAGGAATTCATCAATTACAGTTTAGGTGTTCTAACTCCAGTCCTGACTCCAGGGCAGGCTTCTGCTCCCGGTGAGCTATGATTATCTGTATATACCTGCTTGATTCTCCTTTTTTTAAGGTGGTGATTGCCCTGAAGTCTCAATTATCTGACGCGTCTAAGAAGACTTGATGATTTTCAGTTTGTTCTGTTCTCTTCTTGCCACGGTGATGGGGGTGATGACTTCCATGATCCTCAGATGCTGGAGCCGGAGCCAGAAGTTTATGCCTTTGGTTTTGTAAACTGTTCTCATTCATTGTCTTTGTTACTAAAGCACCACTGAGTAAATGTTGACTGATCAAAATGTCTCTCAGTATATGTCTGTCCGCTCATATTGAAGAGTGAGGCACTAAAGAGCTTGTTGGAAGCTGGGTGTGTGGTTGGTTAAATAATGGAATTCTTGTGGGATTACTGATTGGGAACCAAATGATTTCTTTGAGGGACCCCAAACACCAGTATCTGTTACTCTCTGTGCCTGTCAGTTTCTCTGAGAGGACTTTACAGTCTTCTGTCTTTGGGCCAGAAGGCTGCTGCCAGGATTTTGAGTTCTGAGTAGGGAAAGTAGACTGTGGGACTCAATTTTTTTTGGTGTTTTTGCATTTAGCCCCTTACCTTGTCCCTCCTTTTTTCTGTGCCTGGTGTTCTGAGGCCCAGATCCCATAGGCCTGATTTTGTTTTTTCTCAAAGAGTAAATCTTTTGTATTCTGCCTGGTCAGAGTAGGTGACTTTGGGGAATGAACTGCCCTTTACTTCATACCTTCTACCGGTTTTGCTGTTTCCAGCATACCCCTCTTTATCTTCAACATTGGTTGATGCCTATAATTTCTAATACTTTATGGGGCATAGTTTTACTTGCTGCTTTCTGGCTTTGCTTTTTTAGGTAGTTGGTTTTAGCTTTCTTTACGTTGCTGTATCACTTGCACCTGTCCATGTGCTTTTTCTATTTTACCTTTTTTTTTTTTTTTTTTTTTTTTCAGACGGAGTCTCGCTCTGTTACCCAGGCTGGAGTGCAGTGGTGCGATGTTGGCTCACCGCAAGCTCCGCCTCCCGGGTTCATGCCAGTGTCCTGCCTCAGCCTCCCGAGTAGCTGGGACTACAGTCGCCCGCCACCACGCCCGGGTAATTTTTTTTTTTTTTGTATTTTTATTAGAGATGGGGTTTCACCGTGTTAGCCAGGATTGTCTCGATCTCCTGACCTCGTGATCCACCCGCCTCGGCCCCCCAGAGTGCTGGGATTACAGGTGTGAGCCACTGCACCCGGCCGGCCAGGCTGGTCTTAAACTCCTGACCTCGTGATCCACCCACCTCGGCCTCCCAAAGTGCTGAGATTACAGGTGTGAGCCACCGTGCCCAGCCTCTTTCTATTTTTTTATTTTTATATTTATTTATTTATTTGTTTGTTTATTTATTTATTTTTTGAGACAGAGTCTCGCTCTGTTGCCCAGGCTGGAGTGCAGTGGCATGATCTCGGCTCGCTGCAAGCTCCGCCTCCTGGGTTCACGCCATTCTCCTGCTTCAGCCTCCCGAGTAGCTGGGACTACAGGTGCCTGCCACCACGCCCGGCTAATTTTTTTGTATTTTTTAGTAGAGACGGGGTTTCACCGTGTTAGCCAAGATGGTCTCGATCTCCTGACCTCATGGTCCGCCTGCCTCAGCCTCCCCGCCAATTTTTAACATTTTGTTGTATCTCTCATCTGATGTTATTTTCTCTCATTGTCTCTATCTTTGTGGGTTTTTACCTTTTAAAAATGCTATTTGATATGTGTATGCTTCAATACGATGTATTCAGGTTGGAAGTCTTCTCTTTCTTCATTACTCCTGAGGTCTTTCTGATTTATGCACTAGACTGATCCCTGAACAATTTCTCAGAAAGGTCTTGGAGTTGAAGAATAATTTTCCACAAAATGATGCCGCTCACTCTATGTTCCTTTCAATACCACTAGCTAACACTCACTGAGAACCTACTATGTGCTAGATGTTGGGCTAAACCATTTAAAACCCATCACAACCTTACAGGGTAGAACTATTATGCTGATTGCACACATGAGGAAATGAAGCGTTGAGAGGGTCAACAATATACTCAATGTCATACAGCTTGCAAGTGGAAGAACCTTGATTTGAACCAGGGAACTTAGCTCCAGAGCTCAGTCCACATGGGATGCAGATCTCCAATTCTGCAAAGGGCTAATATTAATGATATTTAATTTTGATGTAAAATAAAAATTAGGGCAAAGTATAAAACTTCTGAATTTTTGGCTGTTGTCATCTTAGCTATGGATAGGTTTTCTTTTTCAGAAGTCAAAATACTCTGTGCTGGCACAATGGCTGTCTTGTCAATAAAGATCTTTTGAAATTAGCTATAGAGCTTCCAGTTTTGATAATGGTGGACTGTAATTTGGAACAATGCTGCCAATGAAGAAGACTAAAAATACCATACAAAATATGTGCTTGAAGAAATCATATTGTTTATAAGACAGAAAAGAACATTAGCCCAATCCACACAGCAGGCGAAAGGTTCAGAGCAGCCTAGGCTGTGAAATCCCAGAGCTCATAGACTTCCTGCTTTACTCTACTCCTCTTTTAGATGGCAACTCATGTCTTCAGAATATATCAGCCTCCTGTTGTTAAGGACATAGAAAAGAAAAAGACGACAGGAGGCTGAGGATGGAGGATCCCTTGACCACCTGTCACATGACTTCTCCATTACGTGCTTTTGATACATGGCGTTGGCTGCTGAAGAGACCACCCGCACCTATATGTGAGTTGTGAATAATAGGTGCAATACAAAAGTTCTTGGTGAAGAATCACAAAGATACCTCAGCTCTGACCCTTTGGTAAAGGGGGTTGTCTGGGAGGGGATCTGGAGCCATGTTGAGAAGATGATGTAATGTTTTGGCGTAGACTAGGAAGACTTTCTGGTCTGAACTAGGCAACGGCGGTGGCTTTTCCTGAAGCCCCCAGCAGGAAGACTCCATCTGCCATATGAAATCGTCTGAGTACCTACCAGGGAGCGGCATCTTTATCTTTCTTCAGTGATTTCAGGGCCATAGCTGCTAGGCAGATGGTTCCTGTATCAGCACAGAGTTTCAGTGTGCTTACGTCTACTTTCTTGAAGAAATCAGTAGTTCTCTCTCTCCTCTCTTTTTGTTCCTAAAGGTTAATTTCAGCATGTTCAAATGTTTTGTTATATCAATAAGAATGCAGCAGCTGGCAAACCACTAGGGAGAGAGTCATAATTCTAAAAAGTTCTTGATCTGAGAAAGCAACCCGTAAATCTCCTCATCAAGGTTCCTGTGTTTAACCATATGACTAAAGAAAATGAAATCCCTTTACTAGCCTTTGAAGCCTTGTATTTCTCAGCCCAGTAAGAGTCCAGCTTCCCCCATTACCTCGTTCAACAAACCAGACCTACAGATTTCACAGCACAAACTTCTGATCAATTATGCAATGGAATCTGAATATAAGGATGTTATGACCCTTGACACCTCCCCCCACCCCAGACTTCATTGCAGGTACTCTGTTTTCTTGCTGATTTAACTCAAGGTTTCCATGTTTTGACTAAACTCAAGTTCTTTACTGGCAGATGGCTAGGCTCTAAAAGTTCACGAATGCAGACTAATTAGGTAAAAACTCTAAATTGACAAGTGGTTTGCATCCTGAGAGCAGGCAGATTCCCAGATCACCTACTGGGTGCTCTTGGCCATTCTAGGTTTAGGGCACCCCTAAATGCTGGAGGAAGGAAAGGAAGCTCTGTTCCTTCCTTGAAGACCCCTCTCACTGATGTAGTTAAGAGCCCTTTTAGGCATAGCAAGTTTGGGGGTCCTGAGATTTTTTTTCTGGGCTGAGGGTAGTGACTCATCCCTGTAGTCCCAGCAATTTGGGAGGCCGAGATGAGAGGATTACTTGAGCCCAGGAGTTCAAGACCAGCCTAGGCAACATGGTGAAACCTTGTCTCTACAAAAGATTAAAAAAATTAGCCTGTGTGGTGGCATGCACCTGTCGTCCCATCTACTCGGGAGGCTGAGGATGGAGGATCCCTCGAACCCAGAGGTCAAGGCAGCAGTGAACCAAGATCATATCACTGTACTCCAGCCTGGGCGACAGAGCAAGACTCTGACTCAAAATAAAATAAGGTCCCTTCTCATTAAAAAACTGAACCCCAAAAAGCAGAGAGGCCAAGAAGAAGCAAAGTATGACCAGGGGCAGTTAGGAGACACTGAAGAAAGACCACCCAAAAAATGCAAACACAAACCACAGTTTTATGATTAAGCAAGTAAATGAGAATTCCTTGAGTAGAGGACAGGGAAAAGAGAACAGAAAATAGGTTTGAGCAGTCTTAAAAAAGGCATTTACTTGATTCATGTCTCAGCAGCAGAGGTGTAAATATGAAGTTGTCTTAATTAACTTAGAAAAGTGTTCATACTAAGATAGCAGCATACTGCCTCCCTCCTCCCTGCCAGCCTCATGTCAGGCCACTTTTCTTTTTTTTGAGACGGCGTCTCTGTCTGTCACCCAGGTTGGAGTGTAGTGGCACGATCTCGGCTCACTGCAACCTCTGCCTCCCAGGTTCCAGCAATTCTCTGCCTTGGCCTCCCAAGTAGCTGGGATTATAGGTGCCTGCCACCATGCCTGGTTAATTTTTTTTTTTTTCGTATTTTTAGTAGAGATGGGGTTTCACCATCTTGGCCAGGCTGGTCCTGAACTCCTGACCGCATGATCCACCTGTCTCAGCCTCCCAAAGTGTTTGGATTACAGGCAGGAGACACCACGCCCGGCCGAGGCCACTTTCTTTTTCATGCGTCATGGTCTTTCGGCTTCTCCATGAATACCACTCCCCCACTAAGGCTCCCATGGGCTGGCTCTTCTGCCTGAAATGTTCTTTCCCATATTCTTTGCATTGTTTGGTTCCTTATCAAGAATAAGAGACAAGTAGATATAAGAGAGGTGTTATTGGAGCAGACAAAATTCTTCTAGGCAATATCCCAGCAGAAGCAGGGGCCTGGTGAGACTTCTGTGAGCTCTCACCCTACTGCCAAAGAGCCATGAGCTTGCATTATTCACAGGCACAGGCCCTGAATGCCTGTGTCCCTGTTTCTTTGGACCCTTTCCTGCATCCAGCCTACTGGTGTGTTTCTTGTAGCATCTTCTGTACCGATTGTAATGGTTAAAATTACTCCAAGTCTGCACTGTACCATGGTCTTTCCTTGGAGAAGACTTGAGAAGTTGAAAAGAAATGAAGAAAATTAAAAAATATCTACCTGGTTCAACTTGCAGCACAAAGATAGCCTGTGGCTCTGCTCTGCAAGAACGGTTTTATTATCAACTGGGAACATCTTTATGCATTTGAAGCTTTTGCTTCTCATTAATTTTCCTGAGATGAACAGGCAACTATACATATACATGTTTACCTAAGCAAAATGTTATTTATTTCATGTTGGTGGTTTCTTTTTCTTTCTTTCTTTCTTTTTTTTTTTCTTGAGATGAAGTCTCACTCTCTAACCCCCAGGCTGGAGTGCACGGGTGCGATCTCAGCTCACTGCAACCTCTGTCTCCTTGGTTCAAGCGATTCTCCTGCCTCAGCATCCCAAGTAACTGGGATTATAGGCACCTGCCACCATGCCCAGCTGATTTTTGTATTTTTAGTAGAGACAGGGCTTCACTATGTTGGTCAGGCTGGCTCGAATGTCTGACCTCAAGTGATCCACCCGCCTCGGCCTCCCAAAGTGCTGGGATTACAGGTGTGAGCCGCGCCCAGCCTGGTGGCTTATTTTTCTCCAACAAATGTGTGCCTACCAGATGCTAGGCTCTCCTGTTTGGGCAAGGAGGAGGTCATCCAGATGGCCATATGGGGTCCTGACAATCACCTCCACATGGGGGCAAAGCACATCTTTATCCAAGTTCATCCAGGTGGCTTCAGTCAAAGGCCTCACACAAGATGGTTGGAGAGAAATCTGTTGTGATTAGAAAAACAAGAGTTCATCAGAGACTTGCCAGGTGAGGGAGCCCTCACCAAAGGAATTCAGTAGATTAAACACGAGTTTTTTTGGAGCAGGTTTGACATAGGGTGATTTTAGGTGGGAGGTAGTAGGTAGGGCTTGGCAGCAATTGGTTAGAATTTAGAAACTAGGGAACTTAGGCCAGGTGCGGTGGCTCACGCCTGTAATCCCAGAACTTTGGGAGGCCAAGGCGGGCAGATCAGGAGGTCAAGAAATCGAGATCATCCTGGCAACATGGTGTAACCCCGTCTGTACTAAAAATGCAAAAATTAGCCAGGCTTGGTAGTACATACCTGTAGTCTCAGCTACTCAGGAGGCTGAGGCAGGAGAATCAGTTGAACCCGGGAGGCGGAGGTTGCAGTGAGCCGAGATCGTGCCATTGCACTACAGCCTGGCAGCAGAGCGAGACTCCTTTTCAAAAAAAAAAAAAGAAAGAAAAGAAAAAGAAAAACTAGGGAACTTACTAGTTTGGTGTGAAGCAAGTCAATAGCTGAAACTATGGTTTTATTTTTCTAGAACAAAGTCTGAATCAGATGTTGCTAAAGCAGGTGGAACTTTAATGGTTTGTGTTTTAAGATGTAGTTTCTGTATAGTTTATGTGTTTTGCAAGTTACGGATTCTGTGCAGTGTGTTTTGCATACTATGGATTATAGAAACCCCACTCCTCAGCCCCATCTTTTAGTTACACTTAAACCAAGATTCCAGGATGGTTACCTTCTCAGGGCAGTGCTCGTTCTAGATCCACAGTGCTGGTCACAGTATCTGTAGCTGTGTGGGAGGTCACTTGAGTTTCAGCAAACTTTATAATGTTTTGTAGTGTCTGTCGAATGGTCATTTGTTGGATCATTTGGTGAGACAGTGGCTGAGTAACAGAATTTTAGACCTGGAGGATTACACATCTGAACCCTGCAAAGCATGCAAATTCTAAGATGTAGACCAAAAATAAAATTCTAAGCCCAAACCCGACTGAATGGACCCCTACTCTCAGCCAAGAGGATTCCAAAGTAAACCTGAAAAACTAGTTCAGGCTGGGATGAGAAGTGGGGGTAGGACATGCTTGGTTATACCTTCCCTGCTTTGGAATTCAGGCACAACTGACCAGCATTAATGTTAAAAAAGATCTTAAGACTGATGAAACAAACTCTTTGTAGCCACATGATACCAAATTCCAACCTGACTCTAATGTAGCAGCACATGACAGCACGCTCTGAAAGAAATTGAAGTATTTTACCCCAAAAGATATTTCTTTGATGTATTTTGAATTGGCCCTATAAAGATGTCTCTTGTGAAAAAAATCTACATTCTATAGAGGAATCCCTTCCCTTTCCAGGTCTTTTCCTGATCCAGGAGAGATTTAACTAAGAGTCTGGACCCTTTTGGTGTCTGATAAGAAACATTTGCCATCTAATCTTTCTGAAGCCTGCTACCTAGAGGCTTCATCTACATAACAAGAACCTTGGCTTCCACAACCCCACTTAAGTACCAACATTTCTTTCTGCTGACTTCAACTATTTAGGCAGAGTTTATGGAGTTTTCACTCTTGTTGCCCAGGCTGGAGTGTAGTGGTGCGATCTTGGCTCACTGCAACCTTTGCCTCCTGGATTCAAGAGATTTTCCTGCCTCAGCCTCCAGAGTAGCTGGGATTACAGGCACCCGCCATCATGCCTGGCTAACTTTTTCCATTTATTTTTATTTTTTTAGTAGAGATGGGGTTTCACCATGTTGGCCAGGCTGGTCTCAAACTTCCGACCTCAGGTGATCTACCTGCCTTGGCCTCCCAAAGTGCTGGAATTACAGGGATGAGTCACCATGCCCGGCCAACTCTTTCAAAAAATTGCCTATTGGAAATGTTTAATTCTACCTGTAAATGACCTGTGAGCCTCCCTCCTGATCCCCCACTCCAGCCCCCGAATTTCAAGATGTCCTGCCTTTTCAGACCAAACCAAGGTAGGTCTTACCTGTGTTGATGTCTGCCTAAGATGTATAACTTTTGTCTGAACTTCTGTGTCCCTAAAATGTATAACATTGAGCTGTAACCCCAGCACCTTGGACACATGTTCCCAGGACCTCTTGATAGTGTGCCTAAGTCCAGGATCACTCATATATGGCTCAGAACAAACCTCTAAAAATGTTTATAGAGTTTGGCTGGGTGCGGTGGCTCATGGCTGTAATTCCAGCACTTTGGGAGGCCAAGGCGGGCAGATCACGAGGTCAGGAGATCGAGACCATCCTGGCTAACACGGTGAAACCCCGTCTCTGCTAAAAATACAAAAACAAAATTAGCCGGGCGTGGTGGCAGGAGCCTGTAGTCCCAGCTACTCGGGAGGCTGAGGTGGGAGAATGGCGTGAACCCGGGAGGCAGAGTTTGCAGTGAGCTGAGATCGCACCACTGCACTCCAACCTGGGGGACACAGCGAGACTCCGTCTCAAGAAAAAAAAATTGTTTACAGAGTTTTATTTACTCTTTTCATCAACAAAGAAGAAGGATCATGATCAGAGTGTATAGCTCACTTTTAGGCTAGGAGCCAAGAATAGCCAAATAAACCAGGGAATATATCCCATCCTTGATCTGTGGAGCCTGTCGTAGTGGACATAGTGGGAAAGGGTTAAACAAGAAAGATCATCTGATTTCATCATATGTTTTCCAGATCCTTGTGGGAATATTAAAGATTCTGGAAAATTTTGTGGGATCAAGGACAGCATTCTTCCCGTAAGATGACACATGAGCTGTCTTGAACACTGCGTGACCAGGGCTGCCCTTTTTCAAACTACTGTCGGTCACTCTCATGAAATTCGCTGCTGAGGAGATCTATACCCTTAGGGACATTGTCTAGTCCCCTGTAGTTCTTAGAATCATAATGTGTAGATTTTTTCACACTTTCCAAGCCTACTTTATTTATTTTTTTATTTTTATTTTTTTTCTGAGACAGAGTCTCACTCTGTCACCCAGGTTGGGGTGCAGTGGCGCGATCTCCGCTCACTGCAAGCTCCGCCTCCCAGGTTCATGCCATTCTCCTGCCTCAGCCTTCCGAGTAGCTGGGACTACAGGTGCCCTCCACCACGCCTGGCTAATTTTTTGTATTTTTAGTAGAGATGGGGTTTCACCGTGTTAGCCAGGATGGTCTCGATCTCCTGACCTCGTGAGCCACCCGCCTTGGCCTCTCAAAGTGCTGGGATTATAGGCGTGAGCCACCGTGCGCAGCTGCAAGCCTACTTTAAAGCTTGACATGAGGAGGTGTGTGGAAAGAAAAAAGCAGCCTAGGATGAGAGTCAAGTTCACAAATTCAGGATCAGTTTTCCTTCTTCATGAATTAAGTTATTTAAAAGGGTATGTCTTTTTCTAAGAATGTAAATTGACATGCCAAAATGGGCCTTGAGTGATACTTTAGGATGGGGCATCCTAAAGGTAGATGTCAGTTTACCAAGAAAGCAAGTCCCTGTCTAATTTGTAGGCAGTAGCCAAGAGGTTTGTGCTGAAAATCACACGAGTCATGTGGAATATCTACGTACTCCTATGTGGTCATCTGGTATGCCATACAATTTTATCTTGAGTATAGTGTTGCATGAGGCAATGAAATTTAACCCTTTTCCCGTTTAGAAAAAATAAGTGCAGCTTGTTACCAGCGCTCATTTCATTTTACATAAACACGTTCTTTGAGGCTGAAGCAAATCTGACTGATTTTCAATGCGAAAAATAAAATATAAAAGCTGTTGTTGGAGTTATTTCTAAACAGAACTAACATCAGAATCATCGGAATCATCTATTTTGTAAAACTTGGATTCATCAAATCTTTGGCCAACAAATGTTCGAGAATGATGTTAACATTATGCACAGGAATGCTGTCTTCTAGGATTTGACATTTTCAGCTATTGGGAATTATTCTATTTTGTAAACGGAAATACCACCACTAAATCAGGATGCTATAAATAGAATGATGTCTTTTGTTTACAAAGTCAATATACTAGAGCAATGTGAAACTGATAATAAAAGTGAGATATTTTGTGGCAAAGTTATCTCGGGGTAAATGCTGCAGCTGCAAGCACTGCCAATGAGTCTTGTTGCGGTAAATGGGAAAAGGGTTAAACCAGAAAGATCATCTGATATGCCTGTGGTAAGACAGTGTGAACTTCTGTTTAAGTCATAAATCTTAAGTATAGATCTTCTGAAGGAAATAAAAATATTTTACCCCCAAGTATATTTCTTTGACATATTTTGAAATGACAGCTGCAGGGCCAGCAGAGTGAGGTGGCTCTGCAAAGCTGTTTTTTCTTTTGTGGGGGGTGTGGAATTTGTATTTGTAGAGAATCTTCATTAATGCAGCCAGGCCTTCCCTTTCTAGGTCTCTCCAGATCTAGGAGAGGTAAGCTGAGAGTCTGACACCTTTAAAGTTCTGAAAACAGACATTTTCCATCTATTTTCTCTGAGGGCTACTACCTGTGAGGCACCATCTACATAATAGACCACCTTTGCTAACCAAGCCTCTTCCTTTTTCCTGCTCTTAACCTGTCTTGCCACTAAGACCTGGTTTTGGGCTTTTTGACTGTGCACCCACATTCTTTCTGTAACCTCAAGATGGCCTAGAAGTTTCTGTACTTCACTGGTGGGTTGGTTCTTCGTTCTCAAGGCTACCACGTATACACATTAATTAAATTTGTATGCCTTTTCTCTTATTAATCAATCTGCCTAAGGTTAGTGATTTTTTTCAGCAAATCTTTAGGGGTGCAAGGGCCTTGGCACTGCCCACCCCCAACTGTAGGGTTGTAGGGTTTATAAAAATGAAGCATCTTCTACTTGTCCTTCATTTCTTAGTTCCTAAGTTTTATTTCTATGAAAGTTTGGCTAGATCCTGTAAAGGTAGAAGTCTCTCTCGCAGTTGAGAAGGGATTTGGGCTTTCGGCTATCTGGTCTGTTGTGCTCTTTGCCATATGAAATGTTACATAGTAGCTGTGTCCAATTATGTAGGAAACAGACTGATTCCTTTAAATAACTAAAGGGTATTGTGTGGCACCCAGAGGAAAATTGGTGCCAATTAAAAAGTGGCTACTGCCCAAATGAAAGTGAGTCCAAACCCAACAGATGGCTCAATGGTATTGCTAATGGTGGAGGGTGTCCGGGTTCTTGGCATCTTGAACAAAGAATTGGACAAAATGCACAAACAAAGCAAGGAAGGAATGAAGAGTTTTATTGAAAATGAAAATACACTTCACATTGTGGGAGAGGTCTGGGCATAGGAGCTCAAGGCCCTATTACAGAATTTTGGGGAGTTTAAATACCCCCTAGAGGATTCCATTGGTTACTTGGGGTACACCCTATGTAAATGGAGAGGATGAAGTTACAGAGCTGTTTACGACATATGCCGTATAGAGAGGATATTTCCTGTTATAGCTGAAGTGTGAATCGGCCTTATTATGCTCCCTGCCTCCAGACCCTATTTTCCTGCCTCAGTATGTTTTAGATAAATCAAGTGAGTTATAGCCGAGCATTATACCTACACTAAGAAGGGAATATAAATCACAGCATTAAGGATAGAGGCATAAGTCCTATTGTGAACAGAGTTTTCAGCAGTGGTGAATCCGTACGAGTCTGCAGCAACTCACTTCTTATCTCCTCAGAAGAAATAATTCAACTGAAGGGCATAAGGCAGAGGGAGAGAGCATGGCACATTTTAGAGCAGGAAGGAAAGTTTATTAAAAAAATTTTAGAGCAGGAATGAAAGGAAGTACACTTGGAAGAGGGCCAAGTGGGCAACTTGAGAGATTCAAGTGCACAGTTGACCTTTGAGTTGGGGTTTTATTTATTCATTTATTTATTTGAGATGGAGTCTCACTCTGTGGCCCAGGCTGGAGTGCAGTGGCACTATCTCAGCTCCCTGCAACCTCAGCCTCCTGGGTTCAAGTGATTCTCCAGCCTTAGCCTCTGGAGTAGCTGGGATTACAGGCGTGCACCACCACGTCACCACGCCACCATGCCCAGCTAGTTTTTGCATTTTTAGTAGAGACGGGGTTTCACCATGTTGGCCAGGATGGTCTTGAACTCCTGACCTCAGGTGATCCACCCGCCTCCGAAAGTGCTGGGATTACAGGCATGAACTACCATGCCCGGCCTGACTTGGGGTTTTATACATTGTCCTGCTTCCAGGATCTTGAGTCTCTTCTGTGATTCTTCCCTTGGGGTGGGCTGTCCACATGCACAGTGGCCTGCCAGCACTTGGGAGGGGCGGCATGCACAGTGTGTTTACCGAAGTTGTGTGCGTGCTCGCGTGAGGCATTTTTCCCTTACTAGTCGAGGGTTCCTAGAGGTTGGTCACATATCAGTTAAATTACACCATTTTGCCTCTTAGTGCGCATGCTTGAGCCCACTTGCTCAACTCCTAAGATCTTAATCATGAAGTGGCTAATCAGCAGTTTCAGGTGTTTTCTGTTTATTGGGAGAGTGCCATTTCCTGGTGCCAGCTGCAACCAATCATTTCTTTAGAGAGACACCTGACTATCACCTGACATTCCTGATGGAGGGCCCTCTCCTGCCCTGCTTATGTCTGCCTAACTACCCACTCAAACATTTCCCCCCTCAAGAGCCCCAGACCCAACTCTTTGGGAAAACGGATGAAGGTCAGTCTTCTGTAACTGCTTCCTGCTGACAGAGGGGCAGTGGTTGTCGTTCTGAGGGTCTTGGCCTCTTGCTAGCTGTCAGGGCAGGGTGGCTCCATGGGTTGGTAAAAGCAGTATCCAGCCAGGGCCAAGGGAAATAGCGCAGGGTTTCACCTCTGTCATGTCCCACTGATGGGCAGTCTAGGGGTCTTCTGTAGAGGGTGATTCTTGAATATTGAGAGGATGGTATCTGGATCCATCCTCTGAGGATCCACTGAGGATCATCTGGAGCTTGATGGCCTGAACAGCAGACCAGGTTATTAGATTTAGAAAACATGAAATATTTAGAAAACCAGAAAGTAGAAAAAGTAGGAGACTGACAAGTGGGCCTAAAAAGGGAAGAACCCAGGAGAACCATTTCCAGGTTCCTTTCCAATTTAACCAACCCTGAGAGGCTTGTTCCCGTAAATTGAAGGGTTGATTTAGGATTTGTCTGATGTCATCTTGTACTTTTCTTGGTTGATTTACCCAAAAGGGGTATTTTTCATCTAAGGCTAAACAAATTCTTCCCCGTGCTGCTGTTAATATATTTAGTCCTCAGTGATTTCGGAGGACTACAGCTGCTAAAGAGTCGATTTGTTCTTGCATGTTTGTTACGGTTTTAGCGATGGCATCAATGTTGTTGGTTATTTCCTTTGAGATTTGGGTATAGGCTAAGGAGGCTTTTGTGATTTCAGCAATTCTGGTTCCCATACTGGCTATAATGCCAAGTCCCACAAAAAGGGGAGTTAAATAAATAGCTTTTAAATTAATATTTGTCCTCTAGAATTCTAGAATTCTCCTGAAAATTAAAGATGATAAGCTGGGAGTGGTGGCTCGCGCCTGTAATCCCAGCACTTTGGGAGGCCGAGGTGGGTGGATCATGAGGTCAGGAGATCGAGACCATTCTGGCTAACATGGTGAAACCCCATCTCTACTAAAAATACAAAAAATTAGCTGGGCATGGTGTCGGGCGCCTGTAGTCCCAGCTACTCGGGAGGCTGAGGCAGGAGAATCTCTTGAACCCGGGAGGCGGAGGTTGCAGTGAGCCGAGATCACGCCACTGCACTCCAGCCTGGGTGACAGAGCAAGACTCTGTCTCAAAAAAAAAAAAAAAAAAAAAAAGAAGAAAGAAAATTAAAGATAATGTAGACAGTGGAATTTTTGAGTAAGTGGTAGGAGTTTTCAAAGCTTCTCGATGACGGTTTCGGTGAAGTGGGTTCCTCTAATATTGAAGATGTAGACTGGAGTTCTTTAGGTAGGATGATGGTGATTGTATGAAATTCATCTGGAAGTGTCCAAGGAGGTCTTGAGGGCTGGTGTCTTATCCATATTCTACCGTTAAAGTTTTCAGAGGATCATGTTGGTGACAAATGAGATATGCATTAGGTACTCACTCCACAAATGTAGCAGTCTCCCTACCAGAGTTAGGTACACCTTACTCTGGTGGGTAATTTTACATATAATGTTTGTAAGGCTCCATTTGTGAAGTTCTATGGCACCACCAGAAGGCTAATGCAAGAGTGGGAGAGATTACCCTCATACAATACAGAGCCACATTATTACCGATATCTTTTTGTCTGACTCTGGAACCAATTTTTGATATCACACAGTAGTCTGTGATCCTGTCAAATAATTCACTTGTGTGTTGTGTTAGCAGGCCTAGCTGTAGGGAGGACTGCCCGCCTAGCATCGTGCTGCCCAGAGCATCTCGTTTCACCTCTAAATACACTCCTTTGTGTGTGCTTCTACCTTTATAATGGCATCTGCTTTAGGGAGCATCCCGGTATTTAGGAGTTCATCAATCTGGTGACCATTTTTAATTGGGCTTCCCTCTGATCTATTTCCAGAGCTTCCCCAACTCGTGTGTCTCCCTATAAGTGTGCCTGCTGTCAGTGTATACATCAATCCTTTTATCCTGAGCCACAGTGACAGGCTTTAATGAGTGTGTTGAGCTCCATCATTTGGATTGCTTTTGCCTCTGGTAAGAGGTGACACTCTAGAGATGAGTTGTGACGTGTTATGAAATGCCAGTCCTGAGGACCAGGACAAATTGATACCCTCATGGGTTTCTTAGAACCGAAAATCCAATTTCAGATGTATCTATCAACAAATGATATTTGATCTAGATTTTCTATGAGAGTCTGTAAGAAATTTATTTAAGGCCTGGAAAGTTCCCAAGAAGACATTAGCAACTGTGAGTTTTTCCTTCTACCAGTAGAAGCATAACAGATGTCCAGGCATGATGAGAGTTCACATGAGGTGCTTCTGCTTGCTGAAAGTGATGAATTTTCCCCATGAGTGGCAATGATTATATATACCACCAGGGACAACTATGCTCTGAGGCGATCCTAGGTCTCTACGTGCTTAGCTGATGCTGCCACTGCTCTGCAACCAGGCAGAAATGCCTTTTCCATCAGGGAAAAGTTGTAGTAAGCTGTTGGTCTCTGTCACACTCATAAGGCTGAGTGAAAGCCCCACAGGCTTGTCCAGAATGTTTGTGTACAAACAACTGGATACATTATAATGATTAGGTAGATTTCTTATAGGGAGCTGTTAAAGAGCTAATTTTAAATCCCAAAATGCCCACTCATGGTTAGGTTTCCAGTGGAAGGGCCCTGATACTATGAGCTTAGTGAAGTTGTATAGAAATGTAGTAGTTCAAGAAAAAATAAGAACCCATTGAAGCAACTGATTAAGGTCTTGGTTAAGGATTTATGAAAAGCAATAAAAGTCTTCTGTGGAATCCTGAGGCACAATTTGCAGTTATATCGTTGACCTTCCAAGGAAGAAAATAAAGAGAAATTGGCTGTTCTAATTTAGAGGAATCCTGGAGAAAGCAAAGATCCGTACAGGGAAGTACAACTGTGAAATAAGAGAACTTGGTACCTAGGGTAGGAGGATATTGGGGTTTGGTATCACAGGTAAGGCTATTTTATAGCTGTGATATGCTGGGTAATTGATGGCATTATCTGCTGGCTGTTTTAACTCCAAAGAAAGGAGTGCAACAAGGACTGGTACAAAGATGATTAGGTTTCTACCCATCTGATCTTCCTCTATGATTTTCCATCTCCCTGTAAATTTCAGTTTAAAGGGTTCTGTAAGGGTTCGGGCTGTAATGGCCTTGGCACCAGTGCTTCTGCCAGTCAGTGGAACTCTTCACTCATGGGAGTCTAGATCCTTATAGAATTATTCAATCTTCGTTTTAAATATATATATATACATATAAAAATGTGATTTAATAAATATATATTATTTAAATATAAGGACATTGGTAGGCTAGTATTTCAAATAACTACAATTTGCATCTTCAGGTTTCAGGGAAGAAATCTTCAGACATACCAGTCTTCTGGTAATCCCATGAACACAGTAAATCTCAATTAAATCAGCAGGCCTGGTATCACAAAGAAGGAGGAAATGTCCAAGAGGGTCAGTTAGAGGCTTAGGCATGGAGAGTTTGGGGATCATGGAAGATGTCCATCACCTGGGCTGTACAACAGTGGGGGGAGCTAGACACTTATTTCTCTCCTGTGTGGGCATCCTTTCCTTCCCTCCCCCTCCCCTAGCTCTCTTTCTCAGGGTCTCACTCTTGCCCAGGCTGGAGTGCAGTGGTGTGACCTTGGCTCACTGCAGCCTCCACCTCCTGGGCTCAAGTGATCCTCCTACCTCAGTCTCCCCGAGTAGCTGGGTAGGGGCTGCACCACTATGTTTGGCTAATTTTTTGTATTTTTTTTTGTAGAGATAGAACCTTGCTATGTTAGCCAGGCTGGTCTCGAACTCCTGGGCTCAAGTGATCTGCCTGCTTTGGTCTCCCAAAGTGCTGGAATTACAGGCATGAACCACTGCACCCAGCAGGCATCATATTGTTAAAACAAATTTAGCTTAAAGCTGACTCCTTGTCAGCTTTAAGTTTGGCCTAAAGGTTTCCCTATATATAGTGAACTGTAGCCTAAATGGAGTTGTAAACAGACTGTAGCATCTTGTGGCAATCACTGAGTTTCGGCCAATCAAAGGTGGCCAATTGTTCAAACCATATTCAAATGAGGCAAACACCATGCTGTAACCAATCCAGCTGTTTCTGCACCTCACTTCTGTTATCTGTACATCACTTTCCTTTTTCTGTTCATAAATCCTCTTCCACCAGGTGGCTGAGTTGGAGTCTCAGAGCCTATTCTGGAATCGTTCTTTGGTCAATTAAACTTTGTTAAACTCAATTCAGCTAAGGTTTTTATTGTAACAATATTTTTCTACTTCAGTTTCTTATCTTTCACGTCCAATAATCTTTTCAATGGCACTTTGCTTGAAGTATCTGCAAGAGTCTTTATCTGGGACATTCTCCTACTGTGGGGTTAAGCAATTATTTCTACATGTTAGGGCATATAACTGTTTGATTTGGAGACTTTAAAGGTAATTTTGAGTTGTGGCTTATTTTTAATCTTTTACACTGTCAAAACATTCTTTCAGATGCTGTAGTTGAATTTCAAAGGGGGTAATTTCCTGTCCTCAAGTTTAATCTAATAAAATCTCTGATTTCAGGTTTTAAGCAATTGACAAATAGAAATGTCTAAGCTGTGGTCCCTCTGACATCAGAGTCTATGCCTGAGTATGTAAATATGCTTACCAACCTCCAATGGCTTCATCGGCCCTCTGCTTACAAAACTGAAAACCTCAGGGAATCTTTACAAGTTTGTTGTCTTGTATAACCCATAAGAAAGCTGGTCCTATCTTGGCAACCCTGTTGAACCCGTTAGCTGCTCCATGGAACCACTGCCCTTGATGTCCTCTACAGTGAACCTTTCCATCAAGGCTTTTGCATCTTAAAGGCCTGCCAGCTTGCAGGCTACTTGATGTGTCTGCCAGTTGGGGTTACAGCTTTTCTGAGCTACTCTTGGTGGACTATTATCTTTTTTAGACTTAGGAAAGTCTTTGATTATGCCTCTTAATTTTGGCCTAGCCCATGGATTAAAGTCTACTTTTAAGGGCTCCCTGTCAGCTTGTTTAGCTTTAAGGTGGTTCAGATGGACTGGCAAGATAGGGAAGGGCTGGAAGGGATGACAGAGCCAAAGGCAGAGGACAAGTGTGGAAGACAGAGGGAGACGTAGGCAGGTAAAACCAAGAAGGGCTGGTGTCTGTCCCCTCAAGGAATTTGTTAAAGATGCAATTTCGGGATCCTCATTTCTTTCTGAAGTCTCCTCATACCACAGTGTGCTAACCAGTGGGTGTTAGAGATCCTGGGCCCCTTTTGTCCTATAGTGCCTCTTAAGTGGATTCAAAATTTTTCTGAAGTGTCCACTGCAGTTCTAAAATATTCATTGTGAAATTGTATTATTCCCAAAGATAACACAAGACTCCGGGTTATAATGAGAAAATGTGTCAGGAGCCCGTGTCCCGCCCGCCAGTGGCCGACATCGACCCCGAATCACTCCCGTGATGGACAAGTCATCCGCGTGTCACAGATGTCGCTTGTTTACCTGTGCCCCAGCCTCCTCGGTCGAGATGATTTAGCGCTCTCCTGTCACTAACCTGGCAGTCAGAGACTCAGGGCATAATTTCAGGGAGTGGATCTCTCCAATCGCAAAAGCCTCATGCAGGAGAGCAGGTGGAGGTGCAGGGCCATAAGGCTTTCACAGGTGACTGGCCACGTTTGTCTCAGGGAGGGCACTGGTCTACTGAGATCCTCATTCCTCAGGACCAGCTTGGATAGAGACTTGTTGGACCTGTGTCTGCCTCTCATTCTAGGAAGTTCTGTTATAAACAGACACCATCTACGACGTGCACAGCGAGACAGGGACATTAATAAAATAAAAGCAAACCAAAAACTTTGGCATATTTTCACCAAGGGATACAAACACAAACTTGATCAAATTAACAATATTCAAGAGGCTAAAAGAGGTCCCCCACAAAGGGCCAAAATCCTAGGAAGCAAAATAAGCTCAGTGAGGGAAGTGAATACAGTGGACGTGGAGTGAGGCTGGGGAGGCTTCCTCACCGTGAGGGGCCAAGCCTCCTGTCAGGGACTATGGGCCCCTCTGCACTGTTAGGGAACTGGCTTTTATGACTGCTTACTCTGGGGCACTTCTGCTGGCTGGCCTCGGTGCTCATGATGGGGGCATGTGGTTGCGCTGTGCTATAGCAAAAATAACCATTTGTTCGTTCATTCAATATTTACAGGGAGAATGCTGTGTGCTATGCGTGGGGGAGGCCATGAAGCAGCAGCTCTCAGTCTTTACCATACAACTTCACCACTGGGACAGCTAGGATCTGGATTCAGGAGACCTGGGGTTAGGCCTGAGAAATTTTGATTCCAGCAATCTCCCAGGGGATTTTTGCTCTGGGTCTGGAGTCCACACTTTGAGAATCACTGCAATGGAGAATCAAATACCCCACAGAGATTGGTCAGGGCTGAGGACAGCTGCTCTGCACACCCATCTTGTTGTTTAGGCTTCCACCTGAAGGCGCTGTCCACTTCAGGAGGCCCTGGGAGAGTTTATCTGGTGTCAGTTCTGTAATGAATCAGGGATGGAAGTGTGTGGTGATTAGAGCAGTGCGTCTAACTCCAGTGATGTCTTCACATCCTCAATGATGGCAGGCCCTTGTTCTCATCCTTCCCCCGCCCCAGCAGCTTCCTAGGGGGCCTTCCCCTGAGTACAGCCCCCTCCTCCTGCATTTCCTCAAAGGTAGCTTAAATTAAGTCTCCTGGTTGTATACACTGTCTACTTTCCCAAGGTGATATTTCTGACTTTTATCTCTTTCTAGGAGGTAAAAAGAGCTCAGTTTTAGTGTCACACAGTCCCAAGCTTGAATCCTGGCTTTCCCCTCACTGGCTGCATGATTTTGAGAAAACCGACTGTTTACATTCTCTTCTGAGTAATGAGAATGATCACACCTACCTCATAAAGATGTTGTGAGAATTAAATAAAATAATGCCTGACTGTTCAACAAAGTTGTCTACATTCTCCTTTTTTTTTTTTGAAAAAAAAAAAAAGAGATGTGGTTATGTAATTCTGAATGGCAAATGGTATACATGTATATTTTTATGGCAAAACACCACCTCCATTCCGGATCAACACAAATTTTTCCTGAAGTCAGGTTTATGTTTCTCATTCATAAAACTGAAATTAAAAATTCAGCATATAATATAAGGAGAGAAATAATTTTTTTAGGCATGCATGTGGCTTTCATTTCAGTTTTCTTCTCCATCAGAAACGTGTAATACAGCATCTATGGTGGATCTAAAGGAGGAGATCCCGAGGCTGGAGGAAGATATTTGAGGACTATCTTTACACAGTGTTCTCTCTGGATCTGTCATTCCAAGATTCTTGTCTGTAATGCGGTGAGATGTTAAAATCTTCCCATGGGACACTGTGGTGCCTCGGGAAGTTCCGAGAATTGGCAGATGGTTCTGGTGGGGATGATTTTGGTTCTCTCTGGCTTTCGGCTTGCTGGTGGACCACAGGCCCCAAGCGTCCCTTATACTTCCTCCCTGCCCCTCCAGCATGCTTGATGGTCCTGCCGGGAGGTTCTACCAGGATGCTTCCTGACATCTTACTGTTTTTTTGGTCTGCCTACTTTCACAGACCCTATAACCACATCCTTCATAGCACAGCATAAAGGAAGAACTTCCTCCCTTATCTCTCCTTTTGATCGTAGAATCAGAAACAGGCCTTTGGTATTAACCCCCATTAGAGAGATTAAGACATAAAAGGAATATGACAATAAGAGGAGAAGAAGATGAGAACATTTCAGCAGCTCCCCCGGCTGTCTGGCTGATGCCCTTGATGGCTCTTCCTTCTGTCTGCCTCCCACCTTCCCCTTCCCCTTTAACTTCCAACAGGTTTTGCTATTATTAAACCCAGGGAGACTGAAGGGGTGACTCATCACTGAAAATGGTCCCTTCAAAGGAATAGTTATTTCTAGAGGGATTTAAAAAATATTGCCAGGTGCCTGAGGGGTGTGTGTGCTATTTGTGTTGGAGAGAGCTGAAACCTTTTTCGACCTTAGAGAGGTAAAATTAGATACTTTCTTTCATCAGTTTTGCTCTAAAAAAAGAAAATCCTTACTATTTCTAGAAGCAGCTGAGCAACACTGGTAGTGGTTAAGATGACAGGCCCAGGAGTTTGACAGAAGCAGCTTTAAATCCTGTGTTTTTGCCAACTTATTCAACCCTTGTGAGCCTGAGATGGGGGCATCAAATCATACGAGCATCCCAGTGCTCTTGTTGAAGGGGCTTCTCAGGGGACAGAGGTGAAATGGAACAGATGTGGTGAGACTGGAAATACTGGACTGTTTCTCAACCTGAGGGAGCCAGCGTTCAGTGTTTTACCATTAACTGTGATGTTATCTGTAGATTTTTTAGAAAGATGCTCTTAATCAAATTGAAGAGGTTCCCTTTCATACCTAGTTTGGCAAATATCATGAATGGGTATTGGATTTTGGTAAATACTTTTTCTGTGTTACATAACTGCTAACATTGTGAATTCTGTTGATCGACTTTACAGAGTTAAAGCAAACTTGCTTTCCTGGGAAAAACCCTAGTTGGTCATTTTGTATTACTATTTTTATAGTTTATTAGATTTGATTTGCAAGTATTTTGTTAAAAAATTCTGTGTCTATGTTTATGAAAGACACTAGTCTGTAATTTTCTTTTTCTGCGATGTTTGTCAGGTTCTTTAAAATTAGTGCTATAATGGCCTAATAAATTACACTTGGAAGTGTTCCCACCTCCTTTATTTTCTATTACAGTTCATGTTCAATTCGTTCTTTGAAAGTTTGAGAATTCACTGATTAAACTCTCTGGGGCTTGAGTTTTTTTGGTGGGAAAGTTTGTGATAAATTCATTTAACACTTATAAAGCTGTTTATATTTCTTTTTAATTTTTTGAGTCAATTTTGGTAAATTGTATTTTTCAAAGAATGTGTTCATTTTGACTATCTTGCCCCAAAATTTCTTGGCATTAAGTTCATAACATTCTCTTGTTATCTATTCTTTTAACATCTGTGGGAGTTACAGTGATGACATCTTTTTCGTTGTTATTGGTGGATTGTGTTTGCTTTCTTTTTTCTTGATCAATATAGTGAGGAGTTTATCACATTTATGGATTCTTAATGCAGAACAAGTTTTTGGTTTGTTCATTTTCTCCATTGTTTTCTGTTAACTTCTGCTCTTACCTTCACTATTTCATTATTTTGTACTTACATGATTTATTTTAGATGTATAGACTGATATACATTAATGACTGCTTCTAAGTCTAAGTCTATTTACATTTCTGATAGACATTCTCACTCTCCTCCTCCCCAGGCAGGCTTCCACAGTTCACAAGCACGCCCATTTCTTCTTGCCACCATGGCACTGGCTGCTGTCACTTTAAAAAATGGTTTCCAATATGATAGATAATGGGTTTTTTATCTTATTATTGTTTTCCTTTGTATTTTTGTAGTTACTGGTGAAGATGACCATCTTTTTGTACTTTAGAGATTTGTGTGTGTGTAAACTCTGTGTTCGTGGCCTATATTAATTTTTTCGCTGGGTTGTCTTTATTCTAAATGATTTTTAGGAATGTTGTATATATTATAATTCTTAGTTTGTTCTATATGTTGCACATCATTGTCAGGTTCTTTAAAATTAGTGTTATAATAGCTTAATAAAATACACTTGGAAGTGTTCCCACCTATTTTATTTTCTATAAAAGCTCACATACAATTTATCCTTTCAAAATTTGATAGAATTCACTGATTAAACTCTCTGGGGCTGAGTTCTTTTAGTGGGAAGATTTTTGATACATTTTATGTCTTTAAATTTTTAAAATAATTTTTTACATAGAACTTAAAAAATAGGTAGTCAAAACTCTTAGTTCTAAAATGGGTTAATTTGTGTTGCTTAAGTAAGTTTACTTATGTAATATAAAATTATTATATGTGGCACTTGTTTCCATCTAGGATTCACTTCTGGGAATGGGAAGAGGCAGAAATTTAGTTTTATGTTTTCCCAGAGAGACAGATAATTGTCCTAATTTTTCCCCCCACTAGTTGAAGTGCCACTTTTAACATGTTATAAATTCCCATATATAAATATGTCTTTCTCAGAATTTTATTTTTTATTCCATGGGCCTACTTGTCTTCTTAAATGAAGAAAATACATTTAATTATTATCAGACTATGTTTGAGTTCTATCTTCATTGCTTTTAATTTTTTTTACCCTTCCAATTAATTTTTAAAATAGATGTATCAAGTTTTATAAAAACAAATTGCTTTGGGAATGTCATTGGAAGTAATATTTATTGTTACATTATGTGGAAGGAAAGGTCACTTTTAAACACAACATTATATCTTTCTCCCTAAGAACATGGTACATTTCTCCATTTAATTGGGCTGTTGAAAAGATCCTTCAAGAAAGTCTATAGTTTTCTTCAAGTAGTTTTTGTACATTTCTTATGCTTAGATTTTTAAACATTTTTTGATGCTATAGACAACAGTGGTTATTTATCCATTACAATTCTCCCTTAGATTGTGTTGGTCCATAGGAAAGCTGTCATCTTTGACACATTTGCCTTGTATCTAGCAACAGGTCTATGCTCTCCTACTAGTTCCAAGGGCTTTTCCTTTGTGGACAGTCATATAAATAAAAAATAATGAGTTTGTCATTAACTTTCTCTTTTCCTTCCTTCCTCCCGCCCTCCTTCCTTTCTCTCTCTCTCTTTTCTTTTTCTTTTTTCTTTTTCTTTCCCTCCCTCCCTTTCTTTCTTTCTCTTTCTCCTTCCTTCCTTTCTTCCCTCCCTCCCTCTTGCGCTCTTTCCTTCCTTCCTTTCTTTCTCTCTTCCTTCCTTCCTTTCTTTCCTTTCTCTTTCTTTCTTTCCTTCCTTCCTTTCTTTCTCTTTTCTTTTCCCTCCTTCCTTCCCTCCCTCCCTCCCTCCTTCCTTTTCTTTCTTCTTTCCGTGGCTGGGGCCACCAGTAAAATGTTGACTAGTAGCACAAGCAGGTGTCTTTGTCTTCTTCCAGATTTTAAAGCAAATCTTTTTGCTGTTTTAACATTGAAGATCTGTGGTATACTCTTTAATTGGGATAACAAAGTTTTTCTTTATTTTAAGCTTTCTATGAGTTTGTTTTTAAGTTTATAAATGTTTTTAAATTTTAGTATTTCCCTCAGATCTATTGAGATAATCAGATGGTTTTCTGCTTTCACAAACCATTCATTTGAAGTTACCTTAACAGATATCCTAATGTTGAAATGGCTTGAACTCCATGTATTAGCCCTTTTGTTCAGTGATGGATTTATTTTGCTAACATTTTGTTTAAGACTTCTGCATCTATGTTTAACAGTGAGACTGGCCTGCAGTTTTTTTCTTTGTTTTGTCCCTTTCTGGGGGTGATTTTATTTAGTTTTAGAAATGAGATAATAAATCTTCCCTCTTTTTCTGTTATCTAAAAGATTTTATTCAGATACTAATCATTTGTTTCTTATATAAGTTTGGTAGATCTCTTGAATCCAGGATCCAGGTTATTATTATTATTATTATTATTATTTTTTGGGCAGATTTTAAACTACGCAATACTGAAACAGTTACACGGTATTTTTTATTTAAGGGAAAATACAGACGATTATGAACTTTTCTTCAAGCTGACACTAAAACAATTCTCTACTTGGGATTTATAAGGGAGTCTGAGAACACATAGCTAGCAAATCATACGTTAACATTTTTGTAGCAATGCAGCAATGAATTTCGTGGACTTTTTTCTTGAAATGATCTCTTACACATGCTGAGGGCATGGTATAAAAATGCATCTCTTGAAAGTATTGTTAGGTGAAACTTAAGCTGAAATGATCATTTGTGTATTTAGACTAACGATAATCTGACTTAATTCAAATGTAGAATGCATGGATTTCTTAGGGAAGTGGATAGATTATGTATCTTCCAAATAATCCTCTATAAATGTGTTTTCTCTTGTTTAGGCTTTTGATAGGAATTAGATAAGAGGTAGTTTGAGATTCTGTTTTACGGTGGGAAACCACAGAGATAGCATTCTGTGATAAATGTTAGGAAGACTTATGTTTGCTTTAAAAATTAGGCGATGGAAATTCAGCAACTAGTCAGAGTAAATCTCAGTAGAGGAAAAAAAAGAAAAGTAGCTTTATAATGAGAGTCATGGGGATTCTATTCTGTGATTGATCAAAACTTGGGCTCCCAGAAACTTCACTCTGGCTTTAATTTTTAGTCTAAATACCCATCAGCTGCACACATTGTTATCAATCCAACCTCCCCACGGCCTTTCAGAGCAACTGAACGCAGGAGCTGGAGACTAAGAAATGGCTCTTCTACTTTTAATTTTTGGACTTTAAATCTAAGCCATGAGCAGGGCTGTCTGTATGAGATGAGAAGACTATTCATGGTTGGCATATATTCTTGTTTCATTTCTGTGTTGCATCATTGACAAGAATCAGAACAGAGAAAAATCACTGGGAGACGGGTGCATTTGCAATCTCATCTGCAAAGCAAGAAATATGAAGAGGATTCAGCAGCGGTGGGAAAGGTATTACGTTCACACTCCAAGCCTGTGATTCTGCGTTTCTGGGGTTCTTTACTAGATCATATGCCAGGGAGGAGGATTTTGAAGAAACAGAAGCAGTAAGCCCTGAGTTTAGGGACAGTAGAAACAACACCATGAGAGATCATGGAGGAGAACTGTTCAGGTCCATTGCTGATGGGTCCGCAGGATGAAAAATACTAGGGCAGTCAGGCATAGTGCCATGGGCCGGAGCTCCAGGGAATCAAGAAAGAGCGAAGCAATCTCTGCCCTCAACACTTGATGTCTAGTGCAGCACTGTCTAATAGAAGTGTAAGGTGAGCCTCATGTGCGATTTTAATTTTCTGGTAGCCACAGTGAAAAAAATGAAAAGAAATGGGTGACATTTATTTTAATAATATGTTATATTTAACCTAAGACACCTTAATTATGAAAATGAATTATCAACATAAAATTATGAATAGGATTTTTTTACATTTAAAAAAAGTGCCATGTCTTTGAAAGCACATCCCAGCTGCACATGCTCAAGGGCCACGTGTAGTCAGTGGCTACTGCCCGGGGCGGCACAGATCTCCAGGGAAAGAAACAGACTTGCAAACAAAGGAAGGCATAAGGCTGTGGGAAGGGCCGAGACTGCCAGACCTTGGCAAGAGTGTCGACTCATTGCTGGATGGATCCGAGGGTGACTGCTCTTGGGCAGCAAGGATCATTTTAGTTTTCTGAACCTGAGTAGGTGGTCACCAGGCAAGGTCGTTTGCAGGCTGCTCAGCGATGGCTTCATTCATTAAACCGCTCTTCACCTTCTCTGTGAGCAGATGCTTCCTGAGCCCCTGCATATTCTGGGCAGGTGCCCCAGTGCAGTGCTAGTGTGGCTCCATTGCCCATGGTCTCCCCTTCCCCGCTGCCCCATGGTCCTCCCGCAAAGGGGTTCTTCCCAGGCTCCTCCCAGGGCACCCTGACTGCTTTTCAGAATGACTGAACATAATGTGGATAATCTCATGGAATCCAGCAGTATCCCTGGGGAAGTCTCTCTTTATGAATTTTACAAATGTGGAAACTGAAGCTAGGAGAAGATGACTTGCCCAAGGTCACAAGGTTGGCCCGTGGACCAGCAAGGGTTTCAAATCAACTGAGTGCCTCCCGAGTCCTCAGTCTGCTCTGTGGATGCACAGCATTCAATCCTTTTAATGGATTAGAAAGTTATAAAAACACGAACTTGAGACATCTTCCTTTTTTTTTTTTTTTTTTTTTTTTTTGAGACAGAGTCTGGCTCTTTTGCCCAGGCTGGAGTACAGTGGTGTGATCTCAGCTCACTGCAACCTCATCTCCCAGGTTCAAGCGATTCTCCTGCCTCAGCCTCTGGAGTAGCTGGGACTACAGCTGCGTGCCACCATGACTGGCTAATGTTTTGTATTTTAAGTAGAGATGGGGTTTCACCATGTTGGCCAGGCTGGTATCGAACTCCTGATCTCAAGTGATCCACCAGCCTCAGCCTCCCAAAGTGTTGGGATTACAGGCGTGAGCCACCACACCCAGTCTGAAATATCTTTCTCAGCATCTTTTCCTCACAGTATTTCTCTCCTCAAAGCAATTAGTGATCTCCTATTTTCTGTTAAATGCCTCGATTTCAAGAAGCTCCGTATTTTAGCGCATCCTAAGGTTCCCAGTGCCACCCGCTGTCCGTCTCATCAGGGACTCTACCCGGGGTGCCGCTGGTGCTTCATTACTTCTCTGCACTTCCTGATGTACAGTTGTCTAAGAAAGATCAAAGCAGCTGGGAGTGGTGGCGTGTGTGTATAGTCCCAGCTACTTAGGAGGCTGAGGCAGGAGGATGCTTTGAGCCCAGGAGTTCCAGGCTACAGTGAGCTATGATATGCACCATCACACTCCAGCCTCGGCAACATAAGCAAGATACTGTCTCTTAAAAAAGAAAAAAAAACACGCAAAATAGGAGTGTCTCATAAGAAAGCAGCAAACCCAAATATGTTAATGAAAACATTATGTTGTGCTTATAACATAAGAGGGCGCCGTTCGCTAAAAAAGATGTTTCGGTTTCATCAGAGCCACAATGACCTAAACTTGAGCCTTATCACCATAATATTTATTTTTTGGGGGAATTTTTGATGTCCTTTCCACCTACCACTTGGTAACACAGTCAGAAAGATAAGAAACTTAGACATCTATGAGTTATTTGTTGTGAATTATTTTCTTCTTTGCACTTTCCAAATAAATACATAATCAGAATTTAATTCTTTGACAAGGTATTATATAGGTATTTCAGGACAATTTGCTTAACATTTTGTATACATACAATGACATTTTTATCCATGATTTGAGCTGTCTACTTAGAAATATGTCCACTAAAGTGAAAATCCCATTTTTTTCCCCTGGTATTTTACAGGACTATTAGAAATTGAACAATTGTGGGAAAGTAGATTTTATGCGATGTTGGCCAGGGTTCATCGCAGGCCTTGGCTGGGACTACAAACAATCAGGCACTTTGCTTTTGCAGGGCCTGGGGCCTGGGCATTTACTCGGATGGGGAGCGCTAAGGACAACCCAGGGAAATGAGGCGGAAGTCAGAACCGAGGAACAAGGTGGGATGGCGAGTCTCAGAGAGCTTTGCAGAGCTTCTCTTCCCATTTGTGCCCCTTGTGGAAGACTGGTCCAGAGGCTGCAGGTGGAGTGGCCAGTACTGACTGGCTGTGGCTGAGGGTGGAGGGGTGCAGGAGAGAGCTCAAGGCAACACAGAATGGGGAGTTTCCGGTTTTTGCCCCTAGGAAGACGAGGCAGCTGGCCAGGCCAGGAGGAGCTGTGCTGTTCTCTTGGTGTGCAGAGGGGGAATGGGGAGGTGGGCGGGAGGATGAGCAGAGGTTCAGGCAGGGCTCCACCCATTCCTTTCTCTTCCTGGCCCTGACCTGAGCTCTGAAACATTTTCCTCTATGTCTGGATTTCTTTCACTTATTTCAGTTTTGTTTCAGCATTCACTGTTTAAAAGTTAACAAAAGAAAAAATGTCTACCTTATAATTAACTAAGATTTTCCTGTGAAGCATTCCAATTTTTCAGAGATCTGAAACATTTAGTCCCAATATTTTATTATTTCCATAGCTCTCTTTCTTGTGTTTCTTTTTCAATTTTTAACTTTCTTAGGGATATTCTCAATTGTTCAGGTCATTTTCAGTTTTCTTTTTCTTTTTCTTTTTTGACATGGAGTCTTGCTCTGTCGCCCAGGCTGGAGTGCGGTGGCACGATCTCGGCTCACTGCAAGCTCTGCCTCCCAGGTTCACGCCATTCTCCTGCCTCAGCCTCCCCAGTAGCTGGGACTACAGGTGCCTGCCACCACACCTGGCTAATATTTTGTATTTTTAGTAGAGACGGGATTTCACCATGTTAGCCAGGATGGTCTCGATCTCCTGACCTTGTGATTCACCCGCCTCAGCCTCCCAAAGTGCTGGGATTACAGGCGTGAGCCACCGCGCCCGGCCTCAGTTTTCTTAAGTGCCAAATTGTATGACCTTTCCCTATCGAATGATGTTAGCTCTAGCCTACAGATTGTTATAGGTAGTGTTTTCATTGTTAGTATTTTCCTGTCCAAAGATGCTGGAGATGGAAGGGGTACCAACTACATGGCATTAAGTTTCACTGCCCCTGTGTACCAGTGGGAGATGGTGGAAGGGTTGTGGGAGTTCAGTTGTTTGCAGTTCTCTTGCTTTTAGGTGGAATTTTGCAGGCAATAAAACACGGCTTATTTTTATTTTTATTTTTATTTTTATTTTTATTTTTATTTTTACAGGGAGACAAGGTGCCTTCCAGTAGTGGTTCAACACAGTTCTGCAAAACACGACACTCTTGATAAGTTTATCCTGTGATAGAAGGAGATGAAAACTCAGAAATGACTGCTAGCCTGGACAAGTCCAAGTCTGTGATTCGAGTGCCACAGCAATCTAGTAAAATTATCTGGAGAGAAAAACCCTTGATATGCAGGTGAGGAGCAGCTGATGTCTGAAGTCTGACATGGCAAGAAAGTTCCAGATTCTGGAAGAAGAAACTAAATCCATGAAAACATAAGTGAGAGCACTACAACCAGATTAAAACAATATGGACAATTGAAAAAAGACTGAGAATGTTCACATACATTGCTGGGGCCTGTGAGGAGAGTTAGGTCCCGTGTCTGCTGCAGTGCTGGTTGCAAAGAGCAGAGAGCCCGCAGCTCCCCTGGGAGAAGAAGGCAGGGGACATGATGTAGGGTCAGGGTGTGGAGACAAAGTTAATGGCACGGAGAAGGGATCAGGAGGAAGCTGCGCGGTCCAGTGGGCACTGAACATTCAGGACCGGGAGAAAATATCAGTTCTACCCCAAGATTGCTAAGAAGAGGGGAAAAGCCCACTGGATAGGTCATCATAGAGGCGTCCACACTGAGAGTGTCACCTGAAAGAGCAGGTCAGAATCTTAGGCAAGAGCAGAAGAAAGGACCGTACTTGGTTGAAAGACAGAAATGGAGCATCCTGTATATGAGCTGACCTGCACAGCACAGGTGGCATGGTGTGTCAAAGCAGATGACCTGGTGGCCCACGAAGAGGAAGGGCTGGCGACCTACAGAAAGCAATTCAAAGATCTTGGGGGAAAACTGGAAAGAATAATTTCTTCTTTTCAGAGACAGATCCTGTCCCAGGAGGGAAGAGCTCATGATCACTGGTGGAAGCTTGGAGGATGAATAAAACCTCATTATTTCCAGATGGGAGATCACAGACCTGAAACAAAGAGAACTAAAAAGACAATTTATCTCAAGCCTCTTGTTTGTAATTTTAATTTTTAATTTTTGTGGGTACATAGTAGGTGTGTATATTTATGGGGTACATATGGTATTTTGGTACAGGCATGCAATATGTAATAATCACATCATGGAAAATTGGGTATTAATCCCCTCAAGCATTTATCCTTTGAAACTGCTGCTTCTTCTCCTCCTCCTTCTTCCTCTTCTTCTCCTCCTTCTCCTCCTTCTTCTCCTCCTCATCTTCCTCCTGCTCCTTTCTTCTTCCCTCCTCCTCCTCCTCTCCTCCTCCTCCTCCTCTCCTCCTCCTCCTCCTTCTCCTCCTTCTCCTCCTCTTCTTTTTAAGGGCAGGGTCTTGCTCTGTCACCCAGGCTGGAGTACAGTGGTATGATCATGGCTCACTGCAGCCTCAACCTCCTGGGCTCAAGCAATTGTCCTGCCTCAGCCTCCCAGGTAGCTGGGACTACAGCACCTCAAGCTTCTTGAAGTGGATCTTAATGCATTTGACAATCCTGGTGGGGCATTAGGCAGAGAGTAAATACATCCTGACCTCTGAGACCGAAGTGTCCCTCGTGCTTCTCCTCAGACCCTCCCCTTGGCTGCCAGGCTGTGTTCCCCTCCCCTCTCCTTCTCCTTCTCCCTCCTCCTCTGCCATTCTCCAATCCAGTGCTTCGTGTGCATCCAAACGGAGAGGAGCGGTCTTGTTAAAGAGCACTCCCTCTTCCTCCACCTCCTCCAGGACTCTACGCACCCCGCATCCCAGCTGGCTCCCCAGCAAGGGGTCTTAGGCCTCCTTTTTCTCCATCACAGTCTGGGTTTTTCTGGCACACCTCTATCCAGAAAATGGAAGTGACTTACCTTTTGGTTTCCCTCAGCCTCCATCTGACCCTAGCAGTAAAAATCCTGAAACACTGCAAAGACATCAAGTCATTAGGTTTTGTCTTTTTTCCTTGAAATATTGTTGACTTCTATATATTTAATTTTAGGATAGATAGCTGTTTTTTTATGCAAGTGATTTTATTTTCTCTCATTTTGCTTCTTGATACTAATATAAATTTCAGGTTAGATTTAGAAAATAAAGATCACTTGAATACTCCTGTTACATTATACGCTCTAGAAAATGTAAGTAGCAGAGTTTTATCTGATAAGTCAGTCTACATGATCATATAACATCATCCGTGAACAGTTTATCCCATGGGGACATTGAAAGTAGAAAACACTTTTCCATCTGTTAATGTTTGTATCTGCCGCTGTTACAGGAAAAGGGTGAAAATGACTTGATGGTCCCAGTAAATTACAGTCGAATTAAAGCATGGTCAAGGTGTGGTGGTCAAACGCAGAAGGCAGTCTGTGGAGTGGGGAGTTCTGCAGGCTGGGGCCCCTCTGTCTGCTGTGCTCTCGCTGTGCAGGGCTCTGGAAGGGTGAGCCCAGCCACAGCTGCTCAGTGAGGAGGGAGACAGGCTCAGGCTGTGGCTCTTTAACTCCCCAGGAGACCTGGGCCACTGGGACCCCAGAATCTTCATTTGGAGCAACAGTTCTTCACAAAGCTGTCTGTAGGCTTCACAGACTGATGCCCTTGGTAGCATCTTGTGCCAGGCCTCAGGATGGGCCTGGGTCCTTGCTTCTGGAGAATAGAGTATGGAGGTGGCTCCTGCCAGCCTGAGATAGAGTCAAGTGTGTCTCCAGGGTTGTTGTAGTTACTGAGCAGAGTCTTGTGTCTGAGACCCATATGCATTAGTCTGCTGGGGCTGCCATAACAAAGGCCTGCAGACTGAGTGGCTTAAACAACAGACATTTGTTTTCTCACAGTTCTGGAGGCTGGAGGTCCAACGTCCAGGTGTTGGTGTTGGCAGAGTTGGTTTCTCCTGAGGCCTCTTTCCTTGGCTTGCCTTCTCCCCTTGTCCTTACACGGCCTTCTCTCTGTGCATGCATCCCTGGTGTCTCTTTTTCTCCTTATAAGGACCCCAGTCACCTAATTCACCCTTACTTGTGTCTTGAAGGCCCTGTCTCCAAATGCAGCCACAGAGGGGTTAGGGCTTCAGCATCTCTGGGGACACAGTTCAGTCCGCAGCACCATTCCTGTCCCACCCTACAGAACAACAGACTGGCTGTGATTGGAGCCTGGTCCTGAGCCTCCACCAAGCTGTCCCAGTGTTCAGGGCAGTGTGCTCCAGTGCCTTTGGGGTCGGTCTGACCACAGTGTGTATGGGCTCTGGAAATGGGAGGTTGTGTGGCTCCTGCAGCCATCAGTCAGAGAACGCATGGCCGTTCAGGGCAGGCCGGCCTTAGTCACAGTCCCCACGGCTGCTCTGGTTGCTCCTCCTGCCCTGGTGACTTCCTTTTCTCAACTCCCTTAGGCACACAAAGACCCATGCATGCTTCCTCCCTCCTTCACCAATGTCCCCAGGGAAGATTAAAACATAGGTCCACATGAATATCTAAGTGGGTGAGACAAAGAAGTTCTTATTGTGCTCTTAATTTCAGCTTGGTCCAAGTTACAGCTGCTGTGAGTCTCATCTAATACATACCTATAGTCATATATGTTATATATATTTATACATGCTCACATGTGTGTGCATGTGTGTGTGTACGTGTGTGTATACAAACTTCCTCTTTAAAATATTCCTGGATCATTTTTAACTTCCTCTTACTTTAAAATATTCCTGGATATATCATTGCTTAAAGTACATAAACTTGCATGAAATGATTCAATGTTTCCAAGATTCTCAAAAGGTTAGAAAAGGAAATAAATGTCTCCCATCTTTCCAAAATCTATCATTATAACTAGGCAATGTCTAGATGTGGCTTAGTTCCTGTAGCAACTTCCGGGAATGAGCAAAGTGATCGCCTCCGAGGTGGTGCAGTGGCCTGTGGAGTCTAAGAGTTTATAGCTTGAAAACTGCTCCTGTAACAAAAGTTGTATTCATATCTGAGATGTTAAAAGGTGAAGATTTTTGCACATTTTCTTTGTTATGATAAAATACCACTTTTGAGTTTGCCGATCTCACCACTGTGAACAACGTTAGTTCTCCACATACGATGGCATTTGCCAGCTGTGCCCTCAGATTTCATTGGCTCCGTGTCTGGGTGAGTGGGAATCATTTATGTGGGAAATTCTCCATTACAGGACAGTTAATGCACCAATGGCATCATTGTGAGGTTGGAGATTTGGGGTGATGATCTGGCTGCTTGGCACCTCCAGGCTGGCAGACAGCACGGCTGTGGCCAGGAGGTAGCAGCACTAATCAGGGGCAGCAGTGATGAGTCCAGGTGTTCCTAATGAGAATTTGATGTGAATGAAACACATTACGTGGCGGTCCCAATTCAGAATGGTTGCACTTATTATATTTCTATATGGAAGTGTTTATTTAACACCACATTTGTCGGAAATTACACATATCTCAAAGCCTGTATAGGATCCAACTGTTAACAGGGAGAAGAACCACTTCTAGAAAGTTGTTTTGTTTTTACCAAATCCTCTAAAATCGATCATATTTTAGATAAATTGTTTATTTGAAAACTTTCCTCTATGACCTATAATTGGGATTGAGTCTGAACTGACAATAAATATAATTACAACTGTTCAGTAGGTTGAAAATAGAATTTATTCCTTAGTTTTGGCTACTTTGCATGAAAATGCTAATTGTATTTGCATATAAAGGAAGACTAATTACTAAGACCTGAACCTAAAATTGTATTTTCCTATGTTTAGCAAGCTGAATTGCTTATTAACATCAACAAAAATGGATGTTTCTCTCAAGAAAAAAAAGTTATGAGAGTGGTTCTTGGAACAACAAGCATAGAGATTGTCTGCAGAGGGTCTCTGACAGGCTTTTCATATCATGAGCGGAGACATTGTCTGTAGAGGGTCTCTTGGGGGTGTTTAATGCCATATGCATAGATGTGTCTGCACAAGGTCTTTTAGGGATGCTTAATACCATATCCAAGTTTGCTTCTGAGGTCATGATCAGTGGAAAATAGTGCAAAGTCCAGTTGAAAATTGTATTAGCTTCCAGTGGCTGCTGTAAGAAACTACCACAAACATGGTGGCTATGACAAGAGCTTTAAGGTTTCTGGAATCTAGAAGTCCAAATCAATGTCACGGGGCTGAAATGAATCTCAGCAGAGGCTTACTCCCGCGAAGGCTGAAGGGAGAATGTGTGCCTCGTCCCTTCCAGCTTCTGGTGGCTGCCGCTATTCTCTGGCACGTGGCAACCCCGCTCCAATCCCCGCCTGCATTGTCCACGGCTTTCTCCTCTTTCTGAGTCAACTCTCCCTCTGCCTCTCTATGAGAAGGACACCGTGAGTGTATTTAGAGCCCACCTGGATAATCCAGAATAACCTTCCCAACTCAAGATCCTAACTTACACACAATTACAAAGTCCTTTTTCCTGCTTAAGGTGATATTCACACATTCTAGGGATCAGGGCATGGATTTCCTTTGGGGGCCATTATTCAACCTTCTACAAAAATTCAAACTGTCTGGTAAAATTGAACTAAAGCAAGTGGGAGGGTGTGTCCATGTCAAACCCCAAATTCTGGGAACTCAGAAGCCTTGAAACAGGAATCCCTATAGAATTTCCAGCACAGCTCAGAGCAGACCCTTAGATAACCCACTGATACCTGGGATGGGCAGCTTGCCCCATGCCTGGGAGTGAGCAGGTCGTGGGAAAGATGGGCTGATTCTGTAGGCCGGAATGTAATGAGTTTCACTGAGGTATTTCAGGGAGCTTTGATAACACTGCTTCCAGTAGTCCTGGGATTCAAGCCCTGGATGAAATTTCCTTGAGTGGTTTTATGTTGGATCAATTGTCTTTTCTTTATGTGGCAACCTCAGAGAATCTTTGAGAGTCTCTGAAGCCATTTCATAATTCATAGGTATGGCCTTGGGCACTGTGCTATTTTGTGGTGACTAAGTCATTTGTCTAAAGATAAATATTAATATTGAATGAGAAGAAATACAATTTTTAAAGGGATCTAGAAAAAATAAATGGAAAACTCAATTTGTAATTCAGGATTAAAAAAGTCTATCTTATTGATAAAAAATGCTAATTAACTTTTATTACAATGAATACTTTTAGTTGTGGAAGATAGTTTGATTTTCTTAAACTATTATTACTTTTTAATTGCTATATAGTTAAAACAGATGAAAATTATTATTTTTCCTCCTATGTCTTAATTTGTTCATTTTTTATTTGCGATGTCAGTTGGTGTAGTTTGTAAAATGCTTCATGGTGTTACGTGTATGTATTTAATGATCCATTTCTCGATGTTAATAAAAGTGTGCTTTATGCTCATATGAAGGATGAAGAGCACAGGGAAAAAACTTTACTTTACACCCAAATCATTATTATGTGATGATGCGTTTATAACAAGGGATGTGTTATCTGGCCTTTAACCAATCCTCCTGACTGTCAAGAAATTGGTATTATTAGGCTGTTTCCTAACCTTCATTCTGTGGCCAGTTAGCATAGCTTTTTCTATACTAGTGGCTTAAATACATTTTGATGACAGAATTGGCTTAGTACCTAGCAGAAAGAAAAGTCATCCAATTTATTTATGTAAATTGATCTCCTTTCAGGAACTGTCTGTAGTTTTAGAGGGTAACACCATTCAGGGAACCACTGTGATATTGCTTAGAACCATGAAACTTTAAACTAGAAGACTCCTAAGAAAGTATGTCTTCCAAATGTCTCATTGATAGTGTGAAAATCAAAGACTGCTTTTCCAGTCACATAGCTAATTAATGGAAGAACCCATTCTAGAATTCAGATTTCTTAGTGCATTCATGGTTCTCTGTCTTTACCCTATGTTTTATTATTAAGGTGGAGGAGTGCTTCTTAAGCACTGGGCCATGGCACTCTGGTGTATCCTAGATTATTCACAGGACTATTGCCTGATTTACACCACTTGTGAATGAATTTATGTTGCTCCAGTCAGAGAGGTACTCTTCAGTAGTGTCTATTGGGAGGAATTTGAGCTGAGCTGTTGTGGGGAATTACGTGGAGTCAGGCAGGCTTGCTGCGAGTAGTAGCATTTCCAGCTCATGCCCAGGAGAGCTTGGGTTTAGTCAGGACAAGCTGAGATGCAGCAGAAATGAGTTTTGGTCAAACAGTGGCCCCTGGATGAAGGGTGGCCCAATGGGAAGGTGATGATGGCTTTGTTCTTCTGGGCATTGTTATGTTGTTGGGATGACAGCATCATAATTCTTGATGATCTGTTTCGGGTTGTTGTGAGTTGTTTGGGCCTTTCTAGTGTGCCACCAAAGATTCTGATGTTTGAAAATGTGATAAGAAGACAAACCAGAGAACCATTGAGTGAGATAGCTGGGCTGCGATGACCACTCAGATAGCTTCCTGTGCTGACAGCCTATGAGTTTATGATTCCTAGGTGTGTCAGTAGGGACTTTGGGGGCAATGAAAATAAAAATGTGTTAATTACAGTGCTTGATTATTTAACTGGCTCTCCAATTCCCTCAATATATTAGAAAACAAAGCTTTATATACTATGCATATCATTTCAATGGACACTGTCAGTGATAGTTAATACTAAAACCCACGTAGGCAGGTTGTGGCAGATTCAGCTGTTTGGAACAGGTTCCAAATTTTGGTGGGATGGATTCATTAAAGCAGAATATGTGAGCTTCTCTTTTGGGTGGGTGTGACCTCAAGTGGCCCGATCAGCAGTTCTTCCTTGGATGCATGTCATCCCTCAACAGCAATCATGTTAACGACTTATTGAAGGAACAATGGGCTCATTGTAACTGGAGTTTTTAGGGAAACACTCACAAGAAAGGCTTGTTTGAGCTAACATGTTGAACTTATTCGTTCTGAAAGGCTCTTCACTAATTAGCTAAGTGAATTTGGAAAAGTGCATCCAAGTTTCCTCCTTTGGAAAATAAGGCTTTTGCCAGAGATACCTTCCAAGGTAACTGCTGGCTATAACATTTTGTTGTTCAACGAGATCACGGTGGCTTCATGAAAAATGTCGCCTTCAGCCCTAGCAGATAGTTCCTGAAAAGAAGAAAATCTAATGAATCTTTTTTTTGTTTGTTTTTCAGGGGCTGGGGTGGGGTTGGCTCTTGAACAACCGATTCTTTCATTCTTTCAACCTTAAAAACAAAACAAAACAAAACAAACCCCAAATAAAAGTCAAACTATACCTTCAGGGAATGTTTGTATTTTAGCTGAAGTAGTACTTATGAAAGTCAGACTAGAAAAATGCTGAATACCAACAGAGTTACTAGCTTCACGCCGCACATGCTTTTTAAAAAGCCTCCCTCCGCGTAGGTAGCCATTTGTGCTTTCTCATTCCAAATGGTGCATATTTATGTTTTCTCCCATTTCTCATGGTCCCACCTTCGACCATCTTAGAACCTCCAATTGGACTTACAGGATTGAATTTCTCTGGCGAGCTTGATGCTGATGTAAGCATCAAGATATTTCTCATGCCGTTATTCTTTGCCATTGGGCTTGTAACTTTAATTGCATTCCTTCACTGATACGGTTTGGATGTTTGTCCCCTCTAAATCTCATGTTGAGATGTAACCCCCAATGTTGGAGGTGGGGCCTGGTGGGAGGTGTTCGGATCATGCGGACAGATCCCTCATGAATGGCTTGGGCCGGCCGCTTGGTGATGAGTGAGTTCTCACTCTGATTTCATATGAGATCTGGTTGTTTAAAAGTGTGTGGCACCTCCCCCATATCTCTCTTGCTCCCACTCTCGCCATGTGACATGCCTGCTTTCTCGTTGCCTTCTGCCATGAGTAAAAGCCTCACTAGAAGTCAAGCAGATGCTGGCACTATGCTTCCTGTACAGCCAGCAGACCGTGAAACAACTACACATCCTTTTTTTGTAAATTACCCAGCCTCAGACATTCCTTTACAACGACACGAAAACAGCCTAATCCACCCACTCCCAATCCCATTTAAGGATGATGTACTTGTCCTCTTATGAAGAAAGAGACAGCAGCAGGACGGTTTTGTAAGGCCCAAGGAAGTGACCTCTTCTGTGACAGCGAAGCGTGGTGGGAATCCTGGCCATCACTTTTCTGTGAAGAAATGCTCAGGCTAGAGCGTCATTGCTAAAACTCTGCCTGTCATCCCAGTGAACCCGAATGCCGAGAGCCTGCAGTGGTAGCACTGCTGTGAGTGCGTGGCTGCTTGCTGCAGGAGGCCAGTGGTCAGGGCACAGGTTTGGTGCTGGGAAAAAAGATGTTTGAGACCCGACCCTGCCAGCTCCTGGCTGTGGGAAGTCATTTAATTTTTTTTTTTTTTTGAGACGGAGTCTCGATCTGTCACCCAGGCTGGAATGCAGTGGCGCGATCTCGGCTCACTGCGAGCTCCCCCTCCCGGGTTCACGCCATTCTCCTGCCTCAGGCTCCTGAGTAGCTGGGACTACAGGCGCCCACCACCACGCCCAGCTAATTTTTTGTATTTTTAGTAGAGACGGGGTTTCACCGTGGTCTCGATCTCCTGACCTCATGATCCGCTCGCCTCGACCTCCCAAAGTGCTGGGATTACAGGCATGAGCCACCGCGCCCGGCCGGGAAGTCATTTAATTTTTGTGAGCTTCAGCTTCCTCCCCTGTAAGGAGGAGTTAATAATATTTCAGACCTCATAGAACTGTTAGGAGGATGAAATGAGGTAACAGAGGACAAACACCAGCCTGGGGCCTAGGACAGAGTAAGCACTGACAAGCACAGCTATCGTTATTCCTGAAGTTCTGGAATCTGGGTTCTTAGATCTCTTCAGGTGAAACTGAATTTCCCTGCAGTCCCTAGCGTAGGTGCACAGATTTTTCCTTTGGTTACTCAAAGGAAAAAACCCCAACTGTAAATCTGTCACATTTTCTGTTGATGCAATAGTTTTAGATATTTAAATATTCATGCGTTTGGCAAATGCATTAGGGCCAGAGTGATAAATGTAAAACATATAGATGGTTATTGGAGACATTAAAGGGAGACAGATGGTCTTTTGGGCATCAGGGATTGACCGAGTATGTATTAGTAATTCAGACTGCAACATGTCATTAAGTTTGAAGCCATTTTTCTTTCTTTTCTCTATAGGCTGCAACACTAGGTATGCTGTATTGACAAGAGCAAAGTATAACGCAGATCAATATGATCAGCTTTAAAGGGAACTGGAAGTACGGAGGATATATACCTTTAAACATATGATTTTTCTTGTAATGGGAAGTAGCTTTATTATTTCAGTTGTAGGTCAGCAGATGTAAATATTATACAAGCAATTCATTTTTGTGTGAAAAAAATTTTGAGAATATAGAGGTAAGAAGAAAAAAATTTTCTATAGTCTTTCCACTCCCAACACATCACTTAAAATGTTTTGCTGCGTTTTTTTCCAATATAAAATTTCTTCCACATATAAGGTTTTTCTTTACTTTGTTATGGTGATATTGTATGCATTATTGATTTTCTAATTCTCTTCCTTTTCACCTATTGTTATGTCATAAACTTTGAAACCCATTTTAATCTTAATAAATAATAATAATTATGGCTAACACTTATTGAGTGCTTACTATCAGACACTAACCAATTGCATGAATTAATACCTTTCCTCTTCACAGCAACCCTACCAGGCAGATCTATTGCTAGCCTCATGTTACAGACAAGAAGACAGAAGCCCAGAGAAGTTTCAAGAACTTGCCCATATGATAGACAAGAGCACACAAGAGAGTGAGGATTAGCACATAGGCAATCTGGATCCTGAGTTCGATTCTAACAACTGCTCTAAGTCATTCTCAAACAAATTATCAAGGTTATGAGGCAATGTTTATTTTAAGCAGAGGCACTGACAATTTTCACATGTAATCTTGCCTATTAATGTTGATATATCCATCACCTTGTAAAGTGCATAGCTCATAACAAGGACTCGGTGCATGCTTTTTTTTTTTGAATGAATGAATTAATTTCTAATTTGGATACAAGACATTAGCAAAATGCCATAGTAGATAAATATGTTGCATTGACTCAGTGAAATGTAAGTGAGGTAGAAAGTGTTTTCCGAAAATGGTGGCAAAAATGTTTCCCATCCTACTTGCCCTACCAGAACCTTGCCACTCCCTTTCAAATACTGAGTCCATGGCTGCTCTCCTTGAATCTTAGTGGCTCTTTGTAAGTCAGCCTCAGCTAATTAAGAGTGAGATAATTGATGCCATATGACTTCTGAGGCTCCGTCAAAACAGATGAAACAGCTTCTGCCCCACTCTCACCTGGGATGCTTGATTTTGGAACTCAGCCAGATTCTGGGTGGGAGCCAAGCAGCTGTGTGGAGGGGCCTTGGGGATGGGTGTTCCAGCCCACAGCTGCTGTCAGTCTCCAGACAGGTGAACACTGAGTCTTCAGATGACCTCAGCCCCAGGAGCTGCCCCTACTGATGCCACATGCAGCAGAAATGAGCCAGTCTCTCTGAGCCCAACCCAAATGTAGATTCATGAGGTCCATGAATGCTTGCTCTTGCTTACGCCACTGGGTTTGGGGCTGCTTGCTACATAGTAACAGGTAGCTAGGACATGAGGCTCACTGTTCATATTTATACATTTTAAGAATCACTTGGGGGCCAGGCACGGTGGCTCACGCCTGTAATCCCAGCACTTTGGGAGGCCGAGGAGGTTGAATCACAAGGTCAGGAGATCAAGACCATCCTGTGAATGGTGAAACCTCGTCTCTCCTATATATACAAAAAGTTAGCCGGGCGTGGTGGCAGGCACCTGTAGTCCCAGCTACTCGGGAGGCTGAGGCAGGAGAATGGCGTGAACCCGGGAGGCGGAGCTTGCAGGTGAGCCAAGATTGTGCCACCGCACTCCAGCCTGGGGGACAGAGCGAGACTCCGTCTCAAAAAAAAAAAAAAAAAAAAAAAAAGAATCACTTGGCTAAATAGGTAGTTGGAAACCAATTTGTGGATTAAAACAGCATCGATTTATTTGTAAAATTCTAGTATTTTATTTAGACTTTTACTATCACCTGCAGAAGTAGATACATTCTCTGACAGATAATTGTCTACTTTCAGCTAGACAATTATCAATGTTTTAACTTCTAGGACAAATTTACTTTCACTTTTAAAACAAATTTAGACTTGTGTGTGTGTGTGTGTGTGTGTGTGTGTGTGTGTGTGACTTGTTCAAGATCTAAGTAATCATGATCATCTCATTATCTTCTCTTCAGTTAAAAGGACCAAACCCATAAAAAGTGGCAGAAATAAAAACAGCAACAAACATAAATGGAAAACTTAGACCCTGAAATCTCAGAGGTTTGCTTTAAAATAATTGAAAAAAGAAAATCAAAGAGAATTTTATTTACTAATTTTATAGCTAGGTTGATTTAGGACTTGCTAGAAAAGTAGCAATATTATACTTTATTGATTTATGACTCTAGTTTTTCAATTGATATCTTTAGTTATTTAAAATATAAATGTATTGTGCCCTGATCTTGAGGATTGTATGTAAAATTGCTCAGAATCTTTACATACATCATCCCAATTAATTCTCACATAATCCCCTGACATAGTACTACATCACTCCATTTTCATAGAAGAGGACACTGAGGTTCATAGAAGTACAGTAATGCACTGCCTAACAAGGCTTTGGTCAGTGACAGACCCGGTATGGATGGTGGGCTCATAAGATTATGATGGAGCTGGACAAGCACGAATCATCTAGTGACATTGTAGCCTTTCTATGTCACAGTGCAGTACATTATTCATGTGTTTGTGATGGTGCTGGTATCAACAAAACTACTGTGCTGCCAGGGGTGTAACACTATAGCACACAATATAAGGTACAATATATAATACTTAATAATGAAAATAACTACGTTACTAGTTTATGGGTTTACTGTACTTTTTATTGTTATTTTAGAATGTAATCTTTCTACTTATTAAAAAAGGTTAACTGTAAAGCAGCCTCAGGCAGATCCCTCAGGAGGTGTTCAGAAGGCACTGTTATTCCAGGAGATGGCAGATCCATGCATGTTATTGCCCCTGAAAATCTTCCACTGGGACAGGATGTGGAGATGGAAGACAGTGATGTTGATGATCCTGACCCTGTGTAGGCCTACATGGGCTAATGCAGGTGGTGTTTGTGTGTTAGCTTTTAACAAAAAAAAAAATATTAAAAAGCTAAAAAAAAAGAAAAGAAAAAAGCTTATAGAATATTTTTGTACAGCTGTACAACCTGTGTTTTAAGCTGTTATTACAAGTCAAAAAATTAAGAAAAATTAAGTTTATAAAGTCAAAAAGCTACAGTAAGCTAAGGTTAATTTATTATTGAAGAAAAAATTAAAAACATATTTAGTGCAGCCTAAGTGTACGGTGTTTAATAAAGACTACAGTAGTGCACAGTAATGTCCTAGCCTTCACATTCAGCCACCACTCATTCACTGACTCAGAGCAAATTCCAGTCCTGCAAGCTACATTCATCGCAAGTCCCCTCTTGAGGTATATCGTATTTTATCTTTCATGCCCTATTTTTAACTGTTCCTTTTCTGTGTTTAGATATGTTTAGGTACACAAATACCATTGTGTTGCAATTGCCTGCAGTATTCAGTACAGTAACATGTGGTACAGGTTTGTAGCCTAGGAGCAATAGGCCCTATCATACAGCCTAGGTGTGTAGTAGGCTGTTCCATCTAAGTCTGTGGAAATGCGCTTTCATCATTCATGCAAAGAGACAAACATCTTATGACACATTTCTAAGAATGTATCTATGTTGTTCATTGATGACTGACTGTATGTGATCACATTTTATCAGCAATTGATGCAGACCCTAATCTGGACATAATGCAGTGCAACCATTCACTATTGCTAATGCAATAACATTCTTCAAAGCTGCATTGGATGAATTAAAACCAGAAATTGTAGATGCCTGCTACAGGAACTTATGGAGTGAAGCCATGAATGATTTTAAAAGCCTCTCTGGGGTCAGTGGAGAAGTTAGGAAAATCATTCGTGCAGCAAGACAGGTTGGTGGAGAAGGGTTGCTGACATGCTTGCTGAAGTGGCAGAAGATATTGAAGGACATCAAGAAGTGTTAACAAATGAGGATTTGGAAGAATTTGTTGAGTCGTCTGCAGAGAAAGATGAAGAAATGAAGCAGAACCAGCAATATGGACATAATCGAAGTGTGCTGAAGTGTTTCAAATTGCACAGACATTAAAGAACCAAATTATGGCATATCTTAGGATGGAATGCAGTGTTAAAATTACTCATATTCTCACTGAAGAATTATAATCTCTGCAGCAACACTTTGATGAATTGAAAATAAAGACACAACATCTGATTGCAATGTTCTTCCAGCAGGTCTTGGCAAAAAAAAAAAATAAATAAAATAACACAACAAAAAAACAAAAAAGAAAAACCCTTCAATTCTCCAGGATCCCCAAACATCAGCATCGTCTGCTCCTGACACCCAGCAAAAAATACGTTGTCATGGTGCGATGCTCTGGGGCCATGTGAAGCAGGTGATCCTCTCCCTGATGTATCATCAGGAGGGCAGTAGTAGCCTAACAATATGTCAAAATGTCTCCATTCGCCTCACTTCATGTCATCCCGTAGGCACCGTATCATCTCACATTACCACAGGAAGGGTGAGTGCAGAACAGTAAGATATTTTGAGAGAGAGAAAGGGAGGCCACAGTCACATGACTTTTATTACAGCCTATTGTCTTAATTGTTCTATTTTATTAGTAGTTATGGTTGTTAATCACGTATGGTGCCCAGTTTATAAATTAAACTGTATTTCTGGTATGTATATATGCATGTATAGTAAAAAAATATATAGCATATATAGTGTTGTGTACTATCTGCAGTATTAGGCATTCACTGGGGGTCTTGGAACTATTCCCTGCAGATAAGGAGGAACTACTATACACATTTGGAGAGATACATTTTCTTCCATAAATCCACAGAAAATCAAGATGCTCCTTGTTGAAATACCTTAAGGGCTCACAGGACATCAGTAAAGAACATACAGCCAGCTGCACGTCTTGGTGAGCCTATGGAGGGGGATATTCCCTACCTCCAAGCTGTCTGGCCCTTTGTCGGGGTGAGGGGGCAGATTTCTAAGGGCAACAAGGATTTCCTGGAGCTCCTAAATGCAAAGCTCATTTGCTTTTTATCACAAAATGTGGTCCAAAAAAACAGAGTTCTTATGGCATAAATGCTATTGTCCTAACCTCTTTGGAAGAAAAATCCATTTTTCAAAATACTACACAAAAGACATATCTAGAAAACCATTGTGAGGTTTTAGTTGCTGTAATTAAGAGCTTTCAAACTTTTGTGTAGAATGTCCTTTAAACCATTGAGCATCCCAAGTGTTTATGGTAAAAAGAATCTTACAGTTAAATGACATTGGTGCTGATATGGAAACACTGAAAATGGGTGCACTTTTGTGTATAAGTCGAATGCCCATTCAAGCCTGCAAAGGAAACACCTACTTTAAATATCCTCTCTTCTTCACACATGTTGTCATAACATAAATTGTGGTCAAGACCACGTCTCTCCACCCAACCCCATCAAACAAAAACAAAAGGTCTGCTCTTGAAAACCCTGCCCTCGTTGCTAAATCTCTATGTTAAATAAAGAGGGCGTAGAGCCATTTCTACCAGGTGCTGTGATGCATTTTTCAGTCCCTTTGCCCACCTGCTCCTCACGGCTCTTGTTGTGCAGTACCACATGTCTCCTGTAGATGGCTCTACCTTCCCATTATCTCCCTCTATCCAGAAGTGGCTGCAAGTCTTTAAGCTCCTATTAGTAGTTCTATTGGCGTTTGAATCAGGGACTATGAAATGTAGCTCCAAACCTCACTGACCTAAGTGATAGTGGATACTGTTTATGTAGAAAGGAAAGCCATGAAACATTGAAATAAGGGGAGGCTGGAAAGATCCACTTGGTGGGATGTCCTGAAGGGTGGCATGGTTTAGCCTCAGCAGAGACGCACCGAGGTGCACTAACTTTGGGTAAATCTGTAGAGTCTTTGAAGCATCACAAAGCATTTTAGTATTTTGAAAAGCTCTGATAAGTTCTGTAGAAAAAAACCTTGTTGATTTGCAAGCATTTTTTAGAGATTCTACATGCTAATTTTAACTATCAATATACATTTTTTTTTTGCCTTCTGCTTCTTGTGACTGTTCCTGTCAGAAACATTCTTCTTGGCTTCATCTAATACCTTTATACTATAAGTTTAGGGGTCAAAACTACAGTATGGTAGCCACCGCTGATTTTATATATAAAAATTTTTGGAACACAGCCACAGGCATTTGTTGACCTATCATCCCTGGGTGCCGCTTCTGTGCTACAAGGGTAGAGTCGAATGGTTGTGACACAGAAGGTGTGACTTGCAAAACCAAAAATATTTACTATCTGGCCCTGCAGGGCTGGGTGGGGTCAGGGGCAGCTCCGTGGTGTTCTGAGCGGCATTTAGCAGCAAGGTCTTCACTTTGGTGCTGTGAGGTCAAGAGGCGCGTGGCCCTGCAAGCTGCTTTGGGTGTCCTTCTCAGGCCCCTCAGAGTCGGAGTCGCTATCAGAGGAGCGGGTGAGAGCAGTGGGCACACGGGCTCCTTGTTCTCAGCATTGATGTCAGCACCAACCTTCAGAAGGAGGAAGGGGAGAGTCAGGGACCCCAGTCCAGCTGCCAGGTGCAGGGGTTTGTTTCCTGCAAAGGTGTGAGCATTCACGTTGGCCCAGAACTTGGTGACCAAATGGGTGACAAACCCCAGCTCCTCCATCTCTGTGGCTAGATGCAAGGCTGTTCAGCCCCCCTGCCACTCTGTGGCTTCCACTTCAGCCCCACTGTTCACCAGCAGATCCAGGCACTCAGGGCTTCAGGCTTGGACTGCCAGGTGTACTCTTGCGTCGCAAGAGTGGAAATGGGAAGAAAAGCATCAAAACCTAGTCCGTTGGAGTGTATGTTAAAGAATTTCAAGAAAGGTTTTGGTGGAGATTATGGAGTTCAACTGACCCCTGCAAAGATTGAAAACTCTTTGTGAATTAAAATGGCCTTCTTTTAATGTCGGGTGGCCAGCTGAAGGAACAATAGATAGGGAAGCAATTGGCCATGTGTTCAGGGTAGTAACCGGAGTTGGAGGACAGCCTGAGCACCCAGATCAGTTTCCATACATTGACTCCTGGTTAAACGTAGTCTAGACTCACCCCAAATGGCTTCAGCCCTGTCTGGTAACCTATTGTAAAGCCTTGGTGGTCCAGGCTGAGCCTAAGGCAGCTGAAAAATCAATTACGCTTAGAACCTCGGAAAAAAGAAAAGGCAACAGGAGAGTTAGGAAAAGCTGGTTCTACAAGCTCCTCCAGAGGATAGGGAATTTCCTCCCCCTTATGCTCTGATATATCCATCCTTCTTAGAGCTAAGACAAGGCATGGAGCAAATGGCCCTTGAGGAATCAGGCTCAGAGGAAAGTGAGTCTCAACCATCACCCCACAGGGGAGAATCCGAGCCTTTGCCTGTAAAAGTTAAGGAGGAAAAGCAAAGTGACGCAGTGGGCCACCTCCAGTCTGGCCACACCCGAGCCTTACAAATGCCCCTCCATGAGACTTGAGCACAAATTTATCATGATGAGCAAGGCCAGGTTCAAGTAGGGCAGCAGATTTTCATCTACCAGCCCTTCTCTGCCACAGACCTCCTAAATTGGAAACAACATACTCCCTCCTATACGGAAAAGACTCAAGCCCTCATAGACTTGATGAGATCCATTTTTCTGACCCATAACCCCACCTGGTCAGACTGCCAACAGCTCCTTTTAACACTGTTCAACACAGAGGAGCAAAGGAGAGTGACTCTAGCAGCCCTCCAATGGCTAGAGAACAATGTGCCAGATGGTACAAGAGATGTCTGGCATTATGCCTAGGAAGAGTTCCCAGAGATAGACCCCAACGGGGACCTAAATGATGCAGAGGAGCTTCAGCATCTGCAAAGGTATCAGGAGGCACTTCTAAATGGGATAAAGTCCAGTGGAAAGAAAGCAATGAATATAGGAAAGATTTCAGAGGTGCTCCAAAAGACTGATGAGAACCCCAGTCAGTTTTATGAGAGGCTCTGTGAGTCATACCAGCTCTATACTCCATTTGATCCAGAGGCTACTGAAAATCAGCTCATGGTGAATACATCATTTCTTAGCCAGGTGCAGGGTGACATTAAGTGGAAACTTCAGAAACTGGAAGGTTTCGCAGGCATGAATTGCTACTCAGCTTACAGAGGTGGCTACTAAGGTGTATGTTAACCATGAACAAGAGGAAAAGAAGGAAGCTGAGCAGAGGCTTAAGAAAAAGCCTGAGCTATTAGCGGCTGCCCTGGTTGAAAGAGAGACTGGCATTGTGAGGGGACACAGATATGGTCGCAGATGTGGTCGTGGAAGAGGTTAGGCTAGACCAGGTTTTGAAGGCCGGACAAGGCTGGAGAAGGATCAATGTGCATTGTGCAAAAAGAAAGGACACTGGAAGGATGAATGTCCAGAGAAAGATAAGGGCAATAGCCATGACCAGGGAGCTTGGCTGGAGCCTCTGGCCACCAGCCGCTGTGTTCTGAGACCGGTCATCAATCTAATCAGCCTAGCAGAGGCAGCAGGCTATGAGGACTGAGACAGACTGGGCTCCATTTCTTTAGCCCCCAGGAGCCTATGGTCTCAGTGGAGATAGGGGGCCAACAGATGGATTTTATGGTAGATACCGGAGCTGAGCATTCGGTAGTGATGCAACCTATAGGGCCACTATCCAGGAATTACACAACTATTATTGGGGCAACCGGAGTCTCAGAGAGGAGACCCTTCTGCCAGTCAAGGAGGTGTATTATTGGAGGATGAGAAGTCCAGCATGAGTTTCTATACCTTCCAAATTGTCCAGTCCCCTTGCTAGGAAGAGACTTACTCCAAAAACTGCAGGTGCAAATTTCTTTCGAGCTGCAAGGGAACATGTCTTTAAACCTGAGTCAGCCAAAGACTATGGTATTAACCCTCACCTTCCCAAGGGCTGATAAATGGAGGCTATATGCAGAAACAGCACTTAGGCTAGAACTACCAGGACCACTTGAAATGTATGGATTACTTGCAAAGATTCCGGGGGTGTGGGCTGAAGACAATCCACCCGGATTGGCTGTCTTGGTGGAGCTAAAACTTGGAGTGACTCCGGTATGGGTTCGTCAATACCCGTTGTTCATAGAGGCCATAAGTGGCATTCAAAAACACATAGATTGGCTCTTTAAGCATGGCATCATAGTGAAGTGCAGGTCCCCTTGGAACACACCCCTTTTGCTGGTATGGAAGCCAACTGATGAATATAGGCCAGTGCAAGATTTACACACAGTGAACCAGGCTACAGTTTCCATTCATCCAGTGGTACCTAACCCACTGGATGGTTATGTACTGGGCAGTTGATGGGTCACATTCCACGAGTGTTGCATAGTTTACTTGCCTGGATCTCAAAGATGCATTCTTCTGTCTACCGCTAGCCCCTGTGAGCCAGCCTATCTTTGCATTTCATTGGGGAAAAACTCAGTATACCTGGACGTGGCTCCCACAAGGGTTTAAAAACTCCCCAGTGATTTTTGAGGAGGCACTGGCATCAGATCTTAGGGCTTTCACCCCATCCAATGACAAATGTGTCCTGTTACAGTATATAGCTGATCTTTTACTTGCAACCCCTACCTGGGTTGACTGCCTTTAAGGCACTGATAACCTCCTCCATCTCCTATGGGAAACAGGATACAGAGTATCTAAAGAAAAGGCAAAATTATGCTCAGAAGGAGTTAAGTACCTAGGCTTTGAAATAAGTCAAGCAAAACGTGAGCTTGGCAGTGAACGGAAGTGGACTGTGTGTGCACTACCTACTCCAGCCACCCGGTGTCAAATAAGGGAATTTTTAGGAGCACCGCAGGTTTCTGCCATATTTGGATTCTAAATTTCTCACTCATGGCAAAACTGCTATATGGAAACCACAAAGCAGGGAGAAAAGGAGCCCCTCCTCTGGCGGGGGCCTGACCAGAAAAAGGCCTTTAAAGAAAACAAGACAGCTCTAATACAGGCCCCAGCCTTAGGGCTGCCAAAACAGACTAAGCTTTTCTTCCTATGTGTCCATGAGCAAAAAGGAATGGCTATTGGAGTTCTGATGATCCAAATGATGAGGTCATGGCAGCGGCTGGGGACATATTTATCTAAACAGACACCATAGCACAAGGCTGGCCCCCTTGTTTTAAAGCGCTAGCAGCCACAGCCCTGCTGGCACAACAAGCCAAAAAACTAACTTTAGGACAGAAATTAATCATTTGAGTGCTACACTCATTTATAACTCTCATGGACCAAAGAGGGCACCACAGGTTATCAAACCCAAGAATGACTAAATATCAAGACCTCCTATGTGAAAATCCATATATAACTGTAGAAACTGTCAATACTTAAAATCCAACCACTCTGCTGCCCATAGAAAAGCTGAGGGATCCCCTCCCTCAACATTATTGCATAGATGTAGTAGACGAAGTATTCTCCAGCTGAAGGGACTTAGCAGATCAGCCCCTTGGAGGCCCAGATGTTGAGTACTTCACAGATGGAGGCAGCTTCATATCAGAAGGGGTCTGCCAAGCTGGGTATGCAGTAGTGACCTGTGACTCAGTGGTAGAGGCTCAACCACTGCCTGCTGGGACATCAGCCCAGAGGGTGGAGCTAATAGCCCTAACAAGAGACTTACTACTAGCAAAAGGAAAAGTAGTCAACATTTATACTGACTTTAAGCATGCTTTTGCTACACTGTATGTCCATGGGACAATATATAAAGAAAGAGAACTTCTAACTGCAGGAGGCAAAGAAATAAAGTATAAGGAAGAAATTCTACAGCTCTTAGATGCTGTATGGGCTCCAGAAAAGGTGGCTGTCATTCACTGCAAAGGACATGAGGCAGCAGGAACTTTTGAGTCAAAAGGAAACAGGAAAGTGGACAGGGAAGCAAAGTGAGCAGCAAAGATGAGTTTGCCCTCTAAGGAGGAAGCTCTGGTTATGCCTCTCCTCCCAGAGATTTCTCTCCCAGAGACACCCAGCTACACTCCAAGTGAAAAGGCCTGGTTTGCCCAGGAGAATGGGAGCTACATTGAAGGAGGATGGCGGAAGTTCTCCGATGGGAGATTAGTCATACCTGAGATGGTGGCTCCCAGATTTGTTAATCAGTTTCACCAAGGGACTCACATGGGAAAGATAGCACTAGAGACTTTGCTGGGGCGACACTTTTATGTGCCACGACTCACCGCCATTACTCAAACTGTTTGTGAGCAATGTCTAACCTGTGCCCAAAACAACCCATGGCAGGGACCAACCAGGCCTCCAGGAATTCAGGAAGTTGGAGCAGCACCTTGTGAGAACCTACTTGTGGATTTTACCAAATTGCCTCTGGCTGGGGGCTATCGGTACATGTTGGTGTTTGTCTGCACCTTTTCAGGATGGGTAGAGGCTTTCCCCACCCAAACAGAAAAGGCACAAGAGGTAACCCAGGTGTTGCTAAGAGACATTATTCCCAGATTTGGACTGCCTTTAACTTTAAGATCGATAATAGACCAGCATTTGTGGCTGAAATAGTCCAGGACTTGACTTGGCTGTTAAAGATAAAATGGTAGTTGTACACAGCCTACTGTCTGCAGAGCTCAGGAAAAGTAGAACGGATGAACTGGACACTCAAGCAAGTGCTGAAGAAGTTCTGTCAAGAAGCTCACCTTAGATGGGATCAGGTCTTGCCTCCAAGTCAGGTGCACCCCTACCAAACAAACTGGGTATTTGCCCTATGAGATTATGTTCGGCCGACCACCCCCAGTCATAAATCAGATTAAAGGTGATCTCCAGGAACTAGGGGAATTAACTTTAAGAAAGCAAATGCAGGCTTTAGGAATAGCCATGCAAGAGGTCCATGGTTGGGTACAGGAAAGAATACCTGTAAGTCTAGTTGACCCAGTACATCCTTTTAGCCCTAGAGACTCTGTTTCTGTTACAAAATGGAATCCAACCACTCTAGGACCCATATGGGATGGGCCCCATACTGTAATACTGTCTACCCCTACTGTTGTTAAAAGTTGCAGGTATGGGGCCCTGGATCCACCACAGTCACCTGAAACCAGCGGCACAGGACAAGTGGACCAGTCAACAGGACCCAGACCATCCGATCTGACTGATCCTGCGATGGAACCAAACCACTGCAGAGAAAGACGACAGTCCTGCTCTGGCCAATCAGGAGGCCGGCCAGTCTACACAAGGCTGAAGATTGAGGAGTCATCAAGCCCTGCTCTAGTCACACTGGAAGCTGACTAGTCTACACACAGCCGAAGCTTGAGGAGTCTTCATCAGATTAGTAAATGTGGATAGAAGTTTTAAGTTTGATTGCTATTTTAGTAATATTAATTGTTCTGTTACACTATGCTATCATTTTTGCCAATCTTTCCTCCCAGGAAAGGACCTTTCCTGTCCGTGTTTAGTATAGATATGTTGTTTACCATTTTCCTTTTATTGGCACCCCTGCATATGCTAAAGGGAAAGCCCCTAGAAGAGTGTTCTTACTGTATGCATAACACATGGCAAGGGAAGACAAAAATTAAGACTATCTTGTCCCTTACATATTATGAATGCTCCAGGACCCACCTAGGGACCTGTATCTACAATCAGGCAACCTATTCAGTTTGTGACCCAAGAAACAGTCAGTCCTATACATGCTATGATCCAAAATTCCAGCCTGGGATTTGGTTTGAGATCCATAATGGGATGAAAGAAGGGAGGCTTCTAAACCAAGTTAGAGTCTCACCTACAAAGAGACAGACTCATCTCTGTACTATAATTCTTGTCAAGTGGCATTCACGGGATCTGCCTATCCTATAGTCTCAACTACCACAGGGAGCTCAAGGAGTAGCAGTTGTGGAAAAAGGAACTGCATGTTTCCTAACTCTACCAGCAAGGTGCCAGAATTAACTTGCTGGGATTGTGTATCGAGCTCCACCAGTTCCCTGACTACCACAAAACAGCTCATGGTATATATTAAACTGTGAGCAAAGCCTGATTGCAAAACAGATACCTGTAGTCTTATAAATCTCACTATCCTGGAACCAGATCAATCTATATGGGCTACAGGTTATCCCATAATGCTATAAAATGCAGTCAGCAAAAAAGGATAGCTTACATATTATAAGGAAGGCAAAAACCCATTCCATTCCACAATTCCAGGTCCAAAAGGAACTCCTCTCTCCAACAAAGAATCTGTTTGCCCACGTAACCTGAGAATACAGCTGACAGCCTAGGAATATCCTCATGTTATGTATGTGGAAGAACTAACATGGGAGATCAATGGCCATGGCAGGCAAGGGATTAATGCCTCAAGATGATTTCACTTTGCCTGACTCCACCACCGACCTAACTGTTTCTGGTCCAAGTGTCTGGCTGTTAAAAACCTCCATAATAGGAAGATTCTGCATTGCTCGATGGGGAAAGTCTTTCACAGATCTAGTAGGAGGACTTACTTGTCTGGGGCAATAGTATTATGATGAAACTAAAGGGAAGACCTTATGGATGTCAGAAAATAGTACCTCATTTCCTGATTTAAACCCTTTTCTTCAGATTTCCTACTTTAAACCACTCCTGGTATCAGCTAGAAGCTCTAAACACCTGGCAAGCACCTTCAGGCCTTTACTGGATCTGTGGAACGTGAGCATAGACAACTGCCTGCCAAATGGACAGGAGCCTGCATATTAGGAACAATCAGACCATTCTTTTTCCTAATTCCCCTAAAACAAGGAGAGGCTCTAGGATACTCTGTTTATGATGAAGATAAAAGTCAAAAGAAGCATAGACACAAACAGAAAAAAGGACATAGATGTAGGGGATTGGAAAGATAATGAGTGGTCCCCTGAAAGGATTATCAAATATTATGGACCTGCCACTTGGGCACAGGATGGGTCATGGGGATACCGTACCCCTATCTATATGCTTAACAGAATCATAATATTACAAGCTGTTCTTGAAATCATAAGTAATGAAACAGCAAAAGCTTTAGACTTGCTAGCCAAGCAAGCCACACAAATGAGGAATGCTGTCTACCAGAATAGACTAGTATTAGATTGCCTACTTGCCCAGGAAGGGGAGTACGTGGAAAATTCAACCTAACAAATTGCTGCCTAGAAATTGATGATAATGGAAAAGCAATCATGGAAATTACTGCCACAATGTGAAAACTAGCCCATGTTCCAGTTCAAACCTGGAAAGGGTGGTCTCCAGACTCCCTCTTCACAGGATGGTTTTCATCTATTGGTGGATTTAAGACTTTGATAGGGGGCTTCTTAGCCATCCTGGGCAGGTGCCTGATTCTGTCTTGTCTCTTGCCTTTCCTAATCAGAAGCATTCAGTTGACTATAGAAGCAATCGTAACCAGGCAAACCACTACTCAAATAATGGCCTTGACCAAATATCGATCACTGCCCAAAGAGGAATGTGTGCCACCCTACGAAGAAATAGAATATAGTGGTGCTTTCTATTAAAATATTGCCTTTATAAAAAGCACCAAAGGGGGGAATGAAGTAGAAAATTAAAAATAAGGAGTTTCTTTTTCCTATGATAGAAAGTTACTATTTAAAGTTTAAAGGCCCCAAACAACCAACCCCCACCAAGTGGGAAGTTTAAAAAGAATATTAACTGCCTGTCTGTGTACCATTAACCATATCTTTCCCCGACATATTTTGCAAGTTTGTAAATTCCTGTTTTTTTTTTCTGCTGCACAGCTGCAAGGTCACAAAACAGATAAGCATAGGCTGCAAAACATGTTTTCCCAAGATTAAGACATGTCATAGAATGATTAACTGCCTTTGTTCTTGCTTCTGTAAGCTTGCTTCCTGCATCATGTTTTCCGCACCCTTGCTTCCATAAAAGACGCACGCCCTCTTTGTTTGGTGCTCAGACTTTCTGGACACAGGTCCACTGAGCCAGTGTACACCTTAATAAATCCTTCTGTAACCCTATTGGTCTCTCCAGCTCTCTGATTTCCTGCTCCAAGCTGGTTCTTGATCCACTCAACATTTCCCTTATAGAGCACTTTATAAACCATTTTAAAGTGATTTAACTAACAAAATTAAGTATATACAGCACTTCATTTTTCATATACATAATGAAAGAAATAATTCCCATAATAGGTTATTTTCTGGGCTGAAAATTATTCAGGTAAAATTCAGTATCCATTTTATTTTATTTTTTTTTGAGATGGAGTCATGCAATTTGTTTTTCTCAGTACTGCTTAAAATAGCAATGTATTACAAAGAACCTATATAATGGATGCCATAAATAAATTTCATAAAATTCACAAGATGTTGTAATAAGGAAACTTTGAAGGTGTCAGTTGGTGTGTGAAGATGTACTTTGGTATATCAATGGGTTCAATTACACATACACGTAAACAGAGTATGTGTCTTTGTTAGCCATATATACACACACAAAAAAATATGGTAACATTTGCTCTTTCTTGGCATGTGTATTATAAGTGAATGTTTTTTTTCTTATCTGTGGATCTCTGCAATAAGCATGTATAAAACTTCTAGTAAAAGTTTAGGATTAATGAAATAATCCTTGGGAGGAGAAGGAATATGAATCTGGCACGAGCCAAAATAATTTCTCACTATTTTATTTTTGTCTGTTGTTATCTTCTGTGAACTTTTAGCCTCTTCAAAAGTAAAGAGGATATTTTTATGTGTGTTTGTAGATTTTTATGCATACATTTTATTTTATATATATTTTTATTATACACAGGTTTATTACACATATGCAAACAATAACAATGAACTCTTCAGCTCTATGTATTCATTCTTTCAATCCATTTATTTCTCCAACATAAGCCAAATACCTATTATGTAGCAGACACATTCTACCATCTCTCAGGACCCTTCCATCCTTAAAAATTTCATGTTTACCTGCCCAGCCTGAGCAAGCTGAGAGATTTAAAAATGGAGGATTAGGACTGAATCTCAATTGAAGCTTTTATTCCCTTTTTTCAAATGAAAGCATTTCTGAAGTTAGAAAATATTTGTAAAAAATAACCTTTAAATGCTCTCCTGAAAATATGTAACAGTCTTAAATATTACTATTATCAGAAATACCTGAGTCAATACATTCTATACATCTAAGTATTTAAAAAAGAGCTGTACCTATTCATTTGAATGCTGAGTTTTCTTTGGCTTTAAGTTTTTTGAAAAAGTAAGAATTACTTTGTTTACAAAGTTTGTTATTTTCATTTCAGCCCTCTTTTTTGTGGTACTTCTAAGAATGAATATGTATTTAGATGCCAATCATATGAGTAGAACTGCCTGTTCTATTATACCATATCCCACTTAATGTAAGGCACTGTGAATTATGGGATGCCCCATTATTTTATGTATTAGTAAGATAATGTTTAAAATGCTGCCAATAGGCTGAGCGCGGTGGCTCATGCCTGCAATCCCAGCACTTTGGGAGGCCGAGGCAGGAGGATCACCTGAGGTCAGGAGTTTGAAACCAGTCTGGCTAACATGGTGAAACCCTGTCTGTACTAAAAATACAAAAATTTAGCTGGGTGTGATGGTGTGCGCTGTAATCATAGCTACTCAGGAGGCTGAGGCAGGAGAATCACTTGAACCCAGGAGGTAGAGGTTGTTTACAATTACATGCGTCGGGTTTTTTCTTCTTTTCACTTCTAGTGTATTTTGATGCTATTTTTAATTAGTATGGGCAGAGGGAAAAAAGATAGCTTCAAATGGGTAAAGTTTTCTTTTTCTTTCTTTCTTTTTTTTTTTTTGTCTGAGACGGAGTCTCACTCTGTCGCCCAGGCTGGAGTGCAGTGGCACTATCTCGGCTCACTGCGAGCTCCGCCTCCCGGGTTCACGCCGTTCTCCTGCCTCAGCCTCCTGAGTAGCTGGGTCTACAGGCGCCTGCCACCACGCCCAGCTAATTTTTTGTATTTTTAGTAGAGATGGGGTTTCACCGTGTTAGCAAGGATGGTCTGCATCTCCCGACCTCGTGATCCGCCCGCCTTGGCCTCCCAAAGTGCTGGGATTACAGGCTTGAGCCACTGTGCCTGGCCTAAACTTTTTTTTTAATGAATACAAGCCATGGGTGGCTGACAATGAGAAAAAAAGATAGGCTTTAGATTCCCACAAGACTGGGTTTAATTCCTAGCTTTTCTACTTGCTAGATGTGTGACTTTGGGAACATTGCTTATCACCATGTATGTTTTCCTGTATGAAAAAGAGGATAATAATATATCCTTCAAAGGTGGTTGTGTATAAGTAATGTATGTATATATGGCATTTAATCCAGTGCCTCATACATGATTATCAGCATTATTAACTGAAACTACTGTGGCTATTATTAGCATTACTATTATTGTTTTAAACCTGCAGATAGCTCTTACTTATTGACCCCAAGCTTATTTTGAATCATAAAATATTATATCAGACTAGGGAAGAAATGGATAATTCTTTGCTTAAATTTTTAGCTACTTTAGATAAGTAACCTGAGCATAGTATCCTGCCCATCAAAGGACTTTATTTTAGTAACTTCTGCAATGTCATTTCCCAGTGGGACAAGAGGCTTCCTTATTGTCTCTTCCTTTTGGCTTTGGTGGCAATTTACAAAGATGAATCCTTGAGCACCCAAGATGGCATTCTCATCTATAGTTTTAGCACACAAAAGTGGACTATAAGGTAAATAACAAGTTCCAGGATAAACAGTGAAAGTCTTAGTAGAATAGCTCTTAAGCTCTGAGGGATCCAGATGGACAGCTCCGAGAACCAATCAGACATGGGGTTACTAGCAGAGAGAGACTTGGGTCAGAAGTTGTTAGACAGACAGATTGGGATATACAGGAAAGAACAAATTTAAATATACTGCCCCATAATTTTCAGTCAGCTTCCTAGTTCTGAAACTAGATCAGTTCAGTTAAACAGCTGTTTTCTATATCAGGAGGTGGCATGCAGATGGGCTATGCCTCTTCAGTTACAGAGGAGGAAGGTGGTGACAATCTGACATGTTTTTTGCTGCCTATATTACAAGTAGTAAGCTTAAGCTTGCAGGACCTCAGTTAAAAGGTAGGAGCAATTTCATTGAGTGCAAGACAGAAAAATGGAAGAAAAATCTGAAAGCATTAGTTTGGAGACCTACGGCCCACAAAAAATTCAGGATTTAGTTCAAACTGTAGAAAATAATAAAAACTCAAGAACAACTAACAACACATGTACTACAGTTTTTGCAAACATCATGTTTCTCTCTCCAGTCCCCCGTTAATAAAAATAAATCATAGTAAGTCAAATTTACTTGCAAAGTAAGTCTTAGTCTTATTATATTTGACCTGATTATTTGCATAAAGTGCAGTAGGAATAATTATTTGCCATACTGGCTCTTTTTATTTTTTTGAGATGGAGTCTCGCACTGTTGCCTGGGCTGGAGTGCAGTGGCGCTATCTCGGCTCACTGCAACCTCTGCCCCCGCGGGTTCAAGCAATTCTCCTGCCTCAGCCTCCCGAGTAGCTGGGATTACAGGCACCCACCACCACACCTGGCTAATTTTTTGTATTTTTAGTAGAGACAGGGTTTCACTATGTTGGCCAGGCTGGTCTCAAAATCCTGACCTCATGATCCACCTGCCTCGGCCTCATCCCAAAGTGCTGGGATTACAGGCGTGAGCCACCGTGCTTGGCCTCATACTGGCCCTTTTTAAAATTGCTTTGCTAAAACTTTTCTCCTTGAGGAATCTCAGGTTATACTCCTTGAAGCTTTGAGCCCAGTCATGAATTTGTGCCAGACACAACAGGTCATAAATATTTAGATGAGTTGGGCAAATTCCTCTCCTCTTGAGGTTCCACGATGACTTGGGGCTCCTAAGCCTGACAGAATGTGACATTCATTACTTACCTCAGGCCAGGAAACTTGTACAGGGACTCTGTAGACAAGGTATGAGGCCAGTTTTTCCAAGGGGTTTTACTGGCTTTGTTATTCAACTTTGACACCTTAAAGTATGTGTTTGTATTTGAAAGCATGCCATTCTAGTAAAAGCCTTGATAAAATAAGCAGCATCTCCACTCATTTTCTATTACAAAAGAAAACAGATTTTCATTGCACTTACGCAAATAACTATATTGCCGTAAGTTGAGAATACTCAAAAATAGTTTCTAAACCCTGAAGAAGTCAGGTAGAGAGAAAGCAATATGCTAATTTTGCTTACAGGAGTATACTTTACTCAGATTGCTGAAAGTTGTAAACAGCTCGAAAGGTTCTCTTGACTCTGAAAAACAGAAGGATTCGCAATGTTTAACATATCACCTTTCCACGAGAGTTTTAGAAGTTTGTTGTTTTGCTTCTCTCTATTCACAATCTTTTAGTTAATTAATTAATTTTTTAAGACAGAGTGTTGCTCTGCTGCCCAGGCTGGAGTGCAGTGGTACGATCTTGGCTCACCGCAACCTCCACCTTCTGAATTCAAGCAATTCTCCTGCCTCAGCTTCCTGCGTAGCTGGGATTACAGGCACATGCCACCATGCCTGGCCTATTTTTGTATTTCTGGTAGAGAATAGGTTTCACCATGTTGGCCAGGCTGGTCTTGAACTCCTGGCCTCAAGTGATCTCCCCGCCTTGGCCTCCCAAAGTACTAGAATTACGGGCATGAGCCACCATGCCCAACTCACAATTTTTAAAGTTGTCAAGACATGCATTCAAGAGTACCCCTCAGCATTCTATATCTAATTATAAACCACCTTTTGAGAAGGATTAAAACAAGACAGCAATTGTCTGTGGGTGACAAAACTCTCAGGACTGGCATAGTTAGTATGTAATCAACAAGGAAATCTGGTCATCTCTATGACACAAAACAATTTAACATAAGACTTATAATTATTACTGATAACGTATGCTGAGACACAATTATAGAAATCTTATACAATAACATATTTGTATGAATATAACCTAAAGTTAAACACCATTTTATATTTGACAATGCTTTCTATATGGTTTTAATATATCAAATAAGCTGAGTCTTTTTTTAACCTTAGAATTTGATCTTGGAAAGTTTGTCAAATATGAAAGGCTTAAAACACTGGATATCACAAAAGAGAATCCCAGGTCAATGTAAGTCATTTATTTAGCCAAAAATGATAACTCAAAAATTTTAGAAAGGGAAAAACCTTTACTCTGATAGGAGACTTAGCTTTCCAAACAAAACTTAGTAGAGATAGCATGAGGCCAACTAAATCTGTCACTTCTCTCTCCCCTCCTTTTTGTTTTAATTTACTCAAAAGGCAAACAAATCTTTTATTGTCTCTCAATATTACATAAAAATCTTTTTAAAAAGAAAACCAAATTTTATTTTTGTATTAGTGCATCTTTAATGCTAAAGCTACTTTTTAATAAAATGTTATGAATCTATCTAGTTTTAATTAATTTGAGTATAAAGTAAGATTTTCATAACTATTTATAACTCTATATTTTTTTCTTGTTAAAGAACGGATCAATGTTCAAAAAAGCCCTATTATTTTGACATATGGGCCCTGTTTCAGTATGCTTTTGTTTTAATATTTAATTTATGGAAGAACTAAATAATACCCTTTTAATTTTTGTCAACTTTCTTACAGACAGAATTCTTTACAAAGTTAATTTTCATAAACTTCCTATAACTTGCTTAGACTTTATTTTCTTCCAACTAAAAGTAATTCTTTAACTTTCTAAATTAGGCAACACTTGGTTTTTTTTTAAAACCATATTACCATGTCTTTTAAAAATGAAAAACACTTTTTTTTGTTTTTATGTGTGTGTGCGTGCGTGTGTGTGCGTGTGTGTGTGTGTGTAAGCAGTTTTAGTTACGTACCAGGTGCATAGTCTAGGAAGCAAGACAGAACTGCAGATAAAGTCTGACTCTTTCCAGCACAGCTAGGAGGCATGGCTAACTCCGCCTGACCCCAGGCCTTACCTAGAAATCTAATGGCTTCAAACCAGGTAAACTGGACAATTTTCCAAAGTCAAAGAAGCGGTGTATGACATTAAAGCACTTAGCAAATTTAACCTCTGACTTAATTTAGACCAAATGTCTAAATTTTGAAGATATTTTCGTTTTACCAATAATTTTAAAACTGTATTTCCCAAAGATTACTGCAGTCACATGAACTAAAAGGCATTAGAGTTTCTATTTTCTGACAAAATATTTAAGAGCCTTCATTTTTTTTTGAAGCCAATTAATTAGAGCCTCTTTATGCAAACATCACTCAATACTTCTAGGCAGGAGATGATCTAGCAGTTGTACCTTTTCTTTCCCATTTTATGCATTTCTGACTTGTCCTGTATTTCCCTCTTTTCTAAATAATTAGTCCTACTTTAGGACAAGAATTGGCCATACAAGATCCTCTCTCATATAAAATTTATTTCCTTCCTAACCTTTCTTACCATAGATACATCTTCATATCCATAACTTTTATTAGCCCTCTCCCCACTACTAATTTCTGATGTCTGCCCAAATCAAAAAGGTCAGGTAAAGCAAGGCAAAACTGAGCACAGCCTTAGGTTTTGAGAGGGAACTTTCTGCTTACACTTCCTGGGATTCCATGAGGAAAACAGAGGTTTCTCCTAAAATGGGGTCTGTGGCACCTTCTGTTTTGCCAAGGAGTCCCAGGCCTGTGAGAAATTACCTTAGGTCTTCTCATGTGGGCATCAAGAGTGGCAACAAGAAAGACTAGGGAAACAATTCAGTCAACTGGAAAAAACTCAAAAACTTAGTACTGTCCCCATGGTAAAGATGGATAGACTGAGGCACTGTGCAGTTTAAAAATTCATGTTCACAAGAGTTAAGCTCCACAGCTCACTCTCTTAACTATCCTGTAATTCTGCCGACTCTATGCCCAGTCACTGATGCACCTGTATTTTAGCTCATGGCCCCCTTATAGCTTAGAACCTGGATTTCATTCCTGCTCTACAGCTATATAGTTTAACAATTTTTCCTCTGAATTTGTTGTATTCTAGCACTGTATATTTCAAATTTTATTAATATTACTGAATTTTAAAAGGGGCTGTGATGTCTTTAGTCTTTAGAAATATTAAACAGCCTGTTGTGGGAAGTCAGGGACCCCAAACGGAGGGACCAGCTGAAGCCATGGCAGAAGAATGTGGATTGTAAAGATTTCATGGACATTTATTAGTTCCCCAAATTAATACTCTAGTAATTTCTTATGCCTGTCTTTACTGCAATCTCTAAACATAAATTGTAAAGATTTCATGGACACTTATCACTTCCCCAATCAATACCCTTGTGATTTCCTATGCCTGTCTTTACTTTAATCTCTTAATCCTGTCAGCTGAGGAGGATGTATATCACCTCAGGACCATGTGATAATTGCGTTAACTACACATATTGTACAGCATGTGTGTTTGAGCAATATGAAATGTGGGCACCTTGAAAAAAGAGCAGGATAACAGCAATTATTCAGGGAGTAAGAGAGATAACCTTAAACTCTGACTGCTGGTGAGCCGGGCAGAACAGAGCCATATTTCTCTTCTTTCAAAAGCAAACGGGAGAAATATCGCTGAATTCTTTTCCTCAGCATGGAACATCCCTGAGAAAGAGAATACGTGCCTGGAGGTATAGGCTTATAAACAGCTTCCCCAGGTGCGCCTGTCTCTTATGGTTGAGGCTGCAGAGATGAAATAGACCAGTCTCCCATAGCACTCCCAGGCTTGTTAGGAAGAGGAAATTCCCGCCTAATAAGTTTTGGTCAGACTGGTTGATCTCAAAACCAACTCCTGATAAGATGTTATCAATGACAATGGTGCCCGAAACTTCATTAGCAATTTTAATTTCGCCTCGGTCATGTGGTCCTGTGGTCTCGCCCTGCCTCCACTTGCCTTGTGGTATTCTATTACCCTGTTAAGTACTTGATGTCTGTCACCCACACCTATTCACACACTCCCTCTAAAAACTTGCTGGTTTTTGTGGCTTGTGGGGCATCACGGATCCTACCAATGTGTGATGTCTCCCCTGGACGCCCAGCTTTAAAATTTCTCTCTTTTGTACTCTGTCCCTTTATTTCTCAAGCCGGCTGACACTTAGGAAAAATAGAAAAGAACCTACGTGATTATCGGGGCAGGTCCCCCGATATCTGGCATTGCCCCGCTTTAAAATTTCTCTCTTTTGTACTCTGTCCCTTTATTTCTCAAGCTGGCTGATGCTTAGGGAAAATAGAAAAGAACCTACTTGAATATCGGGGCAGGTTCCCCGATAACAGCCTATAAACAAAGGACTATATGTTAAACAGTATTCAAATTTCTATGGACTTTAAAACTGAGGCAATGTATTGAGAAACACACCTCAGAAACTGCAACCAATCTACTCTGGACAAAAATTTAGACACTATCTCTTCAAAATAAGCTATCTGGTTGTACTTATGCATATACTTACATATATTGACAGTATAAAATAATTTAAAAGTGTCAAAATTATAGGCCTTACACATTTCTGTGGGCTTAAAAAATACGATACAATATAGATTTTTTAAAGTAGTCAATAAAATGCATAAACTTCTAGAGTAATCACTGAAAATGAAAATAAGAAAAAGAAAAAGGTTCATAACAAAGGTAGTAATACTAGGAATAAAAGAGGGCTCAACATTAATAAAGTCTTGTTTTTGGTTGTGAATCTTGGCCTAAAAATGTTATACATGATCCTCCCCTTCCTTTTCCTGTTGCAAATATGTAGTGATGAACCAGGTTTGCTCATGCAGATGACAATACTCCTGAAAATGGTGGCAGAGAAATAATATGAAGGGAGTATGGTTCACTTAATGATCTCATAAATTGGAACTTATTACCCCTCTGCCTCTTGCATGTCTTCAGACTACTATGTGAGAGAGATGAAATGGCTGTTTGCTACCAGTATTTTATTTGTGCTTTGTTTATTAAGTTCCTGAATAACTACTTCCAACACATTAACAGGATCATGAAAGCACAGCTACTCAAGTAACTAAATAATTACGCAAATAATTTTTTTCCTCATCTCTAAAACATGGTAATGGACAGACTATTTTTAAAATACAACACAGTAACAAGTAGTTTATTCTTAAAACTCAGTTTTGGTTTGTTGTTAAGGCCATTGCTTGGGAAAAAGGAAACAAGAGGAGGAGGAGGAACAAGAAGATGATGATAAGGAGAAGAAAACACAGACTAGAAGGAAGGAAAAAGAACACGTGAGGGAATTAGAAGACCTATTATGATACCTTTTTTCCCCTCCCTGATTCATGAAATTTGAGTAAGTCCAATATAAACAAACAAACAAACAAACAAAAAAAGCAAAAAGATACACAGTCACCCCCTAAATTTTGTTAAGAGATAATGCCGAAGCAGGTGGATCACCTGAGGTCAGGAGTTTGTGACCAGCCTGGCCAACGTGGTGAAACCCTGTCTCTACTAAAAATACAAAAATTAGCTGGATGCTGTGGCACACTCCTGTAGTCCCAGCTACTCCAGAGGCTGAGGCAGGAGAATCACTTGAACCCAGGAGACAGAGGTTGCAGTGAGCCGAGATCGTGCCACTGAACTCCAGCCTAGGTGACAGAGCGAGACTCCCCATCTCAGAAAAAAAAAAAAAGTGAGATAATGCTGCTACTCACACCTGGCTGAAGCGCCAGCAGGAGGAGGGTGCCCTGCAGAGACTGCAGGAGAAGGAGGACTCCTCCTCCTTGCCCTGGCTGTTCCTCCACTGCTGCCACTGAGGCCTGAGGTACAGCACCCAAAGCTTCCTACCCACCCGAAGCACCCTACTCATCCAAGGCCTGGCAGGGCAGGCCCCGAAGCGCTCCTACTCCCCCTTCCCGGCCTGCATACTTGCTGTCACTGCCATCACTAGCACCAATGCCAATACAACCATGGCTGCTTCCCTCAATGCACTGGCCCACCCTACAATGTTCCTACCACCTGGCCACTGCCCAGCCGTGCCCTTGCTGTGGCCGCAGCTCGCCGCCCTCCTACCGCTCCTGGGCGCTGTAGTTCTCATAGCTGCCACCAACCCCAGCAAGGCGAGTTGCAGCCGCAGGCTATCTGCAAGCTCCAGCCTCCAGCATGCAGCATGCAGGTGACTCACCCTTCTCCTGGCTGGTAACAGCTGGGTGGGCAAAGCCAGAAAATCCTAGAGGAGGATGCAGGGAGTAGCAGCATTAGAGCCTCACCTTGTCATGCTGGCCACTGGGTGGCAGGGGCCGGTTTCAATGAAGGCACTCATACCCACCCACCAAAGTCCAGCCTCTCCTTTTGGCCCAAGCTGGCCAGGAACTGGGGCCTAGAGTGGGGACTGGAAACACCACATTGCCCGGCTCCCCAGTCCACAGGAACTGCTGGGCCCACCAGGGCTGCGCTCCTTGGGGAGCAGAACCAGCAGGAACTCAGACCCAGCCAGCCCTCCCACCCAAGTGCTGTTTCCGATCCTGATGCCTCCACCCACAGGGCCCTGTCCCCCTGTGGTGTCCGCTACTCCGTGTCCAGCATGCTCAGGGGTCCCAGCCGGTCTCTGCAACACAGAGAGAGAGGAAGCAGGCCTGGGAATCACGGCGGATGTGGGGGCCCTGCCGTACCCAGGATTCCCGTGGAAACGTTGTGCACGCGTGCCACTGGAGCAGGAGCAGGAGGAGGTCGCCCTCTAGAGTCTGGAGTCTGGGGAGAGGAGGAAGCCTCCTTTCTTGGAGACCACTGCTGTTGCTGCAACCTCTGCCCCTGTTGGCAGGGCAGCCCGATAGCGCCCCTAACACCCCACCTCCTCGCCACGCAGTGTAGTAGCCCATAGCACCCCAACACATCCCTGCCTCCGACATTACAGCACCAGATAGCGCCCCAACCTGCTCTTGCTGTGGGCAGCGCAGCCCCGGATAGCGCCCCCAACCCTCTCCCTGCGGTGACCCATGCAGCCATGGATAGGACTCCTAACCAGCCCCCCGCTGAAGGCAGTGACACCCCAGCAGTGACGTCTCAGAGAGCGCTACAGCCTGCTCCCCACAGTGAATAGTGCAGCCACGGATCCTTAAGGCCCCCAATCCGCTCCCCACGATGGGGAGCAGCCCCGGATAGCGGATAGCAACCCCAACCTTTCCCTAACCGTGGGGAATGACGCCCCAGTTAGTGCACCCAACCTGCACCCCACCGCGGGCAGTGTGGCCCCTGACAGCGCCCCTAAGCAGTATCCCACTGTCAGCAGTGTAGTCCCAATAGCGCAACAAACCCGACCCCCGCCACAGGCAATGCAGCAGCTGATAGTGCCCCTAACTAGCCCCCGCTGACGGCAGTGCAGCCCCCGATGGTGCCCAGAACCCACCCCACCACCCTGCGATGGGTATCGCCCCAAACCCCTTCTTGCCACAGGCTGTGTAGCCCCCGATAGTGCACCCAACCTGGCCTCTATTCATGGGCTGTCTGGCCCCGGATAGCCACCACCGAATCCCGCCCCCCACACCTCCCTGCACTCCCGGCTCTTACTATCTTGTTTGTTTTTTGGTTGCATTGTGGCCTTCTCTTCCTTTTTTTTTTCCTGTCTTCCTCTTAGTGAAAGTGATTTTCTCTAATATGATGTGATTTTTTTGCTTTTTACTTTTTGCTTATCCTTTGTATGTTTTTGATTTGAGGTTACCATGAGATGGTCCCATAAAATTATAATGGAGCTGAAAAATTCCTATGAATTAGCGATGTCGTAGCCTTGGTAAGGTCATAGTGCGACACATTACTTCACTCGTTTGTGGTGCTGTTGATATAAACTAACCTACTGTGCTGCCAGTCATATAAAATCCAGCACGTGCGATTATGCACAGTACAGTATTGGCATTGTGCTAGCGGTGGCAGCAGCAGCAAGTCCAGGGGCCAGGAAGGGGGAGTAGGAACTCTGCAGGGCCGGCCCGGTGGTGTTAGTCTGTTAGTTTTTAACAAAAAATGTTAAAAAGTAAAAAAAAAGGTAACACATTTTTAAAACAGAAAAAAGTTTATAGAATAAGGATATAAAGAAAAAAATATTTTTGTACAGCTGTACAATGTATTTGTGTTTTAAGCAAAGTGTCATTACAAAAGAGTCAAGTTTAAAAAAATTGAAAAGTTTATAAAGTAAAACTGTTACAGTAAGGTAGGGTGAATTTATTACTGAAGAAAGAAAATTTTAAAAACAAATGTAGTGTAGCCTAAGTATACAGTGTTCATAAGGTCTGCAGTCATTTACATGATGTCCTGGGCCTTCCCACTCACTCCCTGCTCACTATCTGACTCTCCCAGAGCAGCTACCAGTCTTGCAAGCTCCATTCATGGTTATTACCCTTTACAGGTATATTATTTTCCCATATTTATACCGTACCTTTTCTATGTTTAAGCCCAGATACTTACCATTATGTTACAGTGGCCTGTAGTACTCAGTACAGTCACACACTGCCCAGGTTTGTAGCCCAGGAGCAATAGGCAATACCATATAGCCTAGGTGTGTAGTAGATTCTACTATCTGTTTGTGTAAGTACACTCTGTGATGTTCACACAATGACAAAATTGCCTAATGATGCATTTCTCAGAAGGCATCCCCGTCGTTAGGCGATGCATGATTGTAATTTGTTTAAAGTCTCATCAAAAGTGGAAGGACTGGTACCCAGGCCTGGCCAACCCCCAAAGCCCATGCTCTTAATTAGCCACTTTACTGCCTTTTTAGTTCAGGAAATTCACTAAAATCTCAGCTGGTTATGCCAATTTTTGATTAACTGGATTTCTTCTTGTAAACATTTAAAAAGGAAAATAATAGGAAGGCAATTTGATAATGAAGTTGTTTAGCAAGTCAATTCTGGTATCAGCTGTGAGTGCTACAAACTGAGAGGTCCCAGGGCTGTTCAGAGCCAGCCTGGCTACATCAGAGGCTGAAGACAGTGCAACTGGACTAAAGACAGATGCCAGAGACAGTGTAACTGGGACTAACGGGAACAGATAAGGGCACAAGAGAACTCCAGAACAAAGCAACAGTCCATGAACCCAACATGTTTGCCACCCAGGAGCTCAAACTGTGGCTGACCTCTCCCAGCGCTCAGCACAAATTGTAGATCGGGAGGTCAGATGAGCAGGCAAGTTCACCCAGTCATGGAGTGGCCTTACCAGTACTCCTGGCCCCATCTGAAGGTTCCAGACATGATTCCTATTAGGGAATAGGTTCAAATGACCCAACCAATAGCATTCAGCATCTGCCATGTGTAAGGCACCCCTTTAGAGTGTGGATGCCAAGAAGAATGGAATAGGGCTTTACTTGCCAAACACATCCAGCCAGAGGACACAGATAACCAAATGTCCTTCGCAGGCCACGGCAGGGAGCAGGTCCCCAGGAACCTTGCTGGGAATGGTAGTGCCTGCCGTTGCCTCCTCCCCACCACACTCCACAGCATCAGGTGGCTTTCTGTTTCCAGGGCACAGCCTGGGCCTCCCCTGTGTGCCCTGAACTGAGGATGTCTTTTTCTACCTGTGAAACTCATCACATCCTTCATAATCACCTAGAAAGCTGTCTCCGTCGGGAAGCCTTCTCCCCATTGCCTTGTATTCTGCATTGACCTGCACCCTCCCGCTGGCTGCCTTGCATTGGGAGCTTGCTAATTTGTTCTGCCCATCAGACAGTAGGGTCCTCAAAAGCAAGGCACATCCATTTTCCCAAGAGCCTGGCATTTATTGAGTTCCTGTGTGGACCAGACGCCAGGTTAGGTGCTTTATATATATATTGTCTATTTTATAATTTCCCTTCTCCACACATGAGGAAAAAAAGGCTCAGAGAGGTTAAGTTGAGCAAAGGCACACAGATGCTAAGTCCGTCTGACCCTTTCCACTAAATGATCCTGACTTTTGCATAATGAACCTTCCACAAGTGTTGAAAGAATGAATGACAGCAAGTAAGAGGCTGGACCTGACAAGAAAGTGGAGTCAGAGAGTGATTACTAAATGGAATCCTAGAAAGTGCTTGCAGGTGGTGAGCCCTCATGAAAACAACCAAATCTACCTTTAACATGGAAGAGTTACATTTTCCTAGTCTGTTCCTGATTTACAAATGTTCTCTTCTTCTCTTTGTCCTACAGCTATCTTGTTCTCATTCATTCATTTACTCATTCAAAAGATATTGTCTACCACGTGCCAGATAGCATTTGAAATGCTGAGAATTTAGCAATACATAAAATCAATCTCTGCTCATCTTGAGTTTTATGTCTTGTGTCTGTGTGTGTGTAAAATGCAGAGAGAGAGAGAGAGAGAGAGGGAGAGAGAGAGAGAATGTGGCATATCGTATAGTAGCAAGTGCTAAGAAGAAAATCAAGCAGGCTAAGGACACAGAAGAGGTGGGAGCTCCTATTTTATATAGGGTGTCTCGGGATCAGGGATAAAGTACAGGAATGGAAACATTTCCAGCTAAAACACTGAATATATTTTCCTAGACTGACTGAAGTTTACCCAATTAGATAAAGAAGAGCGGCAGAGGTGACACAAGACTCTCCCAGTTTCGTGACCAGCCCCTGACCCAGGCTGTCACTGAAGTCTAGGAAAGTGGCCAAAGAAATTGTGTGTTTCAAAATAAGTGGGGTGGAGAAGGATATTTTTGTGTTGAGTATTTTATTGAGAGACCTTATTAGACAATCTAAATTTCATAATCCAGCAATGTAAAAAGACCTATCAAAGGGTATCTTGCCCAAGTTGATGCTTATCTACACATTTGAAGACCATTCTGTCAGTCTAAAAGGTCGGATGCGATTGGGTAGTATGATGTGTGACAGGACCAGGAGATCCTCTTCCCACCTCCTCTGTTATAAAGCAGAGCGTTGGTCCGATGCAATAATGCAGGAAGTACTGTGTCTAATGGCCAAACCCTATGAGAGCTGACAGATGTTCTGACTGAGGCTCTGTGGGCAGAAGAAAGCCTAAACCTTACTTGGACAGTGTATTCATTCCTGTCTGTGCGAATCACTGCCCCTTCCAGCATAGAAAGGCTCCATGTAATCAGCTTGTCACCAAGTAGTTAGTTGGACTCCGTGAGTGAGGGCATCATGTTGCGGGTGAAGCATTCACACCACAAATATTGAATAATACCCATGTTGAGGCCTTACATAGAATATCTACTCTTGTATGTTCACCTCTGCAAGCCTTTTATGAGTTCTTCCATTCTCTGCCTCAGCAGTTCTGATATTTCAACTTCATTTAATGTGGGCCATTGCTACCCAGGCTTTCAAGAACCATCCTACCATGCTCCTTGCTGTATATTCAGTTCTTTATTAGAGGAAAGTGCTCTCATTTCAGTGAGCTTTTCCAACTTTATGCTCCACCAATCCTGATGCAGCCCCCTCAGCATATCCAGTCCCCTACAGAGTCTCCTGGCTTTTGCTGGTGCAAGTTGGCTGTGACCTGCAGTAACTTCAGCATATAATTTTCAAATGTAGTGGCTCAACACAACAATTGTATTATAGCTTACATATTTCAGGGTTAGGAATACAAGCCAGGCTCGGCCAGGTGAGTCTTATTCCATACATCACTGGAGTTCATTTGGTGGTGTTTATCTAGACAGTGGGCTGGCCTGGAGGGTCTCAGATAGCTTTACTCATGAGTCTGGTGTCTCGACAGGCATCTGCAAGGCTTCTCCAGTGTGATGATCTGTGGGTGATCAGACTGCTCATATGGCATCCCACAGTTACCCGACAGTATGTTACAAGAGACTCCGGTAGAAACTAGAAGGCTTCTTATGCCCTAGCCCCAGAAATCCTATTCTTCTATTTTCTGTTGGCCAAACAAGTCATGAAACCAGCCCAGATACAAGCAAAAGAGATTAGATTTAGCTCTTAATGGGAAGAGTAGCAAAGAGTTTGTCACCATCTTTAATCTACCTTACTTCCTTAGCTGACTGACGTGAATTTACCTGGCTAAGTTATGTTATGGTTTGACCCTCATTACCGACCCTGTTGGCCAGGATGGCATCTGGAGGTGAGCTTTGAGAGTAGTACACATTGTCCCACAAGGCAGAGGCCTCTGCATCAACCTTGTGCTAGTGGAAACATGAGTCATTCATAGGGAGGAAGGGCCACTTCTGCAGACCCTGAGGGCTCAGGGAAGGAGACAGATTCAAAGTGTTCCCGGGTATTCCTATCTCAATCTCAGGATTTCACTTCTTTTCATTTAGGGCCTTGACTTTGAGACATTAGACTTGCCAGGGTTGAGCCTCTTTTTGGCTTCCTTCAAAATTAAGTCCTGGTGTGACCTTTGGCTGTCCCGGCCCTCCTGCTGGAGGAGATGAAAGTCTCTTTCTGCATTGCCTTGGTGGCCCAGTAGTGTTCACATTTTACATCAAATAGGAGGTTCATTTAATGCGGCCTTAATTGTCTTTCTGCAGTGCATTGATGGCTTCCAGAAGAGAGTTTCATTCCACAGACCTTATGATTCTACTATTCCACCAGAACCTCCTGACTGCCTGGGCTATCACCCCCAGCATGGGACTCCTTCACCCTGACCTGCCCAAAGGCACCACAGTGAAATCTGCAGTAGTTTCCCGGCCGCAACCTGCCAGGGGGCATGGGTGCCCCAGGGTGGCAGTCAGTGCTGGCCAGAGGAAGGTGAGTGAGCTTCCTGTGACCTTCCCTGGACTATCCCCAGTGCCAAATGTCTTAGTTTGAGTTCTTCTGGGAAGGAACTAAGAGGCAGATGTTCGCATGCAGGATTTTTGGGGGTTAGTGCCCTCCAGAACAGCACCCATAAGAAGAGAGGGAAGCAGCACCCATAAGAGGAGAAGGTGAGCTGTCCTTGGCTCCTTCAGGGGGCTCTGAGCTCCCATGGCCCAGACTTAATCCTGGGCACCCGGTCTCTATGCTCCCATTTTGAGCAGCCCCTGTGTCCTGTGTTCACAGGTCCCTGTGTTCAGCAAGGGGCATGACCATGAGCAAGAGAGCTTCCTTCAACCAGGACACTCCTGGGGAGGGCACAGCTGGGATCCATCAACAGCGAACATCCTGGCAGGAGGAGAAAGCCTGCCTCAGCTCTGAAGAGAAAGCTCATTGGTGTCTAGTAGCATTTACTACATACCCATCCCTTTTTTTTTTTTTTTTTTTTTTTTTGAGACAAGGTGTTGCTCTGTTGCCCAGGCTAGAATGCAGTGGCTCAATCATAGCTCACTGCACCCTCCAACTCCTGTCCTCAAGAGATCCTCCTGCCTTGGCCTCCAAAAGCACTGGGACTCAGGTGTGAGCCACCATCCCTGGCCTATACACACATTGATTGGGTCAGTGGGATGATATCCTGGAGACAGGAATGAGCAGTCAGCTGGGACTATGCACAGACCACAGACTGGGAGGTCTGAGATCACAGCTCTGAAGTGGGCTTGTTACCAACAACAGCAATCAGAGAAAGGGCAACAGCAGCATCAGGGCACATGGTAGGTGCTGAGTGTTTATTGAACGGAAAGTTTTGAATGAATCTGAGTTCAGAATAACAGAAAATTAGGACTCAGGGACTGTTCTGCATTGGTTGACTGTGCTGAAATTCCCCTTTCATGTTTGAGCTGTGTTCACCCCTTTCAGAGTTTCTAAATTAAGTGTAGGGTAAGTATTATACCAAGTCCTTTCTTTTGGCTGGGCACAGTGGCTCACACTTGTAATCCCTGTGCTTAAAGCCAGGTGTTGGAGACCAGCCTGGAAAACATACTGAGACTCTGTCTGTACAAAAAAATACAAAAATTAGCTGGGCATGGTGGTGCGTGCCTGTAGTCCCAGCTATTTAGGAGGCTGAGCCCCAGGCATCTCTTGAGCCCAAGAGTTCAAGGCTGCAGTGAGCTATGATCACGCCACTGCACTCCAGCCTGGGCAGCAGAATGAGACCTTGTCTTTAAAAGAAAAAGAAAAAAAGAGTCTTTTCTTTGAGGAAGACCTGGCATGGATACTGCACATGGTAGCATTTATTAAGATGTATTATCTGAATAAATTATATTTAATATATTTCTCATGAGTAAAATGATCTTTTATGAACTAGTTTGGAAAAGCAACAATTTCTAATAATGTTTTCGTTGCATAGTGTAGTTGAAGTTCTAAGTAATTCAAAAAAATGAATTTTTGGAATAAGCTTATTAGTATTGTTAGGAAGTGTTTGTGCACTAATTCCGGACTTAGGAAAGCAGGGTAATTCTAGAAAGACTTCTAGCAGCAAGGATTGAAAGAATGAGAGGCTTCTGATCAACTAGGTGGCTCAGCCAAATGTCTGTAGCAAGTATAACCAGGGGCAGAAGATAAAGGTCTTATGTTGGAACAACATGTTTATTTGCTCCCTTGCCAGAGATGATATTTGTAGGAAGTCCCAAATAGAGCAAATATTAAAAACAGTGACAGAGATTTGAGTATAGGCCCCATATCAGAAGATTTAGAAAAACTGTAAAATGAGGACTATTGATAGGATACATAATTTAGTGATTGGGCTCAGAACTTGAATTCAGAGAAAGTGACATTTCTCTAACTCAGAGTGCAGAGAGTAGTGATGGATGGCTCTGTTCAGTCCCACACCTTCCATAGACAACTGTGGCTTCTTTTTAAAGTTTTCAATAAGACTGTAGCCTTTAAAGAAGCCTCTTGAAAATGCTGTTTTCTCCTGAACCCTGCATTTATTCCCATTTATTAGTTTAAAAATTGATGAAACATCACAAAAGTACATAGACATTTTAATTTTTTTTAGAGATGAATTCTCACTTTGTTGCCCAGGCTGGAGTATAGTGGTGTGATCATAGCTCACTGCAGCCTCAAATTCTTGAGTTCAAGGGATCCCCCCACCTCAGCTTCCCAAGTAGCTGAGACTAAAGCACGTGCCACCACACCTGGATAGTTTACAATTTTTTTTTGTAGAGAAAGTGTTTTACTGTGTTGCCCAGGTGGTCTCGAACTCCTGGGTGCAAGCAATCCTCCCGCTTCCCAAAGTGCTGGCATTACAGACATGAGTCACCGCACCTGGCCAATACACAGACATTTTTGAGCCATTCTAGATTTTAAAGCTATGAATTATTTTTTACATGAACATTTACAAATATAAAAATTTCAGCTCTACTCAGGATGCAAAAAAAGCACGCTCCACCCTGACCGAAGGAATTTCAGCACCAGACATGAATAAATACAACCTTTGAATTGGTTTCTTTGTACTCCATATTGCGAACAAATTGCCAAGTTAGCAGTCTAGAAAGTGAAAAAATAATTCTTCTGTCAATTTTTGGATAAGTTGAAAAGGACTTTTAAAATGTAGTGTTTGAACCCAGGAAGTAAATTTTCTAGAAACATTTATAACCTCTGATTTAACTTATAATTCCTAGTTTATGGCAGAGGGTCAAAGGCAGCGGTGGCCAGTCAGACCAAGCCTCCGGCGAGGTTGCCGAGTTTTTCTGGGGAGGTAAAGGGAATATTTGTACTTAAATTATTTTACTGAGCTCATTAAGGACTCTTGTCTTATACTAGATACTTATTGAAAACACTAATTGGGGATAAAACATTTTAGATCACATCAGTTGAGCAGCATGAGACACACTTTTTGATATAATTTGCCACTATTTTGACCAACTGTGGCATTGGAGTGCGTGCTAGAACTAGAGCCTATGATCAAGAATTAGATGTGGGCTTTGCCACTTACCTGGCTGAGTGAGCTCAGCACCCTGTAAACTTTCTGAGCTTCCTTTTCATCACCCACAAACTGAGGGCTCCTGTCCCAGAGTGATTGTGACAATCTGTGATGACAGATAAAAGTGTGCAGCTTTCCTGCTCAGCCCCCGGATTGATGCCTGAAAATGCTGGTAAACTTGGATTTATCCAATGAGATAGTGCATATGTAGCACTCAGCATAATGCACATAATGCCTGACATTTAGTGAAGAATCAAGGCAATTTTTTTGAAAATTCAAAAAAGAATGTTTTTCTTTGGCCTGTATATTGGGTGGTAGGGCACATTCATAAAAAGGAGACGTCAATACCACCACCTCCTTATCCTGGACTCATTAGCAAAGCTATTTTTTTAAATGACCTCTATATTTTGCTCATGCAAAAATATTTTTTCAACAAATATTAGTAATGCAAGAGTTATGTGCCAGAGTCTGTGTTAGATGCTGGGCATACAGTGATGAGCAAATTGAACTTGGCTCCACTGTGCTCAATTTCATGGGAGAGACGTTGTAGGGTGTTGTGAGAGCCTGAGAGGGCTGAAGGAAGGATGTTTATTATGAATCTTGAGCTGTGAAGTGACAGATTAATAGTGGCTAACAAGATAAATCAAGTGGGAAAAAGCAAGGGCGTGGAGGAGGGGAAAGGAGGGTGAGTTGGAGGCAGGAAGGGAGTGAATCACACCAGGTCATTGCAGGACTTTGAGGTCAGGTGCAAGATTTCAACCTGGAGAGCCATGGGGAGCAGCTGGGGGGCTTTGGGCAGGTGCAGCACAGAGACTAGGCTGTATCAATGGCAGATTTTAGAAGGTGGGGTGGATTTGGGCAGACCTAGGTCCTTTCAGAGGAGCAAATGTGTAATACTTGCAGCTCGGACTAGAGAGGTGATGGTAGAGAGGGAGAAAGTAAATGGATTTTGTATTTGTCTGGGAATGTAAATTTACAAGACCTGGTGACAAATTGACTATGCCAGGTGGGTAACAGGGAGTTTTGAGGGATTGCCTCCACTTTCCGGATTGCATATCTGGAAGGATAACTGTGCCATTCTCTGGTGGAGACACACATAAGCCTGTGAAGATCTGCGCTCCCTTTGAACATGTGGCTGGAGGTACTTCTGAGACTCCACTTAATGAACACAGGGATCTGGAATCCAGGTGAATGTCTAGCCATGGGGATTTGGCAGCTATGATCCCATATGAGGAGTGAGTGAGAAGTGAGGAGGGAAGAGGAGCTCCACTATGAGGGTCTACATGGGCACAGGCCAGGAATATGGCAGGAATGCTGTGGACAATTGTTCTATTAATAAGATAAACATGATAAGAAATTCCCCAACGACTGGGAGCCACTTACAGACTGGTTTCCTGCTTGTCTAGAATCAAGAAGGGACTGAGTTGGGAGTGTGGAGCGTACGCGTGTGTGTGGATTGGCATGACTCATGCCTTTTAGATGGAAGGCGAGACTCAAGAGAACACAAATGTAAATGCATTTCTGATATGCTTTGTCTTTGATGCTGGAACTGGAGCTCCACACTTAGGGGAACCCTTGACACACAGGCTTGGTTGCATACAGAACTGGAGGAAAGGAAATGTGTTGATGGCAGCCAACCATCAGTTTCTTTTTTAGAAGGCTTCCGGATCAAAGCTGCAAATACACACATGCAATTGTACACAGACTCATACACAACTAGACGGACTCCATATTAGTCGATATAGTCTGACAGCTAGCTCAAGGAGATGAAGGCGAATGGCTCTATTTATTTTCCTGTTAGAAGACAAAATATAAGGATGTGAAGCTGCTTACTTATCTTTCCCCTCATTGACTTAATGAAGAAAAAACAGAAAACTTTCTCAGGCAAGAATCATTGAGTCAAGTGTGTCATGATTGCTAGGAATGCTGGCAACCTCAAAACGTTGGTTCAAAAAGAAGTGGGGATAAAGAGCTGTGATTGGCAAAACTCTGTGTGGCATTAGGCATCTGTTGGGTACACCCAACCTTACCTTAAGAGGTGCCTCTAGAAAAAAAAAACACCTAAAGAGATTCATAACCAAAAATAAAATAAGAACATAGTTTATGGTAATGCATTAGTATTACAGGAATACTTATGGAAATATACATGTTATTTTATATTGTTACATAAATAACAAAAGGAAAAATCGCATTGCAGTATTTGTAAGTAAAAAAGAATTGTACAAGAACCAATGTTAAATGGTATAAAAAAGGTGGAAAATCATATACAGTATACAGGCGACAGGAAGGCAATGGATCGCTGAAAGCAGTAAAGGACAGTAGAGGACCACTTAAATTAGAATCTTCCTAGTTGTATCATCTTTCTGCTGTGTGCTTCACATGGAATCACATGGCTATCATATCATCAATAGATCCTTCTAGAAGTAACAGAGTGTTCCTACTTTGCAGAGGAATAAGTGAAAACCCAAGACTAAGCTTTATGGCCAGCGAGGTCGTCTTTCAAAGTCTCATTATGAGTGAAGGAGGGATGAAATTCTTTTGGTCACAACTCAGCTGTCTACTAGATTGCTCATGGCCGTGTCTCACTCATCAAAAGCAAATGGTTCTGCAAGTGTTTGGTGAAAGGAGATTGTCCTAAGCATTCTGGAGGATACGATTTTTGTGTCCTGTGTGTGACTGTTGTATTAAATGTGAACTGTTTGAGGCATCCTCCCAAAAATGAGTACTCTAGAGTAATTGCGGAGAAGGCCTCAGGGAGGGGGCCACTGGTAGACACTAATGGCTGTGAAGGTGAAGGTCACTGGTACACACTGATGGGTATGAAGGTGAGGGTCACCAGTACACACTGTTGGCTGTGAAGGTACACACTGATGGCTGTGAAAGTGAGGGTCACTGGTACACACTGATGGGTGTGAAGGTGAGGTCACTGGTACACAGTGATGGGTGTGAAGGGGAGGTCACCGGTACACACTGATGGGTGTGAAGGGGAGGTCACCGGTACACACTGATGGGTGTGAAGGGGAGGTCACCGGTACACAGTGATGGGTGTGAAGGGGAGGTCACTGGTACACAGTGACGGGTGTGAAGGGGAGGTCACCGGTACACAGTGATGGGTGTGAAGGGGAGGTCACTGGTACACAGTGATGGGTGTGAAGGGGAGGTCACCGGTACACACTGATGGGCGTGAAGGGGAGGTCACTGGTACACACTGATGGGTGTGAAGGTTTCTGGTACACATTCATGTGGTGTGAAGGGGTGGTCACTGGTACACACTGATGGCCATGAAGGTGAACGTCACTGGTACACAACGATATGTGTGAAGGTCACTGGTACACACTCATGTGGTGTGAAGGGGGGTCACTGTTACACTGTAATGAGGCATAAAAGTGAAGGTCACTGGTACACCTTAATGAGTGTGAAGGTATCACTGGTACACACTGATGGGTATGAAGGTGAAAGTCACTGGTACACACTAAGTGTGAAGGTCACTGTATACACTGATAGATGTGAAGGTCACTGGTACACACTGATGGGTGTGAAGGTCACTGGTATGCACTGACAGGCTGCAGAGATGAAGGTCACTGATACACATTGATTGACCTATGAGTACAACTTTCAGAGCCTCAGACAATAATAGCCCCACTGGAAAGAATTGAACCTGGACAAGTAATATATGAAAGAAATAAAAAGAGCAACATGTTTCATTTCTAGGGCCCATGATCACAGATAGTTTTTCTTTGCTTGTTTATCACGTAGACCTTTTCCATAGTAGGAGAAGCCATTTCCACTTAGAAGCACGAAAGCACCAAGCAGGAGAGTACCCACCCCAAGAATCGGGACTCCAGCCTGGTGATTCATCATGCCTGAGCCAGGAGTTCCCCTCGGATAACGCTGTGGTTTGGAATCAGACTGGGTTTAAGGAGAAGTCTTGTCAATACTAAATAGGCATGTCGAGAGATCAGTATGCAAACTCTCCTTTTTCCTATTCCAGCTTTGCATAAGGTGAGAGCAGTGACATTAATTCATTTTAAAGCACATAAATATACAGTTGTGTTTTGTGTTGTCCACACATATTCTTGCCTTACTGCATATTTTGTACATATGAACACTGGTTTTAAAGAGGTAAAACATGGTTTTTGACCTCAAGTTCTGTTGGAAATGGTACATAGATAAAGGTTAGCAAATAAAGACAGCTTCTCCTCTTTCTAATATATAATCTTACTATTTTCTGAAAATTACAGTTGATTAAAATTTAAAATTTTATCTCCCCTTTCTCTCTTATCTGGTGGAATTTTAGGGTGCACATTGCATACAGTTTAAAAATTTTTTAGAATGGTTGAAAACAATCTCTTTTTTTTTAAAGAGAAAAAATTGCATTGCTGGCTGGTGTTTTTAAAAGTTGTATATAGGCCGGATGCGGTGGCTCACATCTGTAATCCCTGCACTTTGGGAGTCCAAGGCGGGAGGATCATGAGGTTGGGAGATCGAGACCATCCTGGCCAACGTGGTGAAACCCCGTCTCTACTAATATACAAAACATTAGCCAGGGGTGGTGACGTGTGCCTGTAATCCTAGCTACTTAGGAGGCTGAGGCAGGGGATGGCTTGAACCCGAGAAGTTGAGGTTCTAGTTAGCCAAGATTATGCCACTGCACTCCAGCCTGGTGACAGAGCAGGACTCCATCTCAAAAATAAAAGTTGTGTATATTAAATAAAAATTAAAAAATAAATCAGAGCTTAAACAGGTTTAAATTTTAAATAAATAAATTACAGCATACCATGAATATAAGAGTCTGAATGGGAGGTCTAAAATTATTTTACATTAAAAACTGAATTTACCTTCCTGGAAGAAAAAAACATTTCTAGGGCTATTTTATGGTAAAGTAGTTTCAGAACTGGTTGGAAGGAAATAGGGGATTTGCCAAAATGAAAGGCATTTTTTAATTGCTGAAAACATGCTCCGTTGCTACCAAGATTTGAGGCGATTTGAGCCCCTTTGAAATTTGGTTTTGTTTTCACAGAGACACTTTTATGCATCTGCAAATTAAGTGTCATTAAAAAAATATTCTGTTGGCCAATGGGTAGACGACCTGCCCTGCCCCATGGCCACCCGGGAAGGGTCTGTAGTCATGTGGTGTTTTTTTCAAGGTCTCGTCGGTGGAGTTGTCCTTTCATTGATCTTCTTATTTATATATTTTCAGCAAAACTGTGTGTGCATTTTCAGAAGTGTGGGTTTGGGGAGATAAACGCATAGCTTTCATATTCTGAATGGGATGTACAACTCCCCCAGTGTTAAGGACAGAATTGGCTGCCATAAATTGCCACTAGAGGGCACGCATCCGCCAACAGAGGTGCAAGAACCTGCCCCCAAGGGCCCAGCAATGCAAGGACACCCAAAGCCGGCTTCGCATAGCAGAGCCCAAACCCACTACCCTCGCTCTCACCTCGCAGCTCCGCAGAATCTGTTCTTTCTCAATGCTCTGCCATCTCCTGCCATCCAAAGGTCCTCGCCTATCCTGACCCCATCCTGTGCCCCTGGAGGTCCCGTCAGCTCCATGCCTCCTGTGCGACAGCCGTGATCCTTCCTGTGCTCCCATGCCTGTTTTCTCCAGCGCACCTGGCACTGGGGCAGAGGCAGCCTCTCCAGCCAAGAGCTCCAGACGCCCGTTGGAGATCCCCACACGTGGAAGGCGTGTTTTGGTAGAAAATGAAGCATTCACCCTTCGCTATTAAGCACAGCAGAAAGATGCTGCCAGGCTCTGAAAATTCACATGAAAGCCTTTAAAAAAACTGAGCTCCTTTTATGAGAATGAAACTCACCTCTTTTAGGCATTGATGGTTTGATCCATAATTAATTAGGGGACTTGTATCTTGCTCCAGAAAAAACATAAGTGGCCAGATGTCAGTGTGCTGTTCCTGAAAAGTTAGCATATATGCAGGTGCTCCTTTTAATACAGAAGAATTGGGAGTTGTAGTGTCAGTGCTAGGCAGAGAGTAGAACAGCATGCAGAGAAACTTCTGCCTGGCCTCTGTGTCCCTTCACTGAGGTGGTCAAGCTCTTTAGTTCTGGTTCTCCCATGGGCTGGACAAACCCAGTGTTCCAGGCCAAGTCCAAGCAGATACCGAAGATCAGCTCGTGGCCTCTGAAAGTTTCTTAGTGTCAGTCGCTGAGATGCTTTCCCTGGGAGCCAGAGGCTCCCTCCTCTCCAAACTTTGAATTTAAAATTATTGGCTCCCTAAGGACCCCCACCCAAAGTATGGCTGCAGTTGCCTGTTGATGAGTCAGACTCTGTCATTGTTGGGTAGATGAGATAAAGAAGCTCATTTCTTTTGCCTTTCCCATTGATGCTGGGCACCCCATGGCCCTACTGTGTCTGCACCTGTGAGGGCGGCCACGTGAGTCTGCTCATGCAGGGACTGCCACACCCACAGCCTCCAAAGCCCTCAGCACCTTTTGCTGGATTCTCATTTTATATCAAGCCATGGGCATCGAGTAGGTCCCCCACAGTACAGTCCTGTTCCTTTGCTGAGTGGGTCAGAAGAAACCAGCCACCTTCCAAGCAACATGATGACAATTTGGAATTCTTCCAAAACACTGTGCCTGGGCTGCTTTCGTTCTGAGAGGGAGCGCCTCATCCATCTGGTGAAACATGGGCAGAGGCTGTGAGCGGGGGAATGCTGTGATAGGGTGGAAGCCTACCAGTCCTGCTCTTAGCCTGTAGTCTAGAGTTGGCAGGCCTCTGTAAAGGGTCAGATAGTAAATGTCTTAAGCTTAGCAGTCTCTGCCACAATAATTCAACTCTAGCAATGTAGCATGGAAGTGGCCATGGGTGATATGCAAATGTAAGGATAGTGTGTATGTTATGGTAAAACTTTATTTATAAAAATAGGTGGCAGACCCATTGGGCCGTAGCTCTAAGCCACTCTAATGGGAGATTAACTCTACAGAAAAATGGCCAATAAAGCAACCTTCTCACAATAAAGACTCAGAGCCAGGAATAAAAGAGACAGACATCTGTTTTTAACTCTCTTAAATCCTTATGTGGGCTCTTGTCACCCCTAAAAGCCTCTGAAGTCCTAATAGATTGCTGAATGAGATGTCTTATGCAGACAGCCTTCTCCCAGGGCAGGAAAACATAGTCACCATCTGGCACAGACCAGAGCCCATGCCTCATGCACATCTGTAGATGCTCAGATTTTGTCTATTAGGGTGAGCCTGTGGGGAGCGGGATTCTTCATACAACAGGCTGTTTTCCCCATAGAATATTTGCAAGAGAGACACTTTTTTCCCCTCCCTCCTTAACTGCATTGCAAAATGTATGTTCCATGGAAAATTCTCCAACTAACACTTAATCAAACGGCCCAACTGGCCACTTTTCCTCTCAGCTGGCCTCCAGCTTTGAAGATAATCACTGGCACCTGGCCTGGGAGTCTGGAGCTCAGACGCGGGTTGGGAAATTCTCCTGTCATGGCTGCTACAGCTTGGGAGTCCTAGGATGTCTGCTGTCTGAACTTCCAGTGTCACCAATTAGATACCTAACGATTTTATTTGGTTGTCGCAGTGATTAAAACAGTGGGCCAAGTATTGTAGATGAATTAGGTCTTGCCTCCTCCAGTATTGCTGTGTGGTCGAATGATGGGATCCTTGTCGCTGTCTTTGCTGAGCGCAGCATGCTCCAGTGAAGTCAGCCTTGGCTGGAACCTGAGCGTGGGGCCGCAGCTGAGGCACTTCAGCATTTGTTGAGGAATGGACAAGACAGACCTGCCGTTGATGGTCTGTTGAACCGCTCCCCGTCTCACTATTCCATGAGTCCTTCCAGGATCACTCAGATGGATGGAGGGTTGTGTCTAAAAATGATAATGGCTGCTTAAACTATGGCAATAACTTGTATGTACATATATTTTCTTCCAAGAAGTAAAATCTGCTTTATAGATGGTATTTCAATAATCTTCCTCCTTTTTCTTTGGAATTTTAAATGATGTGGCCTATAAAACTGGAAAGGCAGCAAAACAATAATTTGCTTTGATAAAAATTTCAATATTATTGTTTCCCTTTTCTTGAGGAATTCTTTTTTTTTTTTGATAAATTGCAGTTTCTTTGGGCACCAATAGTGTAAGACTGTCATCATTTCTCTTATGTGAAAATAATAGACTTTGTCTATTTTTACTTCCTCTATTCAGTCAACCCAAATTTTCTTTTTTTCCCCTTTTCTCACATTTCTTTACCTATTTCTAGAGCTTTCTGATCAATGTTGATTGACCAGTCTCCAACATTTCCTATGAAATGGAAGAAGAAAGTCAATAGCCTCTTGTTTCAAGTCTACACTCCTTTGCCCAGTTCTCTTCTTCTTTTTCTTCTTCTTCTTCTTCTTTTTTTTTTTTTTTTTTTTTTTTTTAGACAGAGTCTCCCTCTGTTGCCCATGCTGGAGTGTGCAGTGGTGCGATCTCGGCTCACTGCAACCTGCGCCTCCCGTGTTCAGGCAATTATCCTGCCTCAGCCTACTGAGTAGCTGGGATTTCAGACACCCGCCACCATGCCTGGATAATTTTTGCATTTTTAGTAGAGGTGGGGTTTGCCATGTTGGTCAGGCTGGTCTTGAACTCCTGGCCTCAACTGATCTGGCCACCTCAGCCTCCCAAAGTGCTGGGAATAAAGGCAAGAGCCACTGCGCCCAGCCGCTTATTCTTTTTTTCTCTTTCTCTCTCCTTCTTTTCCTTCAAATGGTTCAAAAATGCAGTCATTAAAACATTAATCTCTGCCTCCTACCTGATTCCCACAGCCCCACTTCTAAGACAATCATGACGAAGAATTTGCTGTGTCTTTCAGATATTTTCCCACACATGCACACGCAGTCCTGTGTCGCCCTCTAAAGAAGCAATAAATGGCATGCTGTTGTCAGTGCTCTGAGCTCTGACTTTCCACTCAATGCTCTGTCTTGAGGATGGTTCCCAGGCAGCACAGGGGGGCCTACCTCACCCTCTCTCTTGGCTCCCAGCTGGCTTCCAGAGCACCATAATCAGCTCCATCTTTCCCTCCTGAACATTACCCTCATGGTCCTCAGCATCCTTGAGTGTGTTGGGCTGGTTTTCTCCTGTTCTTCAAGGTTTTGTGTTTATTCCTACTCTGATGTCTTAGCCACATTTCCTCTTCCCCTGTTTGGCACCTTTAATCCAGTGCATGAGTTGTCCAGCTCCAGCCCTGTCCCTTTATAAGGCCATCAGGGCTGTGCTAGGCAGGTGGTACTCCCCAGGAACGCAATTAGGGCTTACAGTGGCCACTTTAAACCAGCACTCAAAATGTTTCCTTCGCTTCCTCTTGTTTTCCCTGGGCAGAGCCTTAAGTCCTTATGACAAATTGGATCATTGTCCACATGGATCATGGGCAGGGACATCAACAATCTTGTTCCTTCAAAGTACTGAGCACAGTGCCAGGAACGAATTTTGTTTCATGAATCCTCAGAGGGATGGCCATGTCTACCAGCCTTCCCTTGTAGATTGTGAGTGTTTTTAGGGAAGGGGCTCTGGCCTGCTTTTGCCCAGGCCACCCGGATCCCAAGGCATGCTCCAGATGCTTACCCCAAATAAACTGAGTCTCACTTTTATTGATCTCTTTGTTAATCTTTTATTTATTGTCATTTTAAAAAGTCTGAAGCCATGGTTTTATTTTACTCTGTGTTAGGATTTTCCCAGGTTGCTCATAAAATTCTAACATTTTTGTAATCGTTGACTTAGACAACATTGCATCAGATACAGGCATTTTTTCATGTCCATTAAAAGACATACCAAGATCAGAATCGAGAGCAATTCAAGATGCACAATTTTAGAGAAGGAAGAGACTTCAGCATCATTTCACACAGTTTTGTTTTATAGATGGGGCCCTGTAAGTCAGAGAGCCCCAGCTTGATGGAGATGAGAATTCAGGCCTTGCCGTCCAGGCTGTGTGCTCTATTTGGTCACTCTGCTGTCTCTGTTCAGCTCATTCTTGACCCCCCGCCCACTGTGTACTAAGACTCTCTAATTTCCATCATGTAATGGGGCCTCCTCCATCTCTTCCTTCTCAGAAGGCAGAAGCATTTGCAAGCATTTCAGCAGATGGAATTCATTGGTTAGGCATTGGTGGCTTTCTTGGTTAGGAGGGAGTAATGCTGCTTGGTAGTTCTGCTGCAGATCAAAGTCCAAAACATCACTTGGAAAGCCTCCCATTGCTGTTTGAAAGTTCTGCCTCTTGAGATAATTTTCTTGATGTCATTTTTCTTTAGAGAATCCTTCAGTCCCAGGGAAACAAACCTTGAGAGGCTATAGTTTAGCCAAATGATAAAGAGCTGGCATATTCTAAATAAATTAATTTGCTGTCTCCACTTAAGGTGAGTCCTCTTGAGTTTCCTTCACCCTGTCGGTGGGTGCTGAGGGTTTGTGATCATTCTCATGTGAAGGAAGAATCTTTTTCTCATGCAAGTTTATATTCCAGCTTTCAAAGACAAAAAAATCTCTGAATAAAAACAGTGATAGAATATTTTTTTTGGCAGACAAGGCCCCATTGAAGTGGAAATTTGAGTGTCAGGACTAAGGAATAATTAAAGATGTGTATGAGATGATTGCAACTGGTAGATGAAATGTGGGAAAAAAGGATAAAAATATATTTGGAAAGACAGAGGTAACAAACATGTCTCTTTATTTTCTAATCAATGTTTGCATTCACAAAATGTTTTAGAGGAAATGAAGTATAATACAACAAATATTATTAAATGCTGCCAGAACTCTTTCTTAAGGACAATAACAGCTAATATGTACTCTCTAAGTACATAGCAGTTTAATAAATGTTTGCTGATCCCATTTCAGAAGTGGTGCAACAAACTTTATTAAACTCCCTGTGCTTTTACTAATCTTTTAGAGACACTTTTTTTTTCAGTATGATCTCTTAGGTACCATAAGATGCAACTGTAAGCATAAACTCATAGACACAAATAATAACTATTAGAATATTGGTTCTTTTTTACAGCTTGAAAGGTTATTCTAATTTTCTGTTGAAGGACTGAATGAATTAGAAAAAGGAGGTAATTCGAGATATCTAGATAACTATTGTCTATAGAGGACTGGAGAAAGAATGCTAATTTATTTTCTTGTTTAGACATGTAGATGGCAAACAATTTGTATCCAAATTGTATGTCAATATTTAAGATGTCTCAAATCAACATTAGTGTTATCTAGTTTTGGGGATGCTATGTGACTAAAGATGCTGATTGCATGAACGAAGGTATTTGCTTTCACCTGTTGATGAAGTGTGACTGCTTCACAAGCCATATGCATGTAACAAAGGTCTAGTGTTATAAACGTCCCTCCCCTTGTTGCTGTTAGATTCGGCTGGAATTAATGCTGTATCTCTGGACTGCCACTGAAAATATAACTCCTGAAAGATGGATTATTTTGTTATGGCAACACAATTGCTATTCGGTCCCTAGTAGATCTAGGAAAGACATTGATAGTTACCACTGAATCATAAAAAATGGGAAATCTTTGCTATTGAGGTCACAGATCAGGACCTTTCCCATTCTTCTATTCTCTAGTGACTCTCTTTTTCTCTGTCTTGTCCACTTTAGCACAGAAATTATATCTTTTCCGTGGGATAAGGAAACTTATCTTTACTATGGAGTAAGGACACTTTAGGGAACGTGCTAAATGCAGCTCAGCAGTGAGCTTGACACAGATTTGGAATATTAAACCTTTTGGATCAGTGCCTCTCATACCTGCACACTCCATTTCCACATGGTGGCAGCTGCAACCCTAGAAATGGGAAAGCAAGTGCCAGTCAGCAGGACAGGAGGGAGGCAACCTCAGAATTTAGAAGCTTGTGTGATAGTCATGAACCTCCTTCTAGAACAATCCCATCGTGAGGAAAGTTGGTATTGTTGTGCTAAATTTTCATGGTGGACCTGTCTGGAATTTTAGGAGTGTAATCTTCTCATTTCCTTTAGAAAAAAAAAAAAAGCCAGCTAGAAAGGGAGGATGCACCATGCTAAAAATTACCTAATGAAACCGAATGCAACTGAGAAAAATACTTGGACTTGGTTGTTTCAACAACCTGTTCTTCCCTTGTGAAATAAAATCAGCCACACTGCTGTGTAGAATGTAATAAAGATGGGGAGTGTCCTGCTTTTAACAGTGTGCTGGGAGAATGTGTTTCTGTGCCAGTCCCTGTAAGGTTATGTGATATGCTAAGTTTTGCAAGCCTGGTTCCTTTCCTGGCAAGGGAAAACCGATAAGATAAGGGAAAACCATTTTGCTATGGACTTGCCCCAAGATGCATTCATAATGTCACAGCTCCCTTAGTCTAGCTGGGCCTCGCTGGGGCTGCCTCAAGCTGTTGGCCATTCTGTTATCTGGTCCACTCTGCTATTTTGTTATGGCAACACAATTGCTATTCGGTCCCTGGTAGATCTAGGACAGACATTGATAGTTACCACTGAGGCATAAAAAATGGGAAATCTTTGCTATCGAGATCACAGATCAGGACCTTTCCCATTCTTCTCTTCTCCAGTGACTCTCTTTTTCTCTCTGTCTTGTCCACTTTAGCACAGAAATTATATCTTTTCTGCAGGATGAGGAAACTTATCTCTACTATAGAGTAAGGACACTTTAAGGAACATGCTAAATGCAACTCAGCAGTGAGCTTGACACAGATTTGGAACGCCGTTAGTTTCAGTGTGATTTGCAGGCCCAGAAAAATAACAACAGCTTCGCATTCTGCAGTCTAAGTTACAGAGGTTTTCCTGGTAGAAGTGGATATTTGAGGTCAGGAGTAAGAGTTTTAATTAAAAATGCTTTTTAAAAACACTTTTATGTATACAATTAGAAATGTATAAAATTTAGAAAAAGACATAAATACAAAAAATACCTCTTTCATAATGGTTTCACTTCTCTTGTTTTGAAGCATGCGAAGTAAAAAGTGAAACTCTCTTTTCTTTCCCTCTGATCCTGAAAGTAACCACAGCTGGCAGTTGAACAGCCATCACCCCACCTGTTCCCTAGGCCTCCGTGTCCCACTGGACATATATGCGAAGATCTAGTTTTATAGTATTTTAGTATGTTGGATCATACTATGCATATCATTTGACAGCATCTCTTTTTACTTAAGTTTTGACATGTATATTTTTCCAAGTCAGTTCATATAAATCTACTGTGTATATGTATATGCTAAAAGTTACTAAGTCTCATACTTTTGATGAATCTGCAGGTTAATTTTGAGAAGGGTACATTATAAATAACAAACATTTAGACCATAGAGATCATCTATTTCTCTTTCTATAAATGAGGAAATTGAAACCCAGAAAGGCTGAATGACTCCCATAATTAATAGAGAATCATCAACAGAATACACGTATATTTCCTGCTTTCTATTACCTTATGTGTTTAGGCATGAGAACTCAATCTGTGTTACAAAAAACACAAGGATCTGGGCCGGGCGTGGTGGCTCACACCTGTAATCCCAGTACTTTGGGAGGCCAAGGCAGGCAGATCACAAGGTCAGGAGATCGAGACCATCCTGGCTAACACGGTGAAACCCCGTCTCTACTAAAAATACAAAAAATTAGCTGGGCGTGGTGGCGGGTGCCTGTAGTCCCAGCTACTCGGGAGGCTGAGGCAGGAGAATGGCGTGAACCCGGGAGGCGGAGCTTGCAGTGAGCCGAGATCTCGCCACTGCACTCCAGCCTGGGCCACAGAGCAAGACTCCGTCTCAAAATAAATAAATAAATAAATAAATAAATAAATAAAAGGATCTGAGAGAGCTCGTGGGAGGCTAGAGAGGCAAAGAAGCCTTCATCATTCACTCCTTCACTGAGGTTCTATTCTAGTTGCTAGGGACACATCACGCAAGAAAACAGAAAACAACCTCTACCCTCAGGAAGCTCACAGTTCAGTGGCATGGGCAGGAGGCAGATATAAACAAAACAAGTAAATAACATACGTTATATTGGAAAGTGATAAAATCCATGGAGAAAAATTAAGGAAGAGATAGGTGGGGTAGGTGGGCAATATTGTAATTTTAAGTGAGGGGGTTATTCAGAGAAGCCCTCATTGATAAGGTGACTTAAAATAACTTGAGGTGTATTGACATACAAAATACACGGATTTGAAGTGAACTCTTTTGACAAATGTGTACACTCAAGAAGCAGTCACCACAATCAAGATAAGGAACATTTCCACCACTCTCAGTAGTTTCCTCATCCCCCTTGGTAACCCATCTCACTTATCTCCCTGTCTCCCCCCCACAGCAACCGTTGATGTGCTTCTTGTCACTATATAGCAGCAGGAATTTTCTAGATACTAATATAAATGAAATCTTATGAGACGTACTT